>NC_000023.11:49528394-49878679 GCF_000001405.40 Homo sapiens
AATTCTCCCTCTTCTTGGTTTGTTTGTTTGTTTGCGACAGAGTCTCAGTGTGTCACCCAGGCTGGAGTGCAGTGATGCAATTTCAGCTCACTGCAACTTCTGGCTCCCAGGCTAAAGCCGTCCTCCCACCTCAGCCTCCCGAGTGGCTGGAACTACATGCACAAGCCACCGTGCCTGACTACATTTTTTTGTTTTCATTTTTGTAGAGATGAGGTCTCACTGTGTTGCCCAGGCAGGGTTTCTCTGGCTTTTAATGAACAATTGCTTCTTTTTTTTTCTTTTATTTATTTATTATTTATTTATTTATTTATTTATTTATTTATCATTATACTTTAAGTTTTAGGGTACATGTGCACGTTGTGCAGGTTAGTTACATATGTATACATGTGCCATGCTGGTGCGCTGCACCCACTATCTCATCATCTAGCATTAGGTACATCTCCCAGTGCTATCCCTCCCCCCTCCCCCCACCCGACAACAGTCCCCAGGGTGTGATATTCCCCTTCCTCTGTCCATGTGATCTCATTGTTCAGTTCCCACCTATGAGTGAGAATATGCGGTGTTTGGTTTTTTGTTCTTGCAATAGTTTACTGAGAATGATGATTTCCAGTTTCATCCATGTCCCTACAAAGGACATGAACTCATCATTTTTTAGGGCTGCATAGTATTCCATGGTGTATATGTGCCACATTTTCTTAATCCAGTCTATCGTTGTTGGACATTTGGGTTGGTTCCAAGTCTTTGCTATCGTGAATAATGCCGCAATAAACATACGTGTGCATGTGTCTTTATAGCAGCATGATTTATAGTCCTTTGGGTATATACCCAGTAATGGGATGGCTGGGTCAAATGGTACAATTGCTTCTTAAAACTTTCCCCACGGAAACCTTGAGTGACTGAAATAAATATCAAATGGCGAGAGACCGTTTAGTTCGTATCATCTGTGGCATGTAGGTCAGTGATGCTCAGCATGGGTGTGAGTAAGATGCCTGTGCTATGCATGCTCCCTGCCCCACTGTCAGTCTTCATGAGCCACTATTTCTAATAAGACTGTAGACACACATACGATATAATCATCTCTAATCATATCAAATGTTACATGTAAGTTTCACCTTTAGAGACATGAATTGATAAGATTTGAAGTTGAAAGACCATGACTCTAGTACTTCCTGAGTAATCAACTGAAGTATGCTTTACACATGTGTTTTCCAAATTGCTGACTGTTAATTGTAAGTGCTTGTGACTTGAAAGGAAGCACTTGATGTTCAGGGAGGAAATTCCTTTTAAATTCTGCAGGTCTACGCTCAAAGTTAATGCAGAGGTTCAATTGCGTGTAAGACACGGGATCTCCCATAGGGTTCTGTTTTTAGTCCATTTAATAAAACCCAAACTGTAGTGTGCTTTGTATGCCTTTAGGGTCATCTGAATAATCTGTTGCTAAGTCATGTTCCCAATCGTTGTGTTTCTGTTACAGGTGAAAAGCAATCACAGTGTTAAAAGAAGACACGTTGAAATGATGCAGGCTGCTCCTATGTTGGAAATTTGTTCATTAAAATTCTCCCAATAAAGCTTTACAGCCTTCTGCAAAGAAGTCTTGCGCATCTTTTGTGAAGTTTATTTCTAGCTTTTTGATGCTGTGAAATATGTATCATTCTTTGAAATCGTGTATTGTAACTCTCTGAGCTGGTATGTAGAGACATCGTTCTTTTTTTTTCTTTTTTTCTTTGTCCTCTTTTGAGACGGAGTCTTGCTCTGTCGCCCAGGCTGGAGTGCAGTGGCGCGATCTCTGCTCACTGCAACCCCGCCTCCCGGATTCAAGCAATTGTCTGCCTCAGCCTCCCGAGTAGCTGGGATTATAGGCACCCACCAGCACGCCTGGCTAAGTTTTGTGTTTTTACTAGAGATGGGCTTTCGCCATCTTGGCCGGGGTGCTCTTGAACTCCTGACCTCGTGATTCACCTGCCTTGGCCTCCCAAAGTGCTGGGATTACAGGCATGAGCCTCCGTGCCCGGTGGAGACATAATTCTTACATATTGGTTTTCTATCCAGCGGCCTTGTGAAATATGCTTGTGAATTCTAAAGTTTACTTCTAGGTCGTTTTCAGTCTTCAATATACAGAAACATATCATCCTGGAATAAGAGCAGTTTTGTTTCCGCCATATTTTTTTCTTTTCCCTTTTGTATTTTTTTGTAGAGACGGGGTTTTGCCATGTTTCCCGGGCTGTTGTTGAACTTTTGAGTGCAAGTGATGCACCCACCTCACCTCCCACAGTGCTGGGATTACTGGCGTGGGCCACCGTGGCGGGCCCGTCGTTGGCATTGTAAAGAGTTTTATTTCCTTTTCTGATTTTATGGCATTGTGCAGACTCACCCGTTACAATGGTGACAGTGGACATCCTTGTCTTCTCCCTGATGAGAAACCGAAAAATTTCAACATTTCGCCATCCTATTCACTCTCCTTTTTTTGTAGACGGACTTTATCAGAGTGAGTCATTGCATTCTGTTCCAAATTTGCTGAGAGTATTCATTTGAATATATGTTGATTTTCATCAAACAGTGCATCTATTTCGATTACCACAGCGTTTTTTCCCATTCATGTGTTAATATAGTGAATTCGATTGATAAATTTGTACGTTTTTAGGTTCGATTATTAAAACTTGAGACAGCGTCTCACTCTGTCACCGAGGCTGGAGTGCGGTGGTGTTATCAGAGCTCGCTGCAGCCTTGACCTCCTGGGCTCAAGCGCGCCTCCCACCTCAGCCTCCTGAGGAGCTGTGAGTATAGGTACATGCCACCATGCCCAGCTAATTTTTCGATGGTTTTTTGTTTGTTTTTTGTAGTGATGAGATTTTCTGATGTTGCTTAGGCTGGTCTCGAAGTCCTGAGCTCAGGTGATCTGGCCAGCTCAGCCTCCCAAAATACTAGGATTACAGGCGTGAGCCTTGGCCTGGTCTGGTTTTTCTTATATAGGGGTCTTATCTATATAAAGACTAAAGTTAATCTGTGCCTTTGTGCGGGTGGGCTAAGAGCATGATGACTTTTATCATTCTATTGATTTAAAGAAAACTGTCCTTGACTTACCAGTGTGTAAGTCCATGAAAGCATAATTCTGTTGAAAGCATATATTGTTAATGGGTGTTGGGAACCGTGCACTTTCCGCTGCTGTGGGAGCATGTCCTTGGAGGTACCTTTCATCTGTTTTCTCAACTCCAAACATCTTAGGACCATGGGTTGTGACTGGTAGGACTATGTATCTTGCTGCTTTCAAGACGGAGTATATTTTCACGTGGTGTCACTCTGGCTGTCCTGTTTCCCTAATACTGTCACTTCACCCTCTGCGATTCTGATGCTACAAATGATAGATATCGTTTTAGCATTTTCTTACGGGTCCTAGCGATTCTATTCATTTTTCTTTCAGTCTCTTTCTCTGACTTGTTCACATTGAACAATTTCCTTTTGGGATAGGTTGCTATTTCTGTTTTCGCAGGTGGTTTACCTGTCTTCCCAGCCAGTCACAGTGGTCCTTGTCCCCATGGTGGGTCCGGGGCAAGAGAGGGCCCTGGGTTGGGGGTGGGGTTCAGTTGAAGATGGGGTGAGTTTTGAGGGGAGCACTACTTGAGTCCCAGAGGCATAGGAAACAGCAGAGGGAGGTGGGATTCCCTTATCCTCAATGAGGATGGGCATGGAGGGTTTGGGGCGTGGCGCTGGGAACGGCAGCCCTCCCCAGCCCACAGCCGCGCATGCTCCCTGGGCTCCCGCCTCAGTGCGCATGTTCACTGGGCGTCTTCTGCCCGGCCCCTTCGCCCACGTGAAGAACGCCAGGGAGCTGTGAGGCAGTGCTGTGTGGTTCCTGCCGTCCGGACTCTTTTTCCTCTACTGAGATTCATCTGGTAGGTGTGCAGGCCAGTCATCCCGGGGGCTGAAGTGTGAGTGAGGGTGGAGAGGGCCTCGGGTGGGTCAGGCGGGTCCCGCTTCCTGGTCTGTGGCCTCCGAGGGAGAAGGGCCACGAGGTCGTCCTCCTTCCCTTCACAGGCTGCGAGGCCACCGGCGGCTTCGTGGTCGTGAAGGGGCCTGGACGGGGAGGAAGGTGGGCCGTGGAGGGGAGGCGGTCAGGGGCTCAGGTGAAGACGGGGTGAGTGCTGTTGGGGGGATGGAAGTCCCGAGGTGCCGGGATCCCCGACGACACAGGGCAGATTCCCTGAATGGGGCCCCCGGCGGGGGCGAGGCGGGCGGTGAAGAAGGGGCCTGGCACCTGGGAAGGCTGCGGCCTGGCGAGTGCCCCCTCAGCGGTGTGGAGTGCGGAGCGCCCGAGTGAGAAGCACTGCAAGGTCTCACCTCCGCCATGGAAGGTCCGAAAACAGTGGGAAGGAGTGGGCGAGGCAGTGCGGTCCAACCAAACTTGTTGTGAGTGGGGGTGAATGGCTCTAGGAAGTGGGAGTGTGCCCAAAGCAGCAATCACGAGAATTGTGATTCACTAGGGTTTTCGTGGGGAGTGCACTTGTGAAACTAAACCTCATCAGAAATGACCTCTGTCTGCGGGGCGCAGTGGCGCTCGCCTACGTATTCCCAGTTACTGGGGACACTGAGGTGGGAGGATCCCTTGAGCGGGAGGTCGAGGCTGCAGTGAGCTGTGATCACGCCGCTGCACTCCAGCCTGAGCAACACAGCGAGACCGCGTGTCCAAAAGAAATTTAGAAAAAAATGTCCTCTGCCTTTTGCCACACGCCTTAAGATGATTGCTCTGCCAGCCTGGCCAGCAGAAGTGGCTTTGTAGGCACTCAGACAGCGTACACACGTATGCTTAACTCTGGGACTTATTTTGAGAGTATTTTCAAAAGTAAAACGGCAAGTTAACATTTATCCATGGAAGTGATCGAATATAGCAGCCCTCTGGAGCGCACGTTCCCAATCACGGTTGTCTGTTTTCAGTGTGAAATATGAGTTGGCGAGGAAGATCGACCTATTATTGGCCTAGACCAAGGCGCTATGTACAGCCTCCTGAAATGATTGGGCCTATGCGGGTGAGTGCTTAAACGTTAATTCGATGTTTTCTATTAGTAGAAATTAATTTTTGTGATAGCGTCGTTGCATTAGTGTGGAAATGCTGATAAAGGTCTTTCCTGCTCATAAAAAATGAGGATGGCATCTCATGAAGGAAACATTGATTCTGGAGGATTTTTTTTTTCCTCTCGTGTTCTTCAGCTTTTGCCCATGACTTCTTTCTCCGGCTTTGTTTGTTAATGACAGATTGTACACATGTATTCCAACACAGAGTATAATAGCCCCCAAAGTCCTCGTGCGTCACTTTTCTCACAGTAACCTCCCTGTGGGTGGAGTAACCTTATTGGGCATAGAGCATAGAGTTGGAGAAATGTCTTTAGGCTTAGTTAGGACCAGAAATAGCTATGTATTCTGTGTATATATGTAAAATTTTGTATCAATAACGAAACTTATTTTCTATTTGCACACCCACACGTATTCCCCAGCCCGAGCAGTTCAGTGATGAAGTGGAACCAGCAACACCTGAAGAAGGGGAACCAGCAACTCAATGTCAGGATCCTGCAGCTGCTCAGGAGGGAGAGGATGAGGGAGCATCTGCAGGTCAAGGTGAGGGAAAGGGAAGAAGAACGTCTGCTGGTGTGTGCGTGTGTGTGTGTTCGTGTGTGTGTGTGCACGTGTGTGTGTGTTAGGCATTGTCACATAGGAGGAAGAGGAGGAAAGAAAACAATGGAAAGAATGCCTGAAATTGACTGGAAAAGCGAGGAGGCTATGTAGTTTGCAGCTTAGCTTAGGCAAATCCCTCACTATGATAAAAGTTCTCGACTTTATGAATGAGAGAATGGAGGTGCCAGGATTGTGTGTTATCCAAGAACCCTTGACTGGTGAATACAACATTTGTACTGTGTTCTAAGGTTTGTGTCTTCCTATCATGTATGTTGCTGGAAAGAAGGAAGTGATTTTGCTGAAAATGCTTAAAACTCAAAAGGCTTTACTGTAAGGTAGCTTAGTACTGACCCAAGAATAGACCCAGTTCAGAGGAGCAGGAGCAGCTCCAAAAACCGAGTCGCTGAATGTTGGCCCCCGTTTCCTTTGATTGATATTTTTATATGGTACGTTTGATAAAAGCTGGATAAATGAGGATACTGCCATACAGGTAGCTGGTTTAGTGATTTTTCTCAGCGGCCTTTAGGAGGTGATTAAATCCTTTTATGGTTAGAAAAGCAAAAACGGAATTATCCTGAGATTAACGTGAGATGGAAATAATTTCTCCGAGATAAAATGTTTTGAAAGGAAGCATTTATGTAACGGAGGTCATGGATTATTCCAGGGATGCACTGTTAAAAGTTCCTAGAATCTGACTGACAACAATGCCCATTAATTGCTGTCCGCCCACTCCCTTATTCTCAGTGCGGGGGACAGTATATTTTCTGTGATTCACAAACAATGTTATATTTGGTGCTTTGTTCTTCACGGGGTTCATTTATGGAATATTACCTTTAGGACCTTCGGACCTAAATATAACTTTATTTGAACAAAGTGAAGTTTCTCTTTACCCCAATAGGTAATGGGTGTCGTGACTGTAAGATTTCCATAGTCCTCAAATCCATCCAGCTAATCAATCCTTCAGAAACTGACATTGTAATTGTAACTGAAATCCTACCCACGTGGTAGACTTCAGATTTCTCAGCTGACGCACACTGCTGTTGGTACTCTAGGGCTGAATATAAGCATTATACATGTCCTGTGGTTTATCCTTAGATTGTCATTTAGGAGAAAGGTCTAAAGCTGGGCTGAATGCCATGCACTCATAGTCCCAGCTACTTGGGAGGCCGAGGTGAGAGGATTGCTTGAGTCCTGGAGTTCAAGCCCAGCCTGGGAAACACAGTGAGACCTCATTGCTAATAAATAAATAAATGAATAAATAAATAAACACATAAATAAATTCATTAAATAAATAAAGTTTTCATGGTATAGGAAAACACAGATGCAAAGTTTTTGTGCCTAGTGGCTGGTAATGTTGCAAACGTAACTCCTTAGTGAACTGTACCACTTAAAAATAGTTAAGATGGTAAATTTTAGGATATCTGTATTTTTTACCACAATTGGAAATTCCTTTCTTCCTAAAGTTCAGTGCAGTTATCATATATTCTTTTAAATTTTTACTGTATGTATCTTCAAGACATAACATTCATAGAAAATTTGCAAGAATAGTACAATGAACTCATATACTGTTCATCTGGATTCACCAATTGTTAGTAGCTTTCGCTTCATAGGTTTCACATCTCTTCCCTCCGTCTCTTACCGTGCTGCCCACACACTCACACACACACACACACACACACATACGGATATATGTTTACTGTTATTAATGGTGAATTGTCTCGATAAAGTTTCAGGGATTATGGTCCTTTACCCTATGTACTTGAGGGTGTGTATATCGTCAGAACAAAGAGAAAGTCATTTCTTGGATCATCACTGCACAAAGATAAAAATCAGGAAATTTAACAATGAGAAAATGGAGTCATTTAATACAGAGTGCATACTCAAATTTTGCCAGTTCCCCAGAAAATTTCTTTTTTCCTTTTTTTTTTCTTTGTTGAGACGGAGTCTCTCTCTGTGGGCCAGGTGGGAGTGCAGTAGTGCGATCTCGGCTCACTGCAACCTACACCTCCCAGGTTCTAGGGATTCTCATGCCTCAGCCTCCCGTGTAGCTGGGACTACAGGCGCCGGCCACTGCGGTCTTGAACTTCTGGCCTCACCTGCTCTGCCCACCTTGGCATCCCAAAATGTTTGGATTGCAGGCGTGAGACCCCACGCCCGGCCCAGATAATTTTATTGATAGGATTTCTTTTTCTGATCCAGAGTCCAGTTCAGAATCACACCTTGCATGTGCTTTTCAGGTGTTTTTAGTTTCCTTTAACCTGTAATGTTTCCTTAATTTTTCTTGTCATTCACGATACGGACATTTTTGGAGAGGATAGACCAGTTGGTTTGCAGAATATTCTGCAGTTTGGGCTTTTTCATGTATTTTTAAAAGAGTTTTCTCACTCAGCGTTTATTGGTGGCTACTCATGCCATGTAAGAGTCTAAGCGCTAGGAGTGTAAGTGCTGTGAGAGACGGGATTTGAGCCTTGAGTCATTTAATACGAGAAGGACAATCAGAAGTAGAATAAGAGAGAAGTGCAAAGGAGGCAGCAAAGTTGTCTGAGGGCAGTCTTCGGAAAGGAAGAGGGTATTATTTGGAACACCTTGTTTTCCTGTTTTCTGCTAATGGACTCCTGAAATAATGTTCCTGGGATTCTTATCAACACATTTAGTATTACGTTAGCTAAAGCTTTTATATAATAATACCGAGAGCATGAATATTATTTTCTTATTCATACTTTATGTTTTACTGCTTAAATTGATACGTATTTTTTATTTTTAAGGGCCGAAGCCTGAAGCTCATAGCCAGGAACAGGGTCACCCACAGACTGGGTGTGAGTGTGAAGATGGTCCTGATGGGCAGGAGATGGACCCGCCAAATCCAGAGGAGGTGAAAACGCCTGAAGAAGGTAGGCAATCCATTAGGCATGCACATTGTAGGGTGTCTGTTTCCACAGTATCATATTGTAATTGTTACTATGTTTTTGAGACGGAGTCTCGCTCTGAAGACCAGGCTGGAGTGCAGTGGTGCCATTTCGGCTCACTGGAAATTCTGTCTCCAGGGTTCAAGTGATTCTCCTGCCTGAGCCTCTGGCGGAGCCGGGCTTACAGGCATGCTCCGCCGCGCCCAGCTAATTGTTGTATTTTTAGTAGAGACAGGGTTTCGTTATGTTGCACAGGTTGTTCCCGAACTCCTGACCTCAGGTGATCCACCTGCCTCGACCATTGAAATTGCCGGGATTACAGGCGAGAGCCACCGTGCCCGACCCAGCATTATATTTGTAATAACGGAGAGGTAACAATACTGCCTCTTTAGTAACAGAGTTCTTATATAAAGGTTATTTGAAACGTAGTTCAGGCCCCAGCACCCGACTGATAGACTGTCAGGTAGGGAAACAAACTGAGTCAAAGCTATGTTGAATTAAAAGTTTTGAGTGTAAATCCTTAAACCAGTAGCTCACAATTTTCAGATGCTTTTGTAAAGGTCTGCTTTTAATCAATACATAACACGTTTGTAACACCCATCACTTGGTGTGAAAAATGCTGAAGCACTCATGCGGGTTCTAATACCAGCTCTTACAGCCTTGGCGAGATTCTGAGTGAGTCCTTTCCCTTCTAAACCTATCTTTGGTTCTTATGAAAATAGTGAGTTTAAGTCAGAGATTTTAAAACCATTTTGCATTCCGTTTCTTTCATACTCTGATCCTGTTGCATAGAATGCGTGGGACACAGAGATCATCTGCTTCGCATGGTTTGTTAATCACAAATCATGAAACCCTGGCCCGAGTCATCTGAAAATCTCTGAATTGAGATTTCATTGTCAGTAAGACAGTGAGCGGGCCCTCTGCTTCATCCTAGTTTTTCCGTGTGGAGAGCTGAATACGTAGTGTAAGATCTTGTGAAATTGTGAATTCTCCCTCTTCTTGGTTTGTTTGTTTGTTTGCGACAGAGTCTCAGTGTGTCACCCAGGCTGGAGTGCAGTGATGCAATTTCAGCTCACTGCAACTTCTGGCTCCCAGGCTAAAGCCGTCCTCCCACCTCAGCCTCCCGAGTGGCTGGAACTACATGCACAAGCCACCGTGCCTGACTACATTTTTTTGTTTTCATTTTTGTAGAGATGAGGTCTCACTGTGTTGCCCAGGCAGGGTTTCTCTGGCTTTTAATGAACAATTGCTTCTTTTTTTTTCTTTTATTTATTTATTTATTTATTTATTTATTTATTTATTTATTTATCATTATACTTTAAGTTTTAGGGTACATGTGCACGTTGTGCAGGTTAGTTACATATGTATACATGTGCCATGCTGGTGCGCTGCACCCACTATCTCATCATCTAGCATTAGGTACATCTCCCAGTGCTATCCCTCCCCCCTCCCCCCACCCGACAACAGTCCCCAGGGTGTGATATTCCCCTTCCTCTGTCCATGTGATCTCATTGTTCAGTTCCCACCTATGAGTGAGAATATGCGGTGTTTGGTTTTTTGTTCTTGCAATAGTTTACTGAGAATGATGATTTCCAGTTTCATCCATGTCCCTACAAAGGACATGAACTCATCATTTTTTAGGGCTGCATAGTATTCCATGGTGTATATGTGCCACATTTTCTTAATCCAGTCTATCGTTGTTGGACATTTGGGTTGGTTCCAAGTCTTTGCTATCGTGAATAATGCCGCAATAAACATACGTGTGCATGTGTCTTTATAGCAGCATGATTTATAGTCCTTTGGGTATATACCCAGTAATGGGATGGCTGGGTCAAATGGTACAATTGCTTCTTAAAACTTTCCCCACGGAAACCTTGAGTGACTGAAATAAATATCAAATGGCGAGAGACCGTTTAGTTCGTATCATCTGTGGCATGTAGGTCAGTGATGCTCAGCATGGGTGTGAGTAAGATGCCTGTGCTATGCATGCTCCCTGCCCCACTGTCAGTCTTCATGAGCCACTATTTCTAATAAGACTGTAGACACACATACGATATAATCATCTCTAATCATATCAAATGTTACATGTAAGTTTCACCTTTAGAGACATGAATTGATAAGATTTGAAGTTGAAAGACCATGACTCTAGTACTTCCTGAGTAATCAACTGAAGTATGCTTTACACATGTGTTTTCCAAATTGCTGACTGTTAATTGTAAGTGCTTGTGACTTGAAAGGAAGCACTTGATGTTCAGGGAGGAAATTCCTTTTAAATTCTGCAGGTCTACGCTCAAAGTTAATGCAGAGGTTCAATTGCGTGTAAGACACGGGATCACCCATAGGGTTCTGTTTTTAGTCCATTTAATAAAACCCAAAGTGTAGTGTGCTTTGTATGCCTTTAGGGTCATCTGAATAATCTGTTGCTAAGTCATGTTCCCAATCGTTGTGTTTCTGTTACAGGTGAAAAGCAATCACAGTGTTAAAAGAAGACACGTTGAAATGATGCAGGCTGCTCCTATGTTGGAAATTTGTTCATTAAAATTCTCCCAATAAAGCTTTACAGCCTTCTGCAAAGAAGTCTTGCGCATCTTTTGTGAAGTTTATTTCTAGCTTTTTGATGCTGTGAAATATGTATCATTCTTTGAAATCGTGTATTGTAACTCTCTGAGCTGGTATGTAGAGACATCGTTCTTTTTTTTTCTTTTTTTCTTTGTCCTCTTTTGAGACGGAGTCTTGCTCTGTCGCCCAGGCTGGAGTGCAGTGGCGCGATCTCTGCTCACTGCAACCCCGCCTCCCGGATTCAAGCAATTGTCTGCCTCAGCCTCCCGAGTAGCTGGGATTATAGGCACCCACCAGCACGCCTGGCTAAGTTTTGTGTTTTTACTAGAGATGGGCTTTCGCCATCTTGGCCGGGGTGCTCTTGAACTCCTGACCTCGTGATTCACCTGCCTTGGCCTCCCAAAGTGCTGGGATTACAGGCATGAGCCTCCGTGCCCGGTGGAGACATAATTCTTACATATTGGTTTTCTATCCAGCGGCCTTGTGAAATATGCTTGTGAATTCTAAAGTTTACTTCTAGGTCGTTTTCAGTCTTCAATATACAGAAACATATCATCCTGGAATAAGAGCAGTTTTGTTTCCGCCATATTTTTTTCTTTTCCCTTTTGTATTTTTTTGTAGAGACGGGGTTTTGCCATGTTTCCCGGGCTGTTGTTGAACTTTTGAGTGCAAGTGATGCACCCACCTCACCTCCCACAGTGCTGGGATTACTGGCGTGGGCCACCGTGGCGGGCCCGTCGTTGGCATTGTAAAGAGTTTTATTTCCTTTTCTGATTTTATGGCATTGTGCAGACCCACCCGTTACAATGGTGACAGTGGACATCCTTGTCTTCTCCCTGATGAGAAACCGAAAAATTTCAACATTTCGCCATCCTATTCACTCTCCTTTTTTTGTAGACGGACTTTATCAGAGTGAGTCATTGCATTCTGTTCCAAATTTGCTGAGAGTATTCATTTGAATATATGTTGATTTTCATCAAACAGTGCATCTATTTCGATTACCACAGCGTTTTTTCCCATTCATGTGTTAATATAGTGAATTCGATTGATAAATTTGTACGTTTTTAGGTTCGATTATTAAAACTTGAGACAGCGTCTCACTCTGTCACCGAGGCTGGAGTGCGGTGGTGTTATCAGAGCTCGCTGCAGCCTTGACCTCCTGGGCTCAAGCGCGCCTCCCACCTCAGCCTCCTGAGGAGCTGTGAGTATAGGTACATGCCACCATGCCCAGCTAATTTTTCGATGGTTTTTTGTTTGTTTTTTGTAGTGATGAGATTTTCTGATGTTGCTTAGGCTGGTCTCGAAGTCCTGAGCTCAGGTGATCTGGCCAGCTCAGCCTCCCAAAATACTAGGATTACAGGCGTGAGCCTTGGCCTGGTCTGGTTTTTCTTATATAGGGGTCTTATCTATATAAAGACTAAAGTTAATCTGTGCCTTTGTGCGGGTGGGCTAAGAGCATGATGACTTTTATCATTCTATTGATTTAAAGAAAACTGTCCTTGACTTACCAGTGTGTAAGTCCATGAAAGCATAATTCTGTTGAAAGCATATATTGTTAATGGGTGTTGGGAACCGTGCACTTTCCGCTGCTGTGGGAGCATGTCCTTGGAGGTACCTTTCATCTGTTTTCTCAACTCCAAACATCTTAGGACCATGGGTTGTGACTGGTAGGACTATGTATCTTGCTGCTTTCAAGACGGAGTATATTTTCACGTGGTGTCACTCTGGCTGTCCTGTTTCCCTAATACTGTCACTTCACCCTCTGCGATTCTGATGCTACAAATGATAGATATCGTTTTAGCATTTTCTTACGGGTCCTAGCGATTCTATTCATTTTTCTTTCAGTCTCTTTCTCTGACTTGTTCACATTGAACAATTTCCTTTTGGGATAGGTTGCTATTTCTGTTTTCGCAGGTGGTTTACCTGTCTTCCCAGCCAGTCACAGTGGTCCTTGTCCCCATGGTGGGTCCGGGGCAAGAGAGGGCCCTGGGTTGGGGGTGGGGTTCAGTTGAAGATGGGGTGAGTTTTGAGGGGAGCACTACTTGAGTCCCAGAGGCATAGGAAACAGCAGAGGGAGGTGGGATTCCCTTATCCTCAATGAGGATGGGCATGGAGGGTTTGGGGCGTGGCGCTGGGAACGGCAGCCCTCCCCAGCCCACAGCCGCGCATGCTCCCTGGGCTCCCGCCTCAGTGCGCATGTTCACTGGGCGTCTTCTGCCCGGCCCCTTCGCCCACGTGAAGAACGCCAGGGAGCTGTGAGGCAGTGCTGTGTGGTTCCTGCCGTCCGGACTCTTTTTCCTCTACTGAGATTCATCTGGTAGGTGTGCAGGCCAGTCATCCCGGGGGCTGAAGTGTGAGTGAGGGTGGAGAGGGCCTCGGGTGGGTCAGGCGGGTCCCGCTTCCTGGTCTGTGGCCTCCGAGGGAGAAGGGCCACGAGGTCGTCCTCCTTCCCTTCACAGGCTGCGAGGCCACCGGCGGCTTCGTGGTCGTGAAGGGGCCTGGACGGGGAGGAAGGTGGGCCGTGGAGGGGAGGCGGTCAGGGGCTCAGGTGAAGACGGGGTGAGTGCTGTTGGGGGGATGGAAGTCCCGAGGTGCCGGGATCCCCGACGACACAGGGCAGATTCCCTGAATGGGGCCCCCGGCGGGGGCGAGGCGGGCGGTGAAGAAGGGGCCTGGCACCTGGGAAGGCTGCGGCCTGGCGAGCGCCCCCTCAGCGGTGTGGAGTGCGGAGCGCCCGAGTGAGAAGCACTGCAAGGTCTCACCTCCGCCATGGAAGGTCCGAAAACAGTGGGAAGGAGTGGGCGAGGCAGTGCGGTCCAACCAAACTTGTTGTGAGTGGGGGTGAATGGCTCTAGGAAGTGGGAGTGTGCCCAAAGCAGCAATCACGAGAATTGTGATTCACTAGGGTTTTCGTGGGGAGTGCACTTGTGAAACTAAACCTCATCAGAAATGACCTCTGTCTGCGGGGCGCAGTGGCGCTCGCCTACGTATTCCCAGTTACTGGGGACACTGAGGTGGGAGGATCCCTTGAGCGGGAGGTCGAGGCTGCAGTGAGCTGTGATCACGCCGCTGCACTCCAGCCTGAGCAACACAGCGAGACCGCGTGTCCAAAAGAAATTTAGAAAAAAATGTCCTCTGCCTTTTGCCACACGCCTTAAGATGATTGCTCTGCCAGCCTGGCCAGCAGAAGTGGCTTTGTAGGCACTCAGACAGCGTACACACGTATGCTTAACTCTGGGACTTATTTTGAGAGTATTTTCAAAAGTAAAACGGCAAGTTAACATTTATCCATGGAAGTGATCGAATATAGCAGCCCTCTGGAGCGCACGTTCCCAATCACGGTTGTCTGTTTTCAGTGTGAAATATGAGTTGGCGAGGAAGATCGACCTATTATTGGCCTAGACCAAGGCGCTATGTACAGCCTCCTGAAATGATTGGGCCTATGCGGGTGAGTGCTTAAACGTTAATTCGATGTTTTCTATTAGTAGAAATTAATTTTTGTGATAGCGTCGTTGCATTAGTGTGGAAATGCTGATAAAGGTCTTTCCTGCTCATAAAAAATGAGGATGGCATCTCATGAAGGAAACATTGATTCTGGAGGATTTTTTTTTTCCTCTCGTGTTCTTCAGCTTTTGCCCATGACTTCTTTCTCCGGCTTTGTTTGTTAATGACAGATTGTACACATGTATTCCAACACAGAGTATAATAGCCCCCAAAGTCCTCGTGCGTCACTTTTCTCACAGTAACCTCCCTGTGGGTGGAGTAACCTTATTGGGCATAGAGCATAGAGTTGGAGAAATGTCTTTAGGCTTAGTTAGGACCAGAAATAGCTATGTATTCTGTGTATATATGTAAAATTTTGTATCAATAACGAAACTTATTTTTTATTTGCACACCCACACGTATTCCCCAGCCCGAGCAGTTCAGTGATGAAGTGGAACCAGCAACACCTGAAGAAGGGGAACCAGCAACTCAATGTCAGGATCCTGCAGCTGCTCAGGAGGGAGAGGATGAGGGAGCATCTGCAGGTCAAGGTGAGGGAAAGGGAAGAAGAACGTCTGCTGGTGTGTGCGTGTGTGTGTGTTCGTGTGTGTGTGTGCACGTGTGTGTGTGTTAGGCATTGTCACATAGGAGGAAGAGGAGGAAAGAAAACAATGGAAAGAATGCCTGAAATTGACTGGAAAAGCGAGGAGGCTATGTAGTTTGCAGCTTAGCTTAGGCAAATCCCTCACTATGATAAAAGTTCTCGACTTTATGAATGAGAGAATGGAGGTGCCAGGATTGTGTGTTATCCAAGAACCCTTGACTGGTGAATACAACATTTGTACTGTGTTCTAAGGTTTGTGTCTTCCTATCATGTATGTTGCTGGAAAGAAGGAAGTGATTTTGCTGAAAATGCTTAAAACTCAAAAGGCTTTACTGTAAGGTAGCTTAGTACTGACCCAAGAATAGACCCAGTTCAGAGGAGCAGGAGCAGCTCCAAAAACCGAGTCGCTGAATGTTGGCCCCCGTTTCCTTTGATTGATATTTTTATATGGTACGTTTGATAAAAGCTGGATAAATGAGGATACTGCCATACAGGTAGCTGGTTTAGTGATTTTTCTCAGCGGCCTTTAGGAGGTGATTAAATCCTTTTATGGTTAGAAAAGCAAAAACGGAATTATCCTGAGATTAACGTGAGATGGAAATAATTTCTCCGAGATAAAATGTTTTGAAAGGAAGCATTTATGTAACGGAGGTCATGGATTATTCCAGGGATGCACTGTTAAAAGTTCCTAGAATCTGACTGACAACAATGCCCATTAATTGCTGTCCGCCCACTCCCTTATTCTCAGTGCGGGGGACAGTATATTTTCTGTGATTCACAAACAATGTTATATTTGGTGCTTTGTTCTTCACGGGGTTCATTTATGGAATATTACCTTTAGGACCTTCGGACCTAAATATAACTTTATTTGAACAAAGTGAAGTTTCTCTTTACCCCAATAGGTAATGGGTGTCGTGACTGTAAGATTTCCATAGTCCTCAAATCCATCCAGCTAATCAATCCTTCAGAAACTGACATTGTAATTGTAACTGAAATCCTACCCACGTGGTAGACTTCAGATTTCTCAGCTGACGCACACTGCTGTTGGTACTCTAGGGCTGAATATAAGCATTATACATGTCCTGTGGTTTATCCTTAGATTGTCATTTAGGAGAAAGGTCTAAAGCTGGGCTGAATGCCATGCACTCATAGTCCCAGCTACTTGGGAGGCCGAGGTGAGAGGATTGCTTGAGTCCTGGAGTTCAAGCCCAGCCTGGGAAACACAGTGAGACCTCATTGCTAATAAATAAATAAATGAATAAATAAATAAACACATAAATAAATTCATTAAATAAATAAAGTTTTCATGGTATAGGAAAACACAGATGCAAAGTTTTTGTGCCTAGTGGCTGGTAATGTTGCAAACGTAACTCCTTAGTGAACTGTACCACTTAAAAATAGTTAAGATGGTAAATTTTAGGATATCTGTATTTTTTACCACAATTGGAAATTCCTTTCTTCCTAAAGTTCAGTGCAGTTATCATATATTCTTTTAAATTTTTACTGTATGTATCTTCAAGACATAACATTCATAGAAAATTTGCAAGAATAGTACAATGAACTCATATACTGTTCATCTGGATTCACCAATTGTTAGTAGCTTTCGCTTCATAGGTTTCACATCTCTTCCCTCCGTCTCTTACCGTGCTGCCCACACACTCACACACACACACACACACACACATACGGATATATGTTTACTGTTATTAATGGTGAATTGTCTCGATAAAGTTTCAGGGATTATGGTCCTTTACCCTATGTACTTGAGGGTGTGTATATCGTCAGAACAAAGAGAAAGTCATTTCTTGGATCATCACTGCACAAAGATAAAAATCAGGAAATTTAACAATGAGAAAATGGAGTCATTTAATACAGAGTGCATACTCAAATTTTGCCAGTTCCCCAGAAAATTTCTTTTTTCCTTTTTTTTTTCTTTGTTGAGACGGAGTCTCTCTCTGTGGGCCAGGTGGGAGTGCAGTAGTGCGATCTCGGCTCACTGCAACCTACACCTCCCAGGTTCTAGGGATTCTCATGCCTCAGCCTCCCGTGTAGCTGGGACTACAGGCGCCGGCCACTGCGGTCTTGAACTTCTGGCCTCACCTGCTCTGCCCACCTTGGCATCCCAAAATGTTTGGATTGCAGGCGTGAGACCCCACGCCCGGCCCAGATAATTTTATTGATAGGATTTCTTTTTCTGATCCAGAGTCCAGTTCAGAATCACACCTTGCATGTGCTTTTCAGGTGTTTTTAGTTTCCTTTAACCTGTAATGTTTCCTTAATTTTTCTTGTCATTCACGATACGGACATTTTTGGAGAGGATAGACCAGTTGGTTTGCAGAATATTCTGCAGTTTGGGCTTTTTCATGTATTTTTAAAAGAGTTTTCTCACTCAGCGTTTATTGGTGGCTACTCATGCCATGTAAGAGTCTAAGCGCTAGGAGTGTAAGTGCTGTGAGAGACGGGATTTGAGCCTTGAGTCATTTAATACGAGAAGGACAATCAGAAGTAGAATAAGAGAGAAGTGCAAAGGAGGCAGCAAAGTTGTCTGAGGGCAGTCTTCGGAAAGGAAGAGGGTATTATTTGGAACACCTTGTTTTCCTGTTTTCTGCTAATGGACTCCTGAAATAATGTTCCTGGGATTCTTATCAACACATTTATTATTACGTTAGCTAAAGCTTTTATATAATAATACCGAGAGCATGAATATTATTTTCTTATTCATACTTTATGTTTTACTGCTTAAATTGATACGTATTTTTTATTTTTAAGGGCCGAAGCCTGAAGCTCATAGCCAGGAACAGGGTCACCCACAGACTGGGTGTGAGTGTGAAGATGGTCCTGATGGGCAGGAGATGGACCCGCCAAATCCAGAGGAGGTGAAAACGCCTGAAGAAGGTAGGCAATCCATTAGGCATGCACATTGTAGGGTGTCTGTTTCCACAGTATCATATTGTAATTGTTACTATGTTTTTGAGACGGAGTCTCGCTCTGAAGACCAGGCTGGAGTGCAGTGGTGCCATTTCGGCTCACTGGAAATTCTGTCTCCAGGGTTCAAGTGATTCTCCTGCCTGAGCCTCTGGCGGAGCCGGGCTTACAGGCATGCTCCGCCGCGCCCAGCTAATTGTTGTATTTTTAGTAGAGACAGGGTTTCGTTATGTTGCACAGGTTGTTCCCGAACTCCTGACCTCAGGTGATCCACCTGCCTCGACCATTGAAATTGCCGGGATTACAGGCGAGAGCCACCGTGCCCGACCCAGCATTATATTTTTAATAACGGAGAGGTAACAATACTGCCTCTTTAGTAACAGAGTTCTTATATAAAGGTTATTTGAAACGTAGTTCAGGCCCCAGCACCCGACTGATAGACTGTCAGGTAGGGAAACAAACTGAGTCAAAGCTATGTTGAATTAAAAGTTTTGAGTGTAAATCCTTAAACCAGTAGCTCACAATTTTCAGATGCTTTTGTAAAGGTCTGCTTTTAATCAATACATAACACGTTTGTAACACCCATCACTTGGTGTGAAAAATGCTGAAGCACTCATGCGGGTTCTAATACCAGCTCTTACAGCCTTGGCGAGATTCTGAGTGAGTCCTTTCCCTTCTAAACCTATCTTTGGTTCTTATGAAAATAGTGAGTTTAAGTCAGAGATTTTAAAACCATTTTGCATTCCGTTTCTTTCATACTCTGATCCTGTTGCATAGAATGCGTGGGACACAGAGATCATCTGCTTCGCATGGTTTGTTAATCACAAATCATGAAACCCTGGCCCGAGTCATCTGAAAATCTCTGAATTGAGATTTCATTGTCAGTAAGACAGTGAGCCGGCCCTCTGCTTCATCCTAGTTTTTCCGTGTGGAGAGCTGAATACGTAGTGTAAGATCTTGTGAAATTGTGAATTCTCCCTCTTCTTGGTTTGTTTGTTTGTTTGCGACAGAGTCTCAGTGTGTCACCCAGGCTGGAGTGCAGTGATGCAATTTCAGCTCACTGCAACTTCTGGCTCCCAGGCTAAAGCCGTCCTCCCACCTCAGCCTCCCGAGTGGCTGGAACTACATGCACAAGCCACCGTGCCTGACTACATTTTTTTGTTTTCATTTTTGTAGAGATGAGGTCTCACTGTGTTGCCCAGGCAGGGTTTCTCTGGCTTTTAATGAACAATTGCTTCTTTTTTTTTCTTTTATTTATTTATTTATTTATTTATTTATTTATTTATTTATTTATCATTATACTTTAAGTTTTAGGGTACATGTGCACGTTGTGCAGGTTAGTTACATATGTATACATGTGCCATGCTGGTGCGCTGCACCCACTATCTCATCATCTAGCATTAGGTACATCTCCCAGTGCTATCCCTCCCCCCTCCCCCCACCCGACAGCAGTCCCCAGGGTGTGATATTCCCCTTCCTCTGTCCATGTGATCTCATTGTTCAGTTCCCACCTATGAGTGAGAATATGCGGTGTTTGGTTTTTTGTTCTTGCAATAGTTTACTGAGAATGATGATTTCCAGTTTCATCCATGTCCCTACAAAGGACATGAACTCATCATTTTTTAGGGCTGCATAGTATTCCATGGTGTATATGTGCCACATTTTCTTAATCCAGTCTATCGTTGTTGGACATTTGGGTTGGTTCCAAGTCTTTGCTATCGTGAATAATGCCGCAATAAACATACGTGTGCATGTGTCTTTATAGCAGCATGATTTATAGTCCTTTGGGTATATACCCAGTAATGGGATGGCTGGGTCAAATGGTACAATTGCTTCTTAAAACTTTCCCCACGGAAACCTTGAGTGACTGAAATAAATATCAAATGGCGAGAGACCGTTTAGTTCGTATCATCTGTGGCATGTAGGTCAGTGATGCTCAGCATGGGTGTGAGTAAGATGCCTGTGCTATGCATGCTCCCTGCCCCACTGTCAGTCTTCATGAGCCACTATTTCTAATAAGACTGTAGACACACATACGATATAATCATCTCTAATCATATCAAATGTTACATGTAAGTTTCACCTTTAGAGACATGAATTGATAAGATTTGAAGTTGAAAGACCATGACTCTAGTACTTCCTGAGTAATCAACTGAAGTATGCTTTACGCATGTGTTTTCCAAATTGCTGACTGTTAATTGTAAGTGCTTGTGACTTGAAAGGAAGCACTTGATGTTCAGGGAGGAAATTCCTTTTAAATTCTGCAGGTCTACGCTCAAAGTTAATGCAGAGGTTCAATTGCGTGTAAGACACGGGATCTCCCATAGGGTTCTGTTTTTAGTCCATTTAATAAAACCCAAACTGTAGTGTGCTTTGTATGCCTTTAGGGTCATCTGAATAATCTGTTGCTAAGTCATGTTCCCAATCGTTGTGTTTCTGTTACAGGTGAAAAGCAATCACAGTGTTAAAAGAAGACACGTTGAAATGATGCAGGCTGCTCCTATGTTGGAAATTTGTTCATTAAAATTCTCCCAATAAAGCTTTACAGCCTTCTGCAAAGAAGTCTTGCGCATCTTTTGTGAAGTTTATTTCTAGCTTTTTGATGCTGTGAAATATGTATCATTCTTTGAAATCGTGTATTGTAACTCTCTGAGCTGGTATGTAGAGACATCGTTCTTTTTTTTTCTTTTTTTCTTTGTCCTCTTTTGAGACGGAGTCTTGCTCTGTCGCCCAGGCTGGAGTGCAGTGGCGCGATCTCTGCTCACTGCAACCCCGCCTCCCGGATTCAAGCAATTGTCTGCCTCAGCCTCCCGAGTAGCTGGGATTATAGGCACCCACCAGCACGCCTGGCTAAGTTTTGTGTTTTTACTAGAGATGGGCTTTCGCCATCTTGGCCGGGGTGCTCTTGAACTCCTGACCTCGTGATTCACCTGCCTTGGCCTCCCAAAGTGCTGGGATTACAGGCATGAGCCTCCGTGCCCGGTGGAGACATAATTCTTACATATTGGTTTTCTATCCAGCGGCCTTGTGAAATATGCTTGTGAATTCTAAAGTTTACTTCTAGGTCGTTTTCAGTCTTCAATATACAGAAACATATCATCCTGGAATAAGAGCAGTTTTGTTTCCGCCATATTTTTTTCTTTTCCCTTTTGTATTTTTTTGTAGAGACGGGGTTTTGCCATGTTTCCCGGGCTGTTGTTGAACTTTTGAGTGCAAGTGATGCACCCACCTCACCTCCCACAGTGCTGGGATTACTGGCGTGGGCCACCGTGGCGGGCCCGTCGTTGGCATTGTAAAGAGTTTTATTTCCTTTTCTGATTTTATGGCATTGCGCAGACCCACCCGTTACAATGGTGACAGTGGACATCCTTGTCTTCTCCCTGATGAGAAACCGAAAAATTTCAACATTTCGCCATCCTATTCACTCTCCTTTTTTTGTAGACGGACTTTATCAGAGTGAGTCATTGCATTCTGTTCCAAATTTGCTGAGAGTATTCATTTGAATATATGTTGATTTTCATCAAACAGTGCATCTATTTCGATTACCACAGCGTTTTTTCCCATTCATGTGTTAATATAGTGAATTCGATTGATAAATTTGTACGTTTTTAGGTTCGATTATTAAAACTTGAGACAGCGTCTCACTCTGTCACCGAGGCTGGAGTGCGGTGGTGTTATCAGAGCTCGCTGCAGCCTTGACCTCCTGGGCTCAAGTGCGCCTCCCACCTCAGCCTCCTGAGGAGCTGTGAGTATAGGTACATGCCACCATGCCCAGCTAATTTTTCGATGGTTTTTTGTTTGTTTTTTGTAGTGATGAGATTTTCTGATGTTGCTTAGGCTGGTCTCGAAGTCCTGAGCTCAGGTGATCTGGCCAGCTCAGCCTCCCAAAATACTAGGATTACAGGCGTGAGCCTTGGCCTGGTCTGGTTTTTCTTATATAGGGGTCTTATCTATATAAAGACTAAAGTTAATCTGTGCCTTTGTGCGGGTGGGCTAAGAGCATGATGACTTTTATCATTCTATTGATTTAAAGAAAACTGTCCTTGACTTACCAGTGTGTAAGTCCATGAAAGCATAATTCTGTTGAAAGCATATATTGTTAATGGGTGTTGGGAACCGTGCACTTTCCGCTGCTGTGGGAGCATGTCCTTGGAGGTACCTTTCATCTGTTTTCTCAACTCCAAACATCTTAGGACCATGGGTTGTGACTGGTAGGACTATGTATCTTGCTGCTTTCAAGACGGAGTATATTTTCACGTGGTGTCACTCTGGCTGTCCTGTTTCCCTAATACTGTCACTTCACCCTCTGCGATTCTGATGCTACAAATGATAGATATCGTTTTAGCATTTTCTTACGGGTCCTAGCGATTCTATTCATTTTTCTTTCAGTCTCTTTCTCTGACTTGTTCACATTGAACAATTTCCTTTTGGGATAGGTTGCTATTTCTGTTTTCGCAGGTGGTTTACCTGTCTTCCCAGCCAGTCACAGTGGTCCTTGTCCCCATGGTGGGTCCGGGGCAAGAGAGGGCCCTGGGTTGGGGGTGGGGTTCAGTTGAAGATGGGGTGAGTTTTGAGGGGAGCACTACTTGAGTCCCAGAGGCATAGGAAACAGCAGAGGGAGGTGGGATTCCCTTATCCTCAATGAGGATGGGCATGGAGGGTTTGGGGCGTGGCGCTGGGAACGGCAGCCCTCCCCAGCCCACAGCCGCGCATGCTCCCTGGGCTCCCGCCTCAGTGCGCATGTTCACTGGGCGTCTTCTGCCCGGCCCCTTCGCCCACGTGAAGAACGCCAGGGAGCTGTGAGGCAGTGCTGTGTGGTTCCTGCCGTCCGGACTCTTTTTCCTCTACTGAGATTCATCTGGTAGGTGTGCAGGCCAGTCATCCCGGGGGCTGAAGTGTGAGTGAGGGTGGAGAGGGCCTCGGGTGGGTCAAGCGGGTCCCGCTTCCTGGTCTGTGGCCTCCGAGGGAGAAGGGCCACGAGGTCGTCCTCCTTCCCTTCACAGGCTGCGAGGCCACCGGCGGCTTCGTGGTCGTGAAGGGGCCTGGACGGGGAGGAAGGTGGGCCGTGGAGGGGAGGCGGTCAGGGGCTCAGGTGAAGACGGGGTGAGTGCTGTTGGGGGGATGGAAGTCCCGAGGTGCCGGGATCCCCGACGACACAGGGCAGATTCCCTGAATGGGGCCCCCGGCGGGGGCGAGGCGGGCGGTGAAGAAGGGGCCTGGCACCTGGGAAGGCTGCGGCCTGGCGAGCGCCCCCTCAGCGGTGTGGAGTGCGGAGCGCCCGAGTGAGAAGCACTGCAAGGTCTCACCTCCGCCATGGAAGGTCCGAAAACAGTGGGAAGGAGTGGGCGAGGCAGTGCGGTCCAACCAAACTTGTTGTGAGGGGGGGTGAATGGCTCTAGGAAGTGGGAGTGTGCCCAAAGCAGCAATCACGAGAATTGTGATTCACTAGGGTTTTCGTGGGGAGTGCACTTGTGAAACTAAACCTCATCAGAAATGACCTCTGTCTGCGGGGCGCAGTGGCGCTCGCCTACGTATTCCCAGTTACTGGGGACACTGAGGTGGGAGGATCCCTTGAGCGGGAGGTCGAGGCTGCAGTGAGCTGTGATCACGCCGCTGCACTCCAGCCTGAGCAACACAGCGAGACCGCGTGTCCAAAAGAAATTTAGAAAAAAATGTCCTCTGCCTTTTGCCACACGCCTTAAGATGATTGCTCTGCCAGCCTGGCCAGCAGAAGTGGCTTTGTAGGCACTCAGACAGCGTACACACGTATGCTTAACTCTGGGACTTATTTTGAGAGTATTTTCAAAAGTAAAACGGCAAGTTAACATTTATCCATGGAAGTGATCGAATATAGCAGCCCTCTGGAGCGCACGTTCCCAATCACGGTTGTCTGTTTTCAGTGTGAAATATGAGTTGGCGAGGAAGATCGACCTATTATTGGCCTAGACCAAGGCGCTATGTACAGCCTCCTGAAATGATTGGGCCTATGCGGGTGAGTGCTTAAACGTTAATTCGATGTTTTCTATTAGTAGAAATTAATTTTTGTGATAGCGTCGTTGCATTAGTGTGGAAATGCTGATAAAGGTCTTTCCTGCTCATAAAAAATGAGGATGGCATCTCATGAAGGAAACATTGATTCTGGAGGATTTTTTTTTTCCTCTCGTGTTCTTCAGCTTTTGCCCATGACTTCTTTCTCCGGCTTTGTTTGTTAATGACAGATTGTACACATGTATTCCAACACAGAGTATAATAGCCCCCAAAGTCCTCGTGCGTCACTTTTCTCACAGTAACCTCCCTGTGGGTGGAGTAACCTTATTGGGCATAGAGCATAGAGTTGGAGAAATGTCTTTAGGCTTAGTTAGGACCAGAAATAGCTATGTATTCTGTGTATATATGTAAAATTTTGTATCAATAACGAAACTTATTTTCTATTTGCACACCCACACGTATTCCCCAGCCCGAGCAGTTCAGTGATGAAGTGGAACCAGCAACACCTGAAGAAGGGGAACCAGCAACTCAATGTCAGGATCCTGCAGCTGCTCAGGAGGGAGAGGATGAGGGAGCATCTGCAGGTCAAGGTGAGGGAAAGGGAAGAAGAACGTCTGCTGGTGTGTGCGTGTGTGTGTGTTCCTGTGTGTGTGTGCACGTGTGTGTGTGTTAGGCATTGTCACATAGGAGGAAGAGGAGGAAAGAAAACAATGGAAAGAATGCCTGAAATTGACTGGAAAAGCGAGGAGGCTATGTAGTTTGCAGCTTAGCTTAGGCAAATCCCTCACTATGATAAAAGTTCTCGACTTTATGAATGAGAGAATGGAGGTGCCAGGATTGTGTGTTATCCAAGAACCCTTGACTGGTGAATACAACATTTGTACTGTGTTCTAAGGTTTGTGTCTTCCTATCATGTATGTTGCTGGAAAGAAGGAAGTGATTTTGCTGAAAATGCTTAAAACTCAAAAGGCTTTACTGTAAGGTAGCTTAGTACTGACCCAAGAATAGACCCAGTTCAGAGGAGCAGGAGCAGCTCCAAAAACCGAGTCGCTGAATGTTGGCCCCCGTTTCCTTTGATTGATATTTTTATATGGTACGTTTGATAAAAGCTGGATAAATGAGGATACTGCCATACAGGTAGCTGGTTTAGTGATTTTTCTCAGCGGCCTTTAGGAGGTGATTAAATCCTTTTATGGTTAGAAAAGCAAAAACGGAATTATCCTGAGATTAACGTGAGATGGAAATAATTTCTCCCAGATAAAATGTTTTGAAAGGAAGCATTTATGTAACGGAGGTCATGGATTATTCCAGGGATGCACTGTTAAAAGTTCCTAGAATCTGACTGACAACAATGCCCATTAATTGCTGTCCGCCCACTCCCTTATTCTCAGTGCGGGGGACAGTATATTTTCTGTGATTCACAAACAATGTTATATTTGGTGCTTTGTTCTTCACGGGGTTCATTTATGGAATATTACCTTTAGGACCTTCGGACCTAAATATAACTTTATTTGAACAAAGTGAAGTTTCTCTTTACCCCAATAGGTAATGGGTGTCGTGACTGTAAGATTTCCATAGTCCTCAAATCCATCCAGCTAATCAATCCTTCAGAAACTGACATTGTAATTGTAACTGAAATCCTACCCACGTGGTAGACTTCAGATTTCTCAGCTGACGCACACTGCTGTTGGTACTCTAGGGCTGAATATAAGCATTATACATGTCCTGTGGTTTATCCTTAGATTGTCATTTAGGAGAAAGGTCTAAAGCTGGGCTGAATGCCATGCACTCATAGTCCCAGCTACTTGGGAGGCCGAGGTGAGAGGATTGCTTGAGTCCTGGAGTTCAAGCCCAGCCTGGGAAACACAGTGAGACCTCATTGCTAATAAATAAATAAATGAATAAATAAATAAACACATAAATAAATTCATTAAATAAATAAAGTTTTCATGGTATAGGAAAACACAGATGCAAAGTTTTTGTGCCTAGTGGCTGGTAATGTTGCAAACGTAACTCCTTAGTGAACTGTACCACTTAAAAATAGTTAAGATGGTAAATTTTAGGATATCTGTATTTTTTACCACAATTGGAAATTCCTTTCTTCCTAAAGTTCAGTGCAGTTATCATATATTCTTTTAAATTTTTACTGTATGTATCTTCAAGACATAACATTCATAGAAAATTTGCAAGAATAGTACAATGAACTCATATACTGTTCATCTGGATTCACCAATTGTTAGTAGCTTTCGCTTCATAGGTTTCACATCTCTTCCCTCCGTCTCTTACCGTGCTGCCCACACACTCACACACACACACACACACACACATACGGATATATGTTTACTGTTATTAATGGTGAATTGTCTCGATAAAGTTTCAGGGATTATGGTCCTTTACCCTATGTACTTGAGGGTGTGTATATCGTCAGAACAAAGAGAAAGTCATTTCTTGGATCATCACTGCACAAAGATAAAAATCAGGAAATTTAACAATGAGAAAATGGAGTCATTTAATACAGAGTGCATACTCAAATTTTGCCAGTTCCCCAGAAAATTTCTTTTTTCCTTTTTTTTTTCTTTGTTGAGACGGAGTCTCTCTCTGTGGGCCAGGTGGGAGTGCAGTAGTGCGATCTCGGCTCACTGCAACCTACACCTCCCAGGTTCTAGGGATTCTCATGCCTCAGCCTCCCGTGTAGCTGGGACTACAGGCGCCGGCCACTGCGGTCTTGAACTTCTGGCCTCACCTGCTCTGCCCACCTTGGCATCCCAAAATGTTTGGATTGCAGGCGTGAGACCCCACGCCCGGCCCAGATAATTTTATTGATAGGATTTCTTTTTCTGATCCAGAGTCCAGTTCAGAATCACACCTTGCATGTGCTTTTCAGGTGTTTTTAGTTTCCTTTAACCTGTAATGTTTCCTTAATTTTTCTTGTCATTCACGATACGGACATTTTTGGAGAGGATAGACCAGTTGGTTTGCAGAATATTCTGCAGTTTGGGCTTTTTCATGTATTTTTAAAAGAGTTTTCTCACTCAGCGTTTATTGGTGGCTACTCATGCCATGTAAGAGTCTAAGCGCTAGGAGTGTAAGTGCTGTGAGAGACGGGATTTGAGCCTTGAGTCATTTAATACGAGAAGGACAATCAGAAGTAGAATAAGAGAGAAGTGCAAAGGAGGCAGCAAAGTTGTCTGAGGGCAGTCTTCGGAAAGGAAGAGGGTATTATTTGGAACACCTT
Organism: Homo sapiens; assembly: GCF_000001405.40. Classification (NCBI taxonomy): domain Eukaryota; kingdom Metazoa; phylum Chordata; class Mammalia; order Primates; family Hominidae; genus Homo; species Homo sapiens. The sequence continues at coordinate 49,555,759 of NC_000023.11, forward strand.
GTTTTCCTGTTTTCTGCTAATGGACTCCTGAAATAATGTTCCTGGGATTCTTATCAACACATTTAGTATTACGTTAGCTAAAGCTTTTATATAATAATACCGAGAGCATGAATATTATTTTCTTATTCATACTTTATGTTTTACTGCTTAAATTGATACGTATTTTTTATTTTTAAGGGCCGAAGCCTGAAGCTCATAGCCAGGAACAGGGTCACCCACAGACTGGGTGTGAGTGTGAAGATGGTCCTGATGGGCAGGAGATGGACCCGCCAAATCCAGAGGAGGTGAAAACGCCTGAAGAAGGTAGGCAATCCATTAGGCATGCACATTGTAGGGTGTCTGTTTCCACAGTATCATATTGTAATTGTTACTATGTTTTTGAGACGGAGTCTCGCTCTGAAGACCAGGCTGGAGTGCAGTGGTGCCATTTCGGCTCACTGGAAATTCTGTCTCCAGGGTTCAAGTGATTCTCCTGCCTGAGCCTCTGGCGGAGCCGGGCTTACAGGCATGCTCCGCCGCGCCCAGCTAATTGTTGTATTTTTAGTAGAGACAGGGTTTCGTTATGTTGCACAGGTTGTTCCCGAACTCCTGACCTCAGGTGATCCACCTGCCTCGACCATTGAAATTGCCGGGATTACAGGCGAGAGCCACCGTGCCCGACCCAGCATTATATTTTTAATAACGGAGAGGTAACAATACTGCCTCTTTAGTAACAGAGTTCTTATATAAAGGTTATTTGAAACGTAGTTCAGGCCCCAGCACCCGACTGATAGACTGTCAGGTAGGGAAACAAACTGAGTCAAAGCTATGTTGAATTAAAAGTTTTGAGTGTAAATCCTTAAACCAGTAGCTCACAATTTTCAGATGCTTTTGTAAAGGTCTGCTTTTAATCAATACATAACACGTTTGTAACACCCATCACTTGGTGTGAAAAATGCTGAAGCACTCATGCGGGTTCTAATACCAGCTCTTACAGCCTTGGCGAGATTCTGAGTGAGTCCTTTCCCTTCTAAACCTATCTTTGGTTCTTATGAAAATAGTGAGTTTAAGTCAGAGATTTTAAAACCATTTTGCATTCCGTTTCTTTCATACTCTGATCCTGTTGCATAGAATGCGTGGGACACAGAGATCATCTGCTTCGCATGGTTTGTTAATCACAAATCATGAAACCCTGGCCCGAGTCATCTGAAAATCTCTGAATTGAGATTTCATTGTCAGTAAGACAGTGAGCGGGCCCTCTGCTTCATCCTAGTTTTTCCGTGTGGAGAGCTGAATACGTAGTGTAAGATCTTGTGAAATTGTGAATTCTCCCTCTTCTTGGTTTGTTTGTTTGTTTGCGACAGAGTCTCAGTGTGTCACCCAGGCTGGAGTGCAGTGATGCAATTTCAGCTCACTGCAACTTCTGGCTCCCAGGCTAAAGCCGTCCTCCCACCTCAGCCTCCCGAGTGGCTGGAACTACATGCACAAGCCACCGTGCCTGACTACATTTTTTTGTTTTCATTTTTGTAGAGATGAGGTCTCACTGTGTTGCCCAGGCAGGGTTTCTCTGGCTTTTAATGAACAATTGCTTCTTTTTTTTTCTTTTATTTATTTATTTATTTATTTATTTATTTATTTATTTATCATTATACTTTAAGTTTTAGGGTACATGTGCACGTTGTGCAGGTTAGTTACATATGTATACATGTGCCATGCTGGTGCGCTGCACCCACTATCTCATCATCTAGCATTAGGTACATCTCCCAGTGCTATCCCTCCCCCCTCCCCCCACCCGACAACAGTCCCCAGGGTGTGATATTCCCCTTCCTCTGTCCATGTGATCTCATTGTTCAGTTCCCACCTATGAGTGAGAATATGCGGTGTTTGGTTTTTTGTTCTTGCAATAGTTTACTGAGAATGATGATTTCCAGTTTCATCCATGTCCCTACAAAGGACATGAACTCATCATTTTTTAGGGCTGCATAGTATTCCATGGTGTATATGTGCCACATTTTCTTAATCCAGTCTATCGTTGTTGGACATTTGGGTTGGTTCCAAGTCTTTGCTATCGTGAATAATGCCGCAATAAACATACGTGTGCATGTGTCTTTATAGCAGCATGATTTATAGTCCTTTGGGTATATACCCAGTAATGGGATGGCTGGGTCAAATGGTACAATTGCTTCTTAAAACTTTCCCCACGGAAACCTTGAGTGACTGAAATAAATATCAAATGGCGAGAGACCGTTTAGTTCGTATCATCTGTGGCATGTAGGTCAGTGATGCTCAGCATGGGTGTGAGTAAGATGCCTGTGCTATGCATGCTCCCTGCCCCACTGTCAGTCTTCATGAGCCACTATTTCTAATAAGACTGTAGACACACATACGATATAATCATCTCTAATCATATCAAATGTTACATGTAAGTTTCACCTTTAGAGACATGAATTGATAAGATTTGAAGTTGAAAGACCATGACTCTAGTACTTCCTGAGTAATCAACTGAAGTATGCTTTACACATGTGTTTTCCAAATTGCTGACTGTTAATTGTAAGTGCTTGTGACTTGAAAGGAAGCACTTGATGTTCAGGGAGGAAATTCCTTTTAAATTCTGCAGGTCTACGCTCAAAGTTTATGCAGAGGTTCAATTGCGTGTAAGACACGGGATCACCCATAGGGTTCTGTTTTTAGTCCATTTAATAAAACCCAAACTGTAGTGTGCTTTGTATGCCTTTAGGGTCATCTGAATAATCTGTTGCTAAGTCATGTTCCCAATCGTTGTGTTTCTGTTACAGGTGAAAAGCAATCACAGTGTTAAAAGAAGACACGTTGAAATGATGCAGGCTGCTCCTATGTTGGAAATTTGTTCATTAAAATTCTCCCAATAAAGCTTTACAGCCTTCTGCAAAGAAGTCTTGCGCATCTTTTGTGAAGTTTATTTCTAGCTTTTTGATGCTGTGAAATATGTATCATTCTTTGAAATCGTGTATTGTAACTCTCTGAGCTGGTATGTAGAGACATCGTTCTTTTTTTTTTCTTTCTTTCTTTGTCCTCTTTTGAGACGGAGTCTTGCTCTGTCGCCCAGGCTGGAGTGCAGTGGCGCGATCTCTGCTCACTGCAACCCCGCCTCCCGGATTCAAGCAATTGTCTGCCTCAGCCTCCCGAGTAGCTGGGATTATAGGCACCCACCAGCACGCCTGGCTAAGTTTTGTGTTTTTACTAGAGATGGGCTTTCGCCATCTTGGCCGGGGTGCTCTTGAACTCCTGACCTCGTGATTCACCTGCCTTGGCCTCCCAAAGTGCTGGGATTACAGGCATGAGCCTCCGCGCCCGGTGGAGACATAATTCTTACATATTGGTTTTCTATCCAGCGGCCTTGTGAAATATGCTTGTGAATTCTAAAGTTTACTTCTAGGTCGTTTTCAGTCTTCAATATACAGAAACATATCATCCTGGAATAAGAGCAGTTTTGTTTCCGCCATATTTTTTTCTTTTCCCTTTTGTATTTTTTTGTAGAGACGGGGTTTTGCCATGTTTCCCGGGCTGTTGTTGAACTTTTGAGTGCAAGTGATGCACCCACCTCACCTCCCACAGTGCTGGGATTACTGGCGTGGGCCACCGTGGCGGGCCCGTCGTTGCCATTGTAAAGAGTTTTATTTCCTTTTCTGATTTTATGGCATTGCGCAGACCCACCCGTTACAATGGTGACAGTGGACATCCTTGTCTTATCCCTGATGAGAAACCGAAAAATTTCAACATTTCACCATCCTATTCACTCTCCTTTTTTTGTAGACGGACTTTATCAGAGTGAGTCATTGCATTCTGTTCCAAATTTGCTGAGAGTATTCATTTGAATATATGTTGATTTTCATCAAACAGTGCATCTATTTCGATTACCACAGCGTTTTTTCCCATTCATGTGTTAATATAGTGAATTCGATTGATAAATTTGTACGTTTTTAGGTTCGATTATTAAAACTTGAGACAGCGTCTCACTCTGTCACCGAGGCTGGAGTGCGGTGGTGTTATCAGAGCTCGCTGCAGCCTTGACCTCCTGGGCTCAAGCGCGCCTCCCACCTCAGCCTCCTGAGGAGCTGTGAGTATAGGTACATGCCACCATGCCCAGCTAATTTTTCGATGGTTTTTTGTTTGTTTTTTGTAGTGATGAGATTTTCTGATGTTGCTTAGGCTGGTCTCGAAGTCCTGAGCTCAGGTGATCTGGCCAGCTCAGCCTCCCAAAATACTAGGATTACAGGCGTGAGCCTTGGCCTGGTCTGGTTTTTCTTATATAGGGGTCTTATCTATATAAAGACTAAAGTTAATCTGTGCCTTTGTGCGGGTGGGCTAAGAGCATGATGACTTTTATCATTCTATTGATTTAAAGAAAACTGTCCTTGACTTACCAGTGTGTAAGTCCATGAAAGCATAATTCTGTTGAAAGCATATATTGTTAATGGGTGTTGGGAACCGTGCACTTTCCGCTGCTGTGGGAGCATGTCCTTGGAGGTACCTTTCATCTGTTTTCTCAACTCCAAACATCTTAGGACCATGGGTTGTGACTGGTAGGACTATGTATCTTGCTGCTTTCAAGACGGAGTATATTTTCACGTGGTGTCACTCTGGCTGTCCTGTTTCCCTAATACTGTCACTTCACCCTCTGCGATTCTGATGCTACAAATGATAGATATCGTTTTAGCATTTTCTTACGGGTCCTAGCGATTCTATTCATTTTTCTTTCAGTCTCTTTCTCTGACTTGTTCACATTGAACAATTTCCTTTTGGGATAGGTTGCTATTTCTGTTTTCGCAGGTGGTTTACCTGTCTTCCCAGCCAGTCACAGTGGTCCTTGTCCCCATGGTGGGTCCGGGGCAAGAGAGGGCCCTGGGTTGGGGGTGGGGTTCAGTTGAAGATGGGGTGAGTTTTGAGGGGAGCACTACTTGAGTCCCAGAGGCATAGGAAACAGCAGAGGGAGGTGGGATTCCCTTATCCTCAATGAGGATGGGCATGGAGGGTTTGGGGCGTGGCGCTGGGAACGGCAGCCCTCCCCAGCCCACAGCCGCGCATGCTCCCTGGGCTCCCGCCTCAGTGCGCATGTTCACTGGGCGTCTTCTGCCCGGCCCCTTCGCCCACGTGAAGAACGCCAGGGAGCTGTGAGGCAGTGCTGTGTGGTTCCTGCCGTCCGGACTCTTTTTCCTCTACTGAGATTCATCTGGTAGGTGTGCAGGCCAGTCATCCCGGGGGCTGAAGTGTGAGTGAGGGTGGAGAGGGCCTCGGGTGGGTCAGGCGGGTCCCGCTTCCTGGTCTGTGGCCTCCGAGGGAGAAGGGCCACGAGGTCGTCCTCCTTCCCTTCACAGGCTGCGAGGCCACCGGCGGCTTCGTGGTCGTGAAGGGGCCTGGACGGGGAGGAAGGTGGGCCGTGGAGGGGAGGCGGTCAGGGGCTCAGGTGAAGACGGGGTGAGTGCTGTTGGGGGGATGGAAGTCCCGAGGTGCCGGGATCCCCGACGACACAGGGCAGATTCCCTGAATGGGGCCCCCGGCGGGGGCGAGGCGGGCGGTGAAGAAGGGGCCTGGCACCTGGGAAGGCTGCGGCCTGGCGAGCGCCCCCTCAGCGGTGTGGAGTGCGGAGCGCCCGAGTGAGAAGCACTGCAAGGTCTCACCTCCGCCATGGAAGGTCCGAAAACAGTGGGAAGGAGTGGGCGAGGCAGTGCGGTCCAACCAAACTTGTTGTGAGTGGGGGTGAATGGCTCTAGGAAGTGGGAGTGTGCCCAAAGCAGCAATCACGAGAATTGTGATTCACTAGGGTTTTCGTGGGGAGTGCACTTGTGAAACTAAACCTCATCAGAAATGACCTCTGTCTGCGGGGCGCAGTGGCGCTCGCCTACGTATTCCCAGTTACTGGGGACACTGAGGTGGGAGGATCCCTTGAGCGGGAGGTCGAGGCTGCAGTGAGCTGTGATCACGCCGCTGCACTCCAGCCTGAGCAACACAGCGAGACCGCGTGTCCAAAAGAAATTTAGAAAAAAATGTCCTCTGCCTTTTGCCACACGCCTTAAGATGATTGCTCTGCCAGCCTGGCCAGCAGAAGTGGCTTTGTAGGCACTCAGACAGCGTACACACGTATGCTTAACTCTGGGACTTATTTTGAGAGTATTTTCAAAAGTAAAACGGCAAGTTAACATTTATCCATGGAAGTGATCGAATATAGCAGCCCTCTGGAGCGCACGTTCCCAATCACGGTTGTCTGTTTTCAGTGTGAAATATGAGTTGGCGAGGAAGATCGACCTATTATTGGCCTAGACCAAGGCGCTATGTACAGCCTCCTGAAATGATTGGGCCTATGCGGGTGAGTGCTTAAACGTTAATTCGATGTTTTCTATTAGTAGAAATTAATTTTTGTGATAGCGTCGTTGCATTAGTGTGGAAATGCTGATAAAGGTCTTTCCTGCTCATAAAAAATGAGGATGGCATCTCATGAAGGAAACATTGATTCTGGAGGATTTTTTTTTTCCTCTCGTGTTCTTCAGCTTTTGCCCATGACTTCTTTCTCCGGCTTTGTTTGTTAATGACAGATTGTACACATGTATTCCAACACAGAGTATAATAGCCCCCAAAGTCCTCGTGCGTCACTTTTCTCACAGTAACCTCCCTGTGGGTGGAGTAACCTTATTGGGCATAGAGCATAGAGTTGGAGAAATGTCTTTAGGCTTAGTTAGGACCAGAAATAGCTATGTATTCTGTGTATATATGTAAAATTTTGTATCAATAACGAAACTTATTTTTTATTTGCACACCCACACGTATTCCCCAGCCCGAGCAGTTCAGTGATGAAGTGGAACCAGCAACACCTGAAGAAGGGGAACCAGCAACTCAACGTCAGGATCCTGCAGCTGCTCAGGAGGGAGAGGATGAGGGAGCATCTGCAGGTCAAGGTGAGGGAAAGGGAAGAAGAACGTCTGCTGGTGTGTGCGTGTGTGTGTGTTCGTGTGTGTGTGTGTGCACGTGTGTGTGTGTGTGTTAGGCATTGTCACATAGGAGGAAGAGGAGGAAAGAAAACAATGGAAAGAATGCCTGAAATTGACTGGAAAAGCGAGGAGGCTATGTAGTTCGCAGCTTAGCTTAGGCAAATCCCTCACTATGGTAAAAGATCTCGACTTTATGAATGAGAGAATGGAGGTGCCAGGATTGTGTGTTATCCAAGAACCCTTGACTGGTGAATACAACATTTGTACTGTGTTCCAAGGTTTGTGTCTTCCTATCATGTATGTTGCTGTAAAGAAGGAAGTGATTTTGCTGAAAATGCTTAAAACTCAAAAGGCTTTACTGTAAGGTAGCTTAGTACTGACCCAAGAATAGACCCAGTTCAGAGGAGCAGGAGCAGCTCCAAAAACCGAGTCGCTGAATGTTGGCCCCCGTTTCCTTTGATTGATATTTTTATATGGTACGTTTGATAAAAGCTGGATAAATGAGGATACTGCCATACAGGTAGCTGGTTTAGTGATTTTTCTCAGCGGCCTTTAGGAGGTGATTAAATCCTTTTATGGTTAGAAAAGCAAAAACGGAATTATCCTGAGATTAACGTGAGATGGAAATAATTTCTCCGAGATAAAATGTTTTGAAAGGAAGCATTTATGTAACGGAGGTCATGGATTATTCCAGGGATGCACTGTTAAAAGTTCCTAGAATCTGACTGACAACAATGCCCATTAATTGCTGTCCGCCCACTCCCTTATTCTCAGTGCGGGGGACAGTATATTTTCTGTGATTCACAAACAATGTTATATTTGGTGCTTTGTTCTTCACGGGGTTCATTTATGGAATATTACCTTTAGGACCTTCGGACCTAAATATAACTTTATTTGAACAAAGTGAAGTTTCTCTTTACCCCAATAGGTAATGGGTGTCGTGACTGTAAGATTTCCATAGTCCTCAAATCCATCCAGCTAATCAATCCTTCAGAAACTGACATTGTAATTGTAACTGAAATCCTACCCACGTGGTAGACTTCAGATTTCTCAGCTGACGCACACTGCTGTTGGTACTCTAGGGCTGAATATAAGCATTATACATGTCCTGTGGTTTATCCTTAGATTGTCATTTAGGAGAAAGGTCTAAAGCTGGGCTGAATGCCATGCACTCATAGTCCCAGCTACTTGGGAGGCCGAGGTGAGAGGATTGCTTGAGTCCTGGAGTTCAAGCCCAGCCTGGGAAACACAGTGAGACCTCATTGCTAATAAATAAATAAATGAATAAATAAATAAACACATAAATAAATTCATTAAATAAATAAAGTTTTCATGGTATAGGAAAACACAGATGCAAAGTTTTTGTGCCTAGTGGCTGGTAATGTTGCAAACGTAACTCCTTAGTGAACTGTACCACTTAAAAATAGTTAAGATGGTAAATTTTAGGATATCTGTATTTTTTACCACAATTGGAAATTCCTTTCTTCCTAAAGTTCAGTGCAGTTATCATATATTCTTTTAAATTTTTACTGTATGTATCTTCAAGACATAACATTCATAGAAAATTTGCAAGAATAGTACAATGAACTCATATACTGTTCATCTGGATTCACCAATTGTTAGTAGCTTTCGCTTCATAGGTTTCACATCTCTTCCCTCCGTCTCTTACCGTGCTGCCCACACACTCACACACACACACACACACACACATACGGATATATGTTTACTGTTATTAATGGTGAATTGTCTCGATAAAGTTTCAGGGATTATGGTCCTTTACCCTATGTACTTGAGGGTGTGTATATCGTCAGAACAAAGAGAAAGTCATTTCTTGGATCATCACTGCACAAAGATAAAAATCAGGAAATTTAACAATGAGAAAATGGAGTCATTTAATACAGAGTGCATACTCAAATTTTGCCAGTTCCCCAGAAAATTTCTTTTTTCCTTTTTTTTTTCTTTGTTGAGACGGAGTCTCTCTCTGTGGGCCAGGTGGGAGTGCAGTAGTGCGATCTCGGCTCACTGCAACCTACACCTCCCAGGTTCTAGGGATTCTCATGCCTCAGCCTCCCGTGTAGCTGGGACTACAGGCGCCGGCCACTGCGGTCTTGAACTTCTGGCCTCACCTGCTCTGCCCACCTTGGCATCCCAAAATGTTTGGATTGCAGGCGTGAGACCCCACGCCCGGCCCAGATAATTTTATTGATAGGATTTCTTTTTCTGATCCAGAGTCCAGTTCAGAATCACACCTTGCATGTGCTTTTCAGGTGTTTTTAGTTTCCTTTAACCTGTAATGTTTCCTTAATTTTTCTTGTCATTCACGATACGGACATTTTTGGAGAGGATAGACCAGTTGGTTTGCAGAATATTCTGCAGTTTGGGCTTTTTCATGTATTTTTAAAAGAGTTTTCTCACTCAGCGTTTATTGGTGGCTACTCATGCCATGTAAGAGTCTAAGCGCTAGGAGTGTAAGTGCTGTGAGAGACGGGATTTGAGCCTTGAGTCATTTAATACGAGAAGGACAATCAGAAGTAGAATAAGAGAGAAGTGCAAAGGAGGCAGCAAAGTTGTCTGAGGGCAGTCTTCGGAAAGGAAGAGGGTATTATTTGGAACACCTTGTTTTCCTGTTTTCTGCTAATGGACTCCTGAAATAATGTTCCTGGGATTCTTATCAACACATTTATTATTACGTTAGCTAAAGCTTTTATATAATAATACCGAGAGCATGAATATTATTTTCTTATTCATACTTTATGTTTTACTGCTTAAATTGATACGTATTTTTTATTTTTAAGGGCCGAAGCCTGAAGCTCATAGCCAGGAACAGGGTCACCCACAGACTGGGTGTGAGTGTGAAGATGGTCCTGATGGGCAGGAGATGGACCCGCCAAATCCAGAGGAGGTGAAAACGCCTGAAGAAGGTAGGCAATCCATTAGGCATGCACATTGTAGGGTGTCTGTTTCCACAGTATCATATTGTAATTGTTACTATGTTTTTGAGACGGAGTCTCGCTCTGAAGACCAGGCTGGAGTGCAGTGGTGCCATTTCGGCTCACTGGAAATTCTGTCTCCAGGGTTCAAGTGATTCTCCTGCCTGAGCCTCTGGCGGAGCCGGGCTTACAGGCATGCTCCGCCGCGCCCAGCTAATTGTTGTATTTTTAGTAGAGACAGGGTTTCGTTATGTTGCACAGGTTGTTCCCGAACTCCTGACCTCAGGTGATCCACCTGCCTCGACCATTGAAATTGCCGGGATTACAGGCGAGAGCCACCGTGCCCGACCCAGCATTATATTTTTAATAACGGAGAGGTAACAATACTGCCTCTTTAGTAACAGAGTTCTTATATAAAGGTTATTTGAAACGTAGTTCAGGCCCCAGCACCCGACTGATAGACTGTCAGGTAGGGAAACAAACTGAGTCAAAGCTATGTTGAATTAAAAGTTTTGAGTGTAAATCCTTAAACCAGTAGCTCACAATTTTCAGATGCTTTTGTAAAGGTCTGCTTTTAATCAATACATAACACGTTTGTAACACCCATCACTTGGTGTGAAAAATGCTGAAGCACTCATGCGGGTTCTAATACCAGCTCTTACAGCCTTGGCGAGATTCTGAGTGAGTCCTTTCCCTTCTAAACCTATCTTTGGTTCTTATGAAAATAGTGAGTTTAAGTCAGAGATTTTAAAACCATTTTGCATTCCGTTTCTTTCATACTCTGATCCTGTTGCATAGAATGCGTGGGACACAGAGATCATCTGCTTCGCATGGTTTGTTAATCACAAATCATGAAACCCTGGCCCGAGTCATCTGAAAATCTCTGAATTGAGATTTCATTGTCAGTAAGACAGTGAGCGGGCCCTCTGCTTCATCCTAGTTTTTCCGTGTGGAGAGCTGAATACGTAGTGTAAGATCTTGTGAAATTGTGAATTCTCCCTCTTCTTGGTTTGTTTGTTTGCGACAGAGTCTCAGTGTGTCACCCAGGCTGGAGTGCAGTGATGCAATTTCAGCTCACTGCAACTTCTGGCTCCCAGGCTAAAGCCGTCCTCCCACCTCAGCCTCCCGAGTGGCTGGAACTACATGCACAAGCCACCGTGCCTGACTACATTTTTTTGTTTTCATTTTTGTAGAGATGAGGTCTCACTGTGTTGCCCAGGCAGGGTTTCTCTGGCTTTTAATGAACAATTGCTTCTTTTTTTTTCTTTTATTTATTTATTTATTTATTTATTTATTTATTTATTTATTTATCATTATACTTTAAGTTTTAGGGTACATGTGCACGTTGTGCAGGTTAGTTACATATGTATACATGTGCCATGCTGGTGCGCTGCACCCACTATCTCATCATCTAGCATTAGGTACATCTCCCAGTGCTATCCCTCCCCCCTCCCCCCACCCGACAGCAGTCCCCAGGGTGTGATATTCCCCTTCCTCTGTCCATGTGATCTCATTGTTCAGTTCCCACCTATGAGTGAGAATATGCGGTGTTTGGTTTTTTGTTCTTGCAATAGTTTACTGAGAATGATGATTTCCAGTTTCATCCATGTCCCTACAAAGGACATGAACTCATCATTTTTTAGGGCTGCATAGTATTCCATGGTGTATATGTGCCACATTTTCTTAATCCAGTCTATCGTTGTTGGACATTTGGGTTGGTTCCAAGTCTTTGCTATCGTGAATAATGCCGCAATAAACATACGTGTGCATGTGTCTTTATAGCAGCATGATTTATAGTCCTTTGGGTATATACCCAGTAATGGGATGGCTGGGTCAAATGGTACAATTGCTTCTTAAAACTTTCCCCACGGAAACCTTGAGTGACTGAAATAAATATCAAATGGCGAGAGACCGTTTAGTTCGTATCATCTGTGGCATGTAGGTCAGTGATGCTCAGCATGGGTGTGAGTAAGATGCCTGTGCTATGCATGCTCCCTGCCCCACTGTCAGTCTTCATGAGCCACTATTTCTAATAAGACTGTAGACACACATACGATATAATCATCTCTAATCATATCAAATGTTACATGTAAGTTTCACCTTTAGAGACATGAATTGATAAGATTTGAAGTTGAAAGACCATGACTCTAGTACTTCCTGAGTAATCAACTGAAGTATGCTTTACACATGTGTTTTCCAAATTGCTGACTGTTAATTGTAAGTGCTTGTGACTTGAAAGGAAGCACTTGATGTTCAGGGAGGAAATTCCTTTTAAATTCTGCAGGTCTACGCTCAAAGTTAATGCAGAGGTTCAATTGCGTGTAAGACACGGGATCTCCCATAGGGTTCTGTTTTTAGTCCATTTAATAAAACCCAAACTGTAGTGTGCTTTGTATGCCTTTAGGGTCATCTGAATAATCTGTTGCTAAGTCATGTTCCCAATCGTTGTGTTTCTGTTACAGGTGAAAAGCAATCACAGTGTTAAAAGAAGACACGTTGAAATGATGCAGGCTGCTCCTATGTTGGAAATTTGTTCATTAAAATTCTCCCAATAAAGCTTTACAGCCTTCTGCAAAGAAGTCTTGCGCATCTTTTGTGAAGTTTATTTCTAGCTTTTTGATGCTGTGAAATATGTATCATTCTTTGAAATCGTGTATTGTAACTCTCTGAGCTGGTATGTAGAGACATCGTTCTTTTTTTTTCTTTTTTTCTTTGTCCTCTTTTGAGACGGAGTCTTGCTCTGTCGCCCAGGCTGGAGTGCAGTGGCGCGATCTCTGCTCACTGCAACCCCGCCTCCCGGATTCAAGCAATTGTCTGCCTCAGCCTCCCGAGTAGCTGGGATTATAGGCACCCACCAGCACGCCTGGCTAAGTTTTGTGTTTTTACTAGAGATGGGCTTTCGCCATCTTGGCCGGGGTGCTCTTGAACTCCTGACCTCGTGATTCACCTGCCTTGGCCTCCCAAAGTGCTGGGATTACAGGCATGAGCCTCCGTGCCCGGTGGAGACATAATTCTTACATATTGGTTTTCTATCCAGCGGCCTTGTGAAATATGCTTGTGAATTCTAAAGTTTACTTCTAGGTCGTTTTCAGTCTTCAATATACAGAAACATATCATCCTGGAATAAGAGCAGTTTTGTTTCCGCCATATTTTTTTCTTTTCCCTTTTGTATTTTTTTGTAGAGACGGGGTTTTGCCATGTTTCCCGGGCTGTTGTTGAACTTTTGAGTGCAAGTGATGCACCCACCTCACCTCCCACAGTGCTGGGATTACTGGCGTGGGCCACCGTGGCGGGCCCGTCATTGCCATTGTAAAGAGTTTTATTTCCTTTTCTGATTTTATGGCATTGCGCAGACCCACCCGTTACAATGGTGACAGTGGACATCCTTGTCTTATCCCTGATGAGAAACCGAAAAATTTCAACATTTCACCATCCTATTCACTCTCCTTTTTTTGTAGACGGACTTTATCAGAGTGAGTCATTGCATTCTGTTCCAAATTTGCTGAGAGTATTCATTTGAATATATGTTGATTTTCATCAAACAGTGCATCTATTTCGATTACCACAGCGTTTTTTCCCATTCATGTGTTAATATAGTGAATTCGATTGATAAATTTGTACGTTTTTAGGTTCGATTATTAAAACTTGAGACAGCGTCTCACTCTGTCACCGAGGCTGGAGTGCGGTGGTGTTATCAGAGCTCGCTGCAGCCTTGACCTGCTGGGCTCAAGCGCGCCTCCCACCTCAGCCTCCTGAGGAGCTGTGAGTATAGGTACATGCCACCATGCCCAGCTAATTTTTCGATGGTTTTTTGTTTGTTTTTTGTAGTGATGAGATTTTCTGATGTTGCTTAGGCTGGTCTCGAAGTCCTGAGCTCAGGTGATCTGGCCAGCTCAGCCTCCCAAAATACTAGGATTACAGGCGTGAGCCTTGGCCTGGTCTGGTTTTTCTTATATAGGGGTCTTATCTATATAAAGACTAAAGTTAATCTGTGCCTTTGTGCGGGTGGGCTAAGAGCATGATGACTTTTATCATTCTATTGATTTAAAGAAAACTGTCCTTGACTTACCAGTGTGTAAGTCCATGAAAGCATAATTCTGTTGAAAGCATATATTGTTAATGGGTGTTGGGAACCGTGCACTTTCCGCTGCTGTGGGAGCATGTCCTTGGAGGTACCTTTCATCTGTTTTCTCAACTCCAAACATCTTAGGACCATGGGTTGTGACTGGTAGGACTATGTATCTTGCTGCTTTCAAGACGGAGTATATTTTCACGTGGTGTCACTCTGGCTGTCCTGTTTCCCTAATACTGTCACTTCACCCTCTGCGATTCTGATGCTACAAATGATAGATATCGTTTTAGCATTTTCTTACGGGTCCTAGCGATTCTATTCATTTTTCTTTCAGTCTCTTTCTCTGACTTGTTCACATTGAACAATTTCCTTTTGGGATAGGTTGCTATTTCTGTTTTCGCAGGTGGTTTACCTGTCTTCCCAGCCAGTCACAGTGGTCCTTGTCCCCATGGTGGGTCCGGGGCAAGAGAGGGCCCTGGGTTGGGGGTGGGGTTCAGTTGAAGATGGGGTGAGTTTTGAGGGGAGCACTACTTGAGTCCCAGAGGCATAGGAAACAGCAGAGGGAGGTGGGATTCCCTTATCCTCAATGAGGATGGGCATGGAGGGTTTGGGGCGTGGCGCTGGGAACGGCAGCCCTCCCCAGCCCACAGCCGCGCATGCTCCCTGGGCTCCCGCCTCAGTGCGCATGTTCACTGGGCGTCTTCTGCCCGGCCCCTTCGCCCACGTGAAGAACGCCAGGGAGCTGTGAGGCAGTGCTGTGTGGTTCCTGCCGTCCGGACTCTTTTTCCTCTACTGAGATTCATCTGGTAGGTGTGCAGGCCAGTCATCCCGGGGGCTGAAGTGTGAGTGAGGGTGGAGAGGGCCTCGGGTGGGTCAGGCGGGTCCCGCTTCCTGGTCTGTGGCCTCCGAGGGAGAAGGGCCACGAGGTCGTCCTCCTTCCCTTCACAGGCTGCGAGGCCACCGGCGGCTTCGTGGTCGTGAAGGGGCCTGGACGGGGAGGAAGGTGGGCCGTGGAGGGGAGGCGGTCAGGGGCTCAGGTGAAGACGGGGTGAGTGCTGTTGGGGGGATGGAAGTCCCGAGGTGCCGGGATCCCCGACGACACAGGGCAGATTCCCTGAATGGGGCCCCCGGCGGGGGCGAGGCGGGCGGTGAAGAAGGGGCCTGGCACCTGGGAAGGCTGCGGCCTGGCGAGCGCCCCCTCAGCGGTGTGGAGTGCGGAGCGCCCGAGTGAGAAGCACTGCAAGGTCTCACCTCCGCCATGGAAGGTCCGAAAACAGTGGGAAGGAGTGGGCGAGGCAGTGCGGTCCAACCAAACTTGTTGTGAGTGGGGGTGAATGGCTCTAGGAAGTGGGAGTGTGCCCAAAGCAGCAATCACGAGAATTGTGATTCACTAGGGTTTTCGTGGGGAGTGCACTTGTGAAACTAAACCTCATCAGAAATGACCTCTGTCTGCGGGGCGCAGTGGCGCTCGCCTACGTATTCCCAGTTACTGGGGACACTGAGGTGGGAGGATCCCTTGAGCGGGAGGTCGAGGCTGCAGTGAGCTGTGATCACGCCGCTGCACTCCAGCCTGAGCAACACAGCGAGACCGCGTGTCCAAAAGAAATTTAGAAAAAAATGTCCTCTGCCTTTTGCCACACGCCTTAAGATGATTGCTCTGCCAGCCTGGCCAGCAGAAGTGGCTTTGTAGGCACTCAGACAGCGTACACACGTATGCTTAACTCTGGGACTTATTTTGAGAGTATTTTCAAAAGTAAAACGGCAAGTTAACATTTATCCATGGAAGTGATCGAATATAGCAGCCCTCTGGAGCGCACGTTCCCAATCACGGTTGTCTGTTTTCAGTGTGAAATATGAGTTGGCGAGGAAGATCGACCTATTATTGGCCTAGACCAAGGCGCTATGTACAGCCTCCTGAAATGATTGGGCCTATGCGGGTGAGTGCTTAAACGTTAATTCGATGTTTTCTATTAGTAGAAATTAATTTTTGTGATAGCGTCGTTGCATTAGTGTGGAAATGCTGATAAAGGTCTTTCCTGCTCATAAAAAATGAGGATGGCATCTCATGAAGGAAACATTGATTCTGGAGGATTTTTTTTTTCCTCTCGTGTTCTTCAGCTTTTGCCCATGACTTCTTTCTCCGGCTTTGTTTGTTAATGACAGATTGTACACATGTATTCCAACACAGAGTATAATAGCCCCCAAAGTCCTCGTGCGTCACTTTTCTCACAGTAACCTCCCTGTGGGTGGAGTAACCTTATTGGGCATAGAGCATAGAGTTGGAGAAATGTCTTTAGGCTTAGTTAGGACCAGAAATAGCTATGTATTCTGTGTATATATGTAAAATTTTGTATCAATAACGAAACTTATTTTCTATTTGCACACCCACACGTATTCCCCAGCCCGAGCAGTTCAGTGATGAAGTGGAACCAGCAACACCTGAAGAAGGGGAACCAGCAACTCAACGTCAGGATCCTGCAGCTGCTCAGGAGGGAGAGGATGAGGGAGCATCTGCAGGTCAAGGTGAGGGAAAGGGAAGAAGAACGTCTGCTGGTGTGTGCGTGTGTGTGTGTTCGTGTGTGTGTGTGCACGTGTGTGTGTGTTAGGCATTGTCACATAGGAGGAAGAGGAGGAAAGAAAACAATGGAAAGAATGCCTGAAATTGACTGGAAAAGCGAGGAGGCTATGTAGTTTGCAGCTTAGCTTAGGCAAATCCCTCACTATGATAAAAGTTCTCGACTTTATGAATGAGAGAATGGAGGTGCCAGGATTGTGTGTTATCCAAGAACCCTTGACTGGTGAATACAACATTTGTACTGTGTTCTAAGGTTTGTGTCTTCCTATCATGTATGTTGCTGGAAAGAAGGAAGTGATTTTGCTGAAAATGCTTAAAACTCAAAAGGCTTTACTGTAAGGTAGCTTAGTACTGACCCAAGAATAGACCCAGTTCAGAGGAGCAGGAGCAGCTCCAAAAACCGAGTCGCTGAATGTTGGCCCCCGTTTCCTTTGATTGATATTTTTATATGGTACGTTTGATAAAAGCTGGATAAATGAGGATACTGCCATACAGGTAGCTGGTTTAGTGATTTTTCTCAGCGGCCTTTAGGAGGTGATTAAATCCTTTTATGGTTAGAAAAGCAAAAACGGAATTATCCTGAGATTAACGTGAGATGGAAATAATTTCTCCGAGATAAAATGTTTTGAAAGGAAGCATTTATGTAACGGAGGTCATGGATTATTCCAGGGATGCACTGTTAAAAGTTCCTAGAATCTGACTGACAACAATGCCCATTAATTGCTGTCCGCCCACTCCCTTATTCTCAGTGCGGGGGACAGTATATTTTCTGTGATTCACAAACAATGTTATATTTGGTGCTTTGTTCTTCACGGGGTTCATTTATGGAATATTACCTTTAGGACCTTCGGACCTAAATATAACTTTATTTGAACAAAGTGAAGTTTCTCTTTACCCCAATAGGTAATGGGTGTCGTGACTGTAAGATTTTCCATAGTCCTCAAATCCATCCAGCTAATCAATCCTTCAGAAACTGACATTGTAATTGTAACTGAAATCCTACCCACGTGGTAGACTTCAGATTTCTCAGCTGACGCACACTGCTGTTGGTACTCTAGGGCTGAATATAAGCATTATACATGTCCTGTGGTTTATCCTTAGATTGTCATTTAGGAGAAAGGTCTAAAGCTGGGCTGAATGCCATGCACTCATAGTCCCAGCTACTTGGGAGGCCGAGGTGAGAGGATTGCTTGAGTCCTGGAGTTCAAGCCCAGCCTGGGAAACACAGTGAGACCTCATTGCTAATAAATAAATAAATGAATAAATAAATAAACACATAAATAAATTCATTAAATAAATAAAGTTTTCATGGTATAGGAAAACACAGATGCAAAGTTTTTGTGCCTAGTGGCTGGTAATGTTGCAAACGTAACTCCTTAGTGAACTGTACCACTTAAAAATAGTTAAGATGGTAAATTTTAGGATATCTGTATTTTTTACCACAATTGGAAATTCCTTTCTTCCTAAAGTTCAGTGCAGTTATCATATATTCTTTTAAATTTTTACTGTATGTATCTTCAAGACATAACATTCATAGAAAATTTGCAAGAATAGTACAATGAACTCATATACTGTTCATCTGGATTCACCAATTGTTAGTAGCTTTCGCTTCATAGGTTTCACATCTCTTCCCTCCGTCTCTTACCGTGCTGCCCACACACTCACACACACACACACACACACACATACGGATATATGTTTACTGTTATTAATGGTGAATTGTCTCGATAAAGTTTCAGGGATTATGGTCCTTTACCCTATGTACTTGAGGGTGTGTATATCGTCAGAACAAAGAGAAAGTCATTTCTTGGATCATCACTGCACAAAGATAAAAATCAGGAAATTTAACAATGAGAAAATGGAGTCATTTAATACAGAGTGCATACTCAAATTTTGCCAGTTCCCCAGAAAATTTCTTTTTTCCTTTTTTTTTTCTTTGTTGAGACGGAGTCTCTCTCTGTGGGCCAGGTGGGAGTGCAGTAGTGCGATCTCGGCTCACTGCAACCTACACCTCCCAGGTTCTAGGGATTCTCATGCCTCAGCCTCCCGTGTAGCTGGGACTACAGGCGCCGGCCACTGCGGTCTTGAACTTCTGGCCTCACCTGCTCTGCCCACCTTGGCATCCCAAAATGTTTGGATTGCAGGCGTGAGACCCCACGCCCGGCCCAGATAATTTTATTGATAGGATTTCTTTTTCTGATCCAGAGTCCAGTTCAGAATCACACCTTGCATGTGCTTTTCAGGTGTTTTTAGTTTCCTTTAACCTGTAATGTTTCCTTAATTTTTCTTGTCATTCACGATACGGACATTTTTGGAGAGGATAGACCAGTTGGTTTGCAGAATATTCTGCAGTTTGGGCTTTTTCATGTATTTTTAAAAGAGTTTTCTCACTCAGCGTTTATTGGTGGCTACTCATGCCATGTAAGAGTCTAAGCGCTAGGAGTGTAAGTGCTGTGAGAGACGGGATTTGAGCCTTGAGTCATTTAATACGAGAAGGACAATCAGAAGTAGAATAAGAGAGAAGTGCAAAGGAGGCAGCAAAGTTGTCTGAGGGCAGTCTTCGGAAAGGAAGAGGGTATTATTTGGAACACCTTGTTTTCCTGTTTTCTGCTAATGGACTCCTGAAATAATGTTCCTGGGATTCTTATCAACACATTTAGTATTACGTTAGCTAAAGCTTTTATATAATAATACCGAGAGCATGAATATTATTTTCTTATTCATACTTTATGTTTTACTGCTTAAATTGATACGTATTTTTTATTTTTAAGGGCCGAAGCCTGAAGCTCATAGCCAGGAACAGGGTCACCCACAGACTGGGTGTGAGTGTGAAGATGGTCCTGATGGGCAGGAGATGGACCCGCCAAATCCAGAGGAGGTGAAAACGCCTGAAGAAGGTAGGCAATCCATTAGGCATGCACATTGTAGGGTGTCTGTTTCCACAGTATCATATTGTAATTGTTACTATGTTTTTGAGACGGAGTCTCGCTCTGAAGACCAGGCTGGAGTGCAGTGGTGCCATTTCGGCTCACTGGAAATTCTGTCTCCAGGGTTCAAGTGATTCTCCTGCCTGAGCCTCTGGCGGAGCCGGGCTTACAGGCATGCTCCGCCGCGCCCAGCTAATTGTTGTATTTTTAGTAGAGACAGGGTTTCGTTATGTTGCACAGGTTGTTCCCGAACTCCTGACCTCAGGTGATCCACCTGCCTCGACCATTGAAATTGCCGGGATTACAGGCGAGAGCCACCGTGCCCGACCCAGCATTATATTTTTAATAACGGAGAGGTAACAATACTGCCTCTTTAGTAACAGAGTTCTTATATAAAGGTTATTTGAAACGTAGTTCAGGCCCCAGCACCCGACTGATAGACTGTCAGGTAGGGAAACAAACTGAGTCAAAGCTATGTTGAATTAAAAGTTTTGAGTGTAAATCCTTAAACCAGTAGCTCACAATTTTCAGATGCTTTTGTAAAGGTCTGCTTTTAATCAATACATAACACGTTTGTAACACCCATCACTTGGTGTGAAAAATGCTGAAGCACTCATGCGGGTTCTAATACCAGCTCTTACAGCCTTGGCGAGATTCTGAGTGAGTCCTTTCCCTTCTAAACCTATCTTTGGTTCTTATGAAAATAGTGAGTTTAAGTCAGAGATTTTAAAACCATTTTGCATTCCGTTTCTTTCATACTCTGATCCTGTTGCATAGAATGCGTGGGACACAGAGATCATCTGCTTCGCATGGTTTGTTAATCACAAATCATGAAACCCTGGCCCGAGTCATCTGAAAATCTCTGAATTGAGATTTCATTGTCAGTAAGACAGTGAGCCGGCCCTCTGCTTCATCCTAGTTTTTCCGTGTGGAGAGCTGAATACGTAGTGTAAGATCTTGTGAAATTGTGAATTCTCCCTCTTCTTGGTTTGTTTGTTTGTTTGCGACAGAGTCTCAGTGTGTCACCCAGGCTGGAGTGCAGTGATGCAATTTCAGCTCACTGCAACTTCTGGCTCCCAGGCTAAAGCCGTCCTCCCACCTCAGCCTCCCGAGTGGCTGGAACTACATGCACAAGCCACCGTGCCTGACTACATTTTTTTGTTTTCATTTTTGTAGAGATGAGGTCTCACTGTGTTGCCCAGGCAGGGTTTCTCTGGCTTTTAATGAACAATTGCTTCTTTTTTTTTCTTTTATTTATTTATTTATTTATTTATTTATTTATTTATCATTATACTTTAAGTTTTAGGGTACATGTGCACGTTGTGCAGGTTAGTTACATATGTATACATGTGCCATGCTGGTGCGCTGCACCCACTATCTCATCATCTAGCATTAGGTACATCTCCCAGTGCTATCCCTCCCCCCTCCCCCCACCCGACAACAGTCCCCAGGGTGTGATATTCCCCTTCCTCTGTCCATGTGATCTCATTGTTCAGTTCCCACCTATGAGTGAGAATATGCGGTGTTTGGTTTTTTGTTCTTGCAATAGTTTACTGAGAATGATGATTTCCAGTTTCATCCATGTCCCTACAAAGGACATGAACTCATCATTTTTTAGGGCTGCATAGTATTCCATGGTGTATATGTGCCACATTTTCTTAATCCAGTCTATCGTTGTTGGACATTTGGGTTGGTTCCAAGTCTTTGCTATCGTGAATAATGCCGCAATAAACATACGTGTGCATGTGTCTTTATAGCAGCATGATTTATAGTCCTTTGGGTATATACCCAGTAATGGGATGGCTGGGTCAAATGGTACAATTGCTTCTTAAAACTTTCCCCACGGAAACCTTGAGTGACTGAAATAAATATCAAATGGCGAGAGACCGTTTAGTTCGTATCATCTGTGGCATGTAGGTCAGTGATGCTCAGCATGGGTGTGAGTAAGATGCCTGTGCTATGCATGCTCCCTGCCCCACTGTCAGTCTTCATGAGCCACTATTTCTAATAAGACTGTAGACACACATACGATATAATCATCTCTAATCATATCAAATGTTACATGTAAGTTTCACCTTTAGAGACATGAATTGATAAGATTTGAAGTTGAAAGACCATGACTCTAGTACTTCCTGAGTAATCAACTGAAGTATGCTTTACGCATGTGTTTTCCAAATTGCTGACTGTTAATTGTAAGTGCTTGTGACTTGAAAGGAAGCACTTGATGTTCAGGGAGGAAATTCCTTTTAAATTCTGCAGGTCTACGCTCAAAGTTAATGCAGAGGTTCAATTGCGTGTAAGACACGGGATCTCCCATAGGGTTCTGTTTTTAGTCCATTTAATAAAACCCAAACTGTAGTGTGCTTTGTATGCCTTTAGGGTCATCTGAATAATCTGTTGCTAAGTCATGTTCCCAATCGTTGTGTTTCTGTTACAGGTGAAAAGCAATCACAGTGTTAAAAGAAGACACGTTGAAATGATGCAGGCTGCTCCTATGTTGGAAATTTGTTCATTAAAATTCTCCCAATAAAGCTTTACAGCCTTCTGCAAAGAAGTCTTGCGCATCTTTTGTGAAGTTTATTTCTAGCTTTTTGATGCTGTGAAATATGTATCATTCTTTGAAATCGTGTATTGTAACTCTCTGAGCTGGTATGTAGAGACATCGTTCTTTTTTTTTCTTTTTTTCTTTGTCCTCTTTTGAGACGGAGTCTTGCTCTGTCGCCCAGGCTGGAGTGCAGTGGCGCGATCTCTGCTCACTGCAACCCCGCCTCCCGGATTCAAGCAATTGTCTGCCTCAGCCTCCCGAGTAGCTGGGATTATAGGCACCCACCAGCACGCCTGGCTAAGTTTTGTGTTTTTACTAGAGATGGGCTTTCGCCATCTTGGCCGGGGTGCTCTTGAACTCCTGACCTCGTGATTCACCTGCCTTGGCCTCCCAAAGTGCTGGGATTACAGGCATGAGCCTCCGTGCCCGGTGGAGACATAATTCTTACATATTGGTTTTCTATCCAGCGGCCTTGTGAAATATGCTTGTGAATTCTAAAGTTTACTTCTAGGTCGTTTTCAGTCTTCAATATACAGAAACATATCATCCTGGAATAAGAGCAGTTTTGTTTCCGCCATATTTTTTTCTTTTCCCTTTTGTATTTTTTTGTAGAGACGGGGTTTTGCCATGTTTCCCGGGCTGTTGTTGAACTTTTGAGTGCAAGTGATGCACCCACCTCACCTCCCACAGTGCTGGGATTACTGGCGTGGGCCACCGTGGCGGGCCCGTCGTTGGCATTGTAAAGAGTTTTATTTCCTTTTCTGATTTTATGGCATTGTGCAGACCCACCCGTTACAATGGTGACAGTGGACATCCTTGTCTTCTCCCTGATGAGAAACCGAAAAATTTCAACATTTCGCCATCCTATTCACTCTCCTTTTTTTGTAGACGGACTTTATCAGAGTGAGTCATTGCATTCTGTTCCAAATTTGCTGAGAGTATTCATTTGAATATATGTTGATTTTCATCAAACAGTGCATCTATTTCGATTACCACAGCGTTTTTTCCCATTCATGTGTTAATATAGTGAATTCGATTGATAAATTTGTACGTTTTTAGGTTCGATTATTAAAACTTGAGACAGCGTCTCACTCTGTCACCGAGGCTGGAGTGCGGTGGTGTTATCAGAGCTCGCTGCAGCCTTGACCTCCTGGGCTCAAGCGCGCCTCCCACCTCAGCCTCCTGAGGAGCTGTGAGTATAGGTACATGCCACCATGCCCAGCTAATTTTTCGATGGTTTTTTGTTTGTTTTTTGTAGTGATGAGATTTTCTGATGTTGCTTAGGCTGGTCTCGAAGTCCTGAGCTCAGGTGATCTGGCCAGCTCAGCCTCCCAAAATACTAGGATTACAGGCGTGAGCCTTGGCCTGGTCTGGTTTTTCTTATATAGGGGTCTTATCTATATAAAGACTAAAGTTAATCTGTGCCTTTGTGCGGGTGGGCTAAGAGCATGATGACTTTTATCATTCTATTGATTTAAAGAAAACTGTCCTTGACTTACCAGTGTGTAAGTCCATGAAAGCATAATTCTGTTGAAAGCATATATTGTTAATGGGTGTTGGGAACCGTGCACTTTCCGCTGCTGTGGGAGCATGTCCTTGGAGGTACCTTTCATCTGTTTTCTCAACTCCAAACATCTTAGGACCATGGGTTGTGACTGGTAGGACTATGTATCTTGCTGCTTTCAAGACGGAGTATATTTTCACGTGGTGTCACTCTGGCTGTCCTGTTTCCCTAATACTGTCACTTCACCCTCTGCGATTCTGATGCTACAAATGATAGATATCGTTTTAGCATTTTCTTACGGGTCCTAGCGATTCTATTCATTTTTCTTTCAGTCTCTTTCTCTGACTTGTTCACATTGAACAATTTCCTTTTGGGATAGGTTGCTATTTCTGTTTTCGCAGGTGGTTTACCTGTCTTCCCAGCCAGTCACAGTGGTCCTTGTCCCCATGGTGGGTCCGGGGCAAGAGAGGGCCCTGGGTTGGGGGTGGGGTTCAGTTGAAGATGGGGTGAGTTTTGAGGGGAGCACTACTTGAGTCCCAGAGGCATAGGAAACAGCAGAGGGAGGTGGGATTCCCTTATCCTCAATGAGGATGGGCATGGAGGGTTTGGGGCGTGGCGCTGGGAACGGCAGCCCTCCCCAGCCCACAGCCGCGCATGCTCCCTGGGCTCCCGCCTCAGTGCGCATGTTCACTGGGCGTCTTCTGCCCGGCCCCTTCGCCCACGTGAAGAACGCCAGGGAGCTGTGAGGCAGTGCTGTGTGGTTCCTGCCGTCCGGACTCTTTTTCCTCTACTGAGATTCATCTGGTAGGTGTGCAGGCCAGTCATCCCGGGGGCTGAAGTGTGAGTGAGGGTGGAGAGGGCCTCGGGTGGGTCAGGCGGGTCCCGCTTCCTGGTCTGTGGCCTCCGAGGGAGAAGGGCCACGAGGTCGTCCTCCTTCCCTTCACAGGCTGCGAGGCCACCGGCGGCTTCGTGGTCGTGAAGGGGCCTGGACGGGGAGGAAGGTGGGCCGTGGAGGGGAGGCGGTCAGGGGCTCAGGTGAAGACGGGGTGAGTGCTGTTGGGGGGATGGAAGTCCCGAGGTGCCGGGATCCCCGACGACACAGGGCAGATTCCCTGAATGGGGCCCCCGGCGGGGGCGAGGCGGGCGGTGAAGAAGGGGCCTGGCACCTGGGAAGGCTGCGGCCTGGCGAGCGCCCCCTCAGCGGTGTGGAGTGCGGAGCGCCCGAGTGAGAAGCACTGCAAGGTCTCACCTCCGCCATGGAAGGTCCGAAAACAGTGGGAAGGAGTGGGCGAGGCAGTGCGGTCCAACCAAACTTGTTGTGAGTGGGGGTGAATGGCTCTAGGAAGTGGGAGTGTGCCCAAAGCAGCAATCACGAGAATTGTGATTCACTAGGGTTTTCGTGGGGAGTGCACTTGTGAAACTAAACCTCATCAGAAATGACCTCTGTCTGCGGGGCGCAGTGGCGCTCGCCTACGTATTCCCAGTTACTGGGGACACTGAGGTGGGAGGATCCCTTGAGCGGGAGGTCGAGGCTGCAGTGAGCTGTGATCACGCCGCTGCACTCCAGCCTGAGCAACACAGCGAGACCGCGTGTCCAAAAGAAATTTAGAAAAAAATGTCCTCTGCCTTTTGCCACACGCCTTAAGATGATTGCTCTGCCAGCCTGGCCAGCAGAAGTGGCTTTGTAGGCACTCAGACAGCGTACACACGTATGCTTAACTCTGGGACTTATTTTGAGAGTATTTTCAAAAGTAAAACGGCAAGTTAACATTTATCCATGGAAGTGATCGAATATAGCAGCCCTCTGGAGCGCACGTTCCCAATCACGGTTGTCTGTTTTCAGTGTGAAATATGAGTTGGCGAGGAAGATCGACCTATTATTGGCCTAGACCAAGGCGCTATGTACAGCCTCCTGAAATGATTGGGCCTATGCGGGTGAGTGCTTAAACGTTAATTCGATGTTTTCTATTAGTAGAAATTAATTTTTGTGATAGCGTCGTTGCATTAGTGTGGAAATGCTGATAAAGGTCTTTCCTGCTCATAAAAAATGAGGATGGCATCTCATGAAGGAAACATTGATTCTGGAGGATTTTTTTTTTCCTCTCGTGTTCTTCAGCTTTTGCCCATGACTTCTTTCTCCGGCTTTGTTTGTTAATGACAGATTGTACACATGTATTCCAACACAGAGTATAATAGCCCCCAAAGTCCTCGTGCGTCACTTTTCTCACAGTAACCTCCCTGTGGGTGGAGTAACCTTATTGGGCATAGAGCATAGAGTTGGAGAAATGTCTTTAGGCTTAGTTAGGACCAGAAATAGCTATGTATTCTGTGTATATATGTAAAATTTTGTATCAATAACGAAACTTATTTTTTATTTGCACACCCACACGTATTCCCCAGCCCGAGCAGTTCAGTGATGAAGTGGAACCAGCAACACCTGAAGAAGGGGAACCAGCAACTCAATGTCAGGATCCTGCAGCTGCTCAGAAGGGAGAGGATGAGGGAGCATCTGCAGGTCAAGGTGAGGGAAAGGGAAGAAGAACGTCTGCTGGTGTGTGCGTGTGTGTGTGTTCGTGTGTGTGTGTGCACGTGTGTGTGTGTTAGGCATTGTCACATAGGAGGAAGAGGAGGAAAGAAAACAATGGAAAGAATGCCTGAAATTGACTGGAAAAGCGAGGAGGCTATGTAGTTTGCAGCTTAGCTTAGGCAAATCCCTCACTATGATAAAAGTTCTCGACTTTATGAATGAGAGAATGGAGGTGCCAGGGTTGTGTGTTATCCAAGAACCCTTGACTGGTGAATACAACATTTGTACTGTGTTCTAAGGTTTGTGTCTTCCTATCATGTATGTTGCTGGAAAGAAGGAAGTGATTTTGCTGAAAATGCTTAAAACTCAAAAGGCTTTACTGTAAGGTAGCTTAGTACTGACCCAAGAATAGACCCAGTTCAGAGGAGCAGGAGCAGCTCCAAAAACCGAGTCGCTGAATGTTGGCCCCCGTTTCCTTTGATTGATATTTTTATATGGTACGTTTGATAAAAGCTGGATAAATGAGGATACTGCCATACAGGTAGCTGGTTTAGTGATTTTTCTCAGCGGCCTTTAGGAGGTGATTAAATCCTTTTATGGTTAGAAAAGCAAAAACGGAATTATCCTGAGATTAACGTGAGATGGAAATAATTTCTCCGAGATAAAATGTTTTGAAAGGAAGCATTTATGTAACGGAGGTCATGGATTATTCCAGGGATGCACTGTTAAAAGTTCCTAGAATCTGACTGACAACAATGCCCATTAATTGCTGTCCGCCCACTCCCTTATTCTCAGTGCGGGGGACAGTATATTTTCTGTGATTCACAAACAATGTTATATTTGGTGCTTTGTTCTTCACGGGGTTCATTTATGGAATATTACCTTTAGGACCTTCGGACCTAAATATAACTTTATTTGAACAAAGTGAAGTTTCTCTTTACCCCAATAGGTAATGGGTGTCGTGACTGTAAGATTTCCATAGTCCTCAAATCCATCCAGCTAATCAATCCTTCAGAAACTGACATTGTAATTGTAACTGAAATCCTACCCACGTGGTAGACTTCAGATTTCTCAGCTGACGCACACTGCTGTTGGTACTCTAGGGCTGAATATAAGCATTATACATGTCCTGTGGTTTATCCTTAGATTGTCATTTAGGAGAAAGGTCTAAAGCTGGGCTGAATGCCATGCACTCATAGTCCCAGCTACTTGGGAGGCCGAGGTGAGAGGATTGCTTGAGTCCTGGAGTTCAAGCCCAGCCTGGGAAACACAGTGAGACCTCATTGCTAATAAATAAATAAATGAATAAATAAATAAACACATAAATAAATTCATTAAATAAATAAAGTTTTCATGGTATAGGAAAACACAGATGCAAAGTTTTTGTGCCTAGTGGCTGGTAATGTTGCAAACGTAACTCCTTAGTGAACTGTACCACTTAAAAATAGTTAAGATGGTAAATTTTAGGATATCTGTATTTTTTACCACAATTGGAAATTCCTTTCTTCCTAAAGTTCAGTGCAGTTATCATATATTCTTTTAAATTTTTACTGTATGTATCTTCAAGACATAACATTCATAGAAAATTTGCAAGAATAGTACAATGAACTCATATACTGTTCATCTGGATTCACCAATTGTTAGTAGCTTTCGCTTCATAGGTTTCACATCTCTTCCCTCCGTCTCTTACCGTGCTGCCCACACACTCACACACACACACACACACACACATACGGATATATGTTTACTGTTATTAATGGTGAATTGTCTCGATAAAGTTTCAGGGATTATGGTCCTTTACCCTATGTACTTGAGGGTGTGTATATCGTCAGAACAAAGAGAAAGTCATTTCTTGGATCATCACTGCACAAAGATAAAAATCAGGAAATTTAACAATGAGAAAATGGAGTCATTTAATACAGAGTGCATACTCAAATTTTGCCAGTTCCCCAGAAAATTTCTTTTTTCCTTTTTTTTTTCTTTGTTGAGACGGAGTCTCTCTCTGTGGGCCAGGTGGGAGTGCAGTAGTGCGATCTCGGCTCACTGCAACCTACACCTCCCAGGTTCTAGGGATTCTCATGCCTCAGCCTCCCGTGTAGCTGGGACTACAGGCGCCGGCCACTGCGGTCTTGAACTTCTGGCCTCACCTGCTCTGCCCACCTTGGCATCCCAAAATGTTTGGATTGCAGGCGTGAGACCCCACGCCCGGCCCAGATAATTTTATTGATAGGATTTCTTTTTCTGATCCAGAGTCCAGTTCAGAATCACACCTTGCATGTGCTTTTCAGGTGTTTTTAGTTTCCTTTAACCTGTAATGTTTCCTTAATTTTTCTTGTCATTCACGATACGGACATTTTTGGAGAGGATAGACCAGTTGGTTTGCAGAATATTCTGCAGTTTGGGCTTTTTCATGTATTTTTAAAAGAGTTTTCTCACTCAGCGTTTATTGGTGGCTACTCATGCCATGTAAGAGTCTAAGCGCTAGGAGTGTAAGTGCTGTGAGAGACGGGATTTGAGCCTTGAGTCATTTAATACGAGAAGGACAATCAGAAGTAGAATAAGAGAGAAGTGCAAAGGAGGCAGCAAAGTTGTCTGAGGGCAGTCTTCGGAAAGGAAGAGGGTATTATTTGGAACACCTTGTTTTCCTGTTTTCTGCTAATGGACTCCTGAAATAATGTTCCTGGGATTCTTATCAACACATTTATTATTACGTTAGCTAAAGCTTTTATATAATAATACCGAGAGCATGAATATTATTTTCTTATTCATACTTTATGTTTTACTGCTTAAATTGATACGTATTTTTTATTTTTAAGGGCCGAAGCCTGAAGCTCATAGCCAGGAACAGGGTCACCCACAGACTGGGTGTGAGTGTGAAGATGGTCCTGATGGGCAGGAGATGGACCCGCCAAATCCAGAGGAGGTGAAAACGCCTGAAGAAGGTAGGCAATCCATTAGGCATGCACATTGTAGGGTGTCTGTTTCCACAGTATCATATTGTAATTGTTACTATGTTTTTGAGACGGAGTCTCGCTCTGAAGACCAGGCTGGAGTGCAGTGGTGCCATTTCGGCTCACTGGAAATTCTGTCTCCAGGGTTCAAGTGATTCTCCTGCCTGAGCCTCTGGCGGAGCCGGGCTTACAGGCATGCTCCGCCGCGCCCAGCTAATTGTTGTATTTTTAGTAGAGACAGGGTTTCGTTATGTTGCACAGGTTGTTCCCGAACTCCTGACCTCAGGTGATCCACCTGCCTCGACCATTGAAATTGCCGGGATTACAGGCGAGAGCCACCGTGCCCGACCCAGCATTATATTTTTAATAACGGAGAGGTAACAATACTGCCTCTTTAGTAACAGAGTTCTTATATAAAGGTTATTTGAAACGTAGTTCAGGCCCCAGCACCCGACTGATAGACTGTCAGGTAGGGAAACAAACTGAGTCAAAGCTATGTTGAATTAAAAGTTTTGAGTGTAAATCCTTAAACCAGTAGCTCACAATTTTCAGATGCTTTTGTAAAGGTCTGCTTTTAATCAATACATAACACGTTTGTAACACCCATCACTTGGTGTGAAAAATGCTGAAGCACTCATGCGGGTTCTAATACCAGCTCTTACAGCCTTGGCGAGATTCTGAGTGAGTCCTTTCCCTTCTAAACCTATCTTTGGTTCTTATGAAAATAGTGAGTTTAAGTCAGAGATTTTAAAACCATTTTGCATTCCGTTTCTTTCATACTCTGATCCTGTTGCATAGAATGCGTGGGACACAGAGATCATCTGCTTCGCATGGTTTGTTAATCACAAATCATGAAACCCTGGCCCGAGTCATCTGAAAATCTCTGAATTGAGATTTCATTGTCAGTAAGACAGTGAGCCGGCCCTCTGCTTCATCCTAGTTTTTCCGTGTGGAGAGCTGAATACGTAGTGTAAGATCTTGTGAAATTGTGAATTCTCCCTCTTCTTGGTTTGTTTGTTTGTTTGCGACAGAGTCTCAGTGTGTCACCCAGGCTGGAGTGCAGTGATGCAATTTCAGCTCACTGCAACTTCTGGCTCCCAGGCTAAAGCCGTCCTCCCACCTCAGCCTCCCGAGTGGCTGGAACTACATGCACAAGCCACCGTGCCTGACTACATTTTTTTGTTTTCATTTTTGTAGAGATGAGGTCTCACTGTGTTGCCCAGGCAGGGTTTCTCTGGCTTTTAATGAACAATTGCTTCTTTTTTTTTCTTTTATTTATTTATTTATTTATTTATTATTTATTTATCATTATACTTTAAGTTTTAGGGTACATGTGCACGTTGTGCAGGTTAGTTACATATGTATACATGTGCCATGCTGGTGCGCTGCACCCACTATCTCATCATCTAGCATTAGGTACATCTCCCAGTGCTATCCCTCCCCCCTCCCCCCACCCGACAACAGTCCCCAGGGTGTGATATTCCCCTTCCTCTGTCCATGTGATCTCATTGTTCAGTTCCCACCTATGAGTGAGAATATGCGGTGTTTGGTTTTTTGTTCTTGCAATAGTTTACTGAGAATGATGATTTCCAGTTTCATCCATGTCCCTACAAAGGACATGAACTCATCATTTTTTAGGGCTGCATAGTATTCCATGGTGTATATGTGCCACATTTTCTTAATCCAGTCTATCGTTGTTGGACATTTGGGTTGGTTCCAAGTCTTTGCTATCGTGAATAATGCCGCAATAAACATACGTGTGCATGTGTCTTTATAGCAGCATGATTTATAGTCCTTTGGGTATATACCCAGTAATGGGATGGCTGGGTCAAATGGTACAATTGCTTCTTAAAACTTTCCCCACGGAAACCTTGAGTGACTGAAATAAATATCAAATGGCGAGAGACCGTTTAGTTCGTATCATCTGTGGCATGTAGGTCAGTGATGCTCAGCATGGGTGTGAGTAAGATGCCTGTGCTATGCATGCTCCCTGCCCCACTGTCAGTCTTCATGAGCCACTATTTCTAATAAGACTGTAGACACACATACGATATAATCATCTCTAATCATATCAAATGTTACATGTAAGTTTCACCTTTAGAGACATGAATTGATAAGATTTGAAGTTGAAAGACCATGACTCTAGTACTTCCTGAGTAATCAACTGAAGTATGCTTTACGCATGTGTTTTCCAAATTGCTGACTGTTAATTGTAAGTGCTTGTGACTTGAAAGGAAGCACTTGATGTTCAGGGAGGAAATTCCTTTTAAATTCTGCAGGTCTACGCTCAAAGTTAATGCAGAGGTTCAATTGCGTGTAAGACACGGGATCTCCCATAGGGTTCTGTTTTTAGTCCATTTAATAAAACCCAAACTGTAGTGTGCTTTGTATGCCTTTAGGGTCATCTGAATAATCTGTTGCTAAGTCATGTTCCCAATCGTTGTGTTTCTGTTACAGGTGAAAAGCAATCACAGTGTTAAAAGAAGACACGTTGAAATGATGCAGGCTGCTCCTATGTTGGAAATTTGTTCATTAAAATTCTCCCAATAAAGCTTTACAGCCTTCTGCAAAGAAGTCTTGCGCATCTTTTGTGAAGTTTATTTCTAGCTTTTTGATGCTGTGAAATATGTATCATTCTTTGAAATCGTGTATTGTAACTCTCTGAGCTGGTATGTAGAGACATCGTTCTTTTTTTTTCTTTTTTTCTTTGTCCTCTTTTGAGACGGAGTCTTGCTCTGTCGCCCAGGCTGGAGTGCAGTGGCGCGATCTCTGCTCACTGCAACCCCGCCTCCCGGATTCAAGCAATTGTCTGCCTCAGCCTCCCGAGTAGCTGGGATTATAGGCACCCACCAGCACGCCTGGCTAAGTTTTGTGTTTTTACTAGAGATGGGCTTTCGCCATCTTGGCCGGGGTGCTCTTGAACTCCTGACCTCGTGATTCACCTGCCTTGGCCTCCCAAAGTGCTGGGATTACAGGCATGAGCCTCCGTGCCCGGTGGAGACATAATTCTTACATATTGGTTTTCTATCCAGCGGCCTTGTGAAATATGCTTGTGAATTCTAAAGTTTACTTCTAGGTCGTTTTCAGTCTTCAATATACAGAAACATATCATCCTGGAATAAGAGCAGTTTTGTTTCCGCCATATTTTTTTCTTTTCCCTTTTGTATTTTTTTGTAGAGACGGGGTTTTGCCATGTTTCCCGGGCTGTTGTTGAACTTTTGAGTGCAAGTGATGCACCCACCTCACCTCCCACAGTGCTGGGATTACTGGCGTGGGCCACCGTGGCGGGCCCGTCGTTGGCATTGTAAAGAGTTTTATTTCCTTTTCTGATTTTATGGCATTGTGCAGACCCACCCGTTACAATGGTGACAGTGGACATCCTTGTCTTCTCCCTGATGAGAAACCGAAAAATTTCAACATTTCGCCATCCTATTCACTCTCCTTTTTTTGTAGACGGACTTTATCAGAGTGAGTCATTGCATTCTGTTCCAAATTTGCTGAGAGTATTCATTTGAATATATGTTGATTTTCATCAAACAGTGCATCTATTTCGATTACCACAGCGTTTTTTCCCATTCATGTGTTAATATAGTGAATTCGATTGATAAATTTGTA
The DNA here is from genome assembly GCF_000001405.40 of Homo sapiens. Taxonomy (NCBI): domain Eukaryota; kingdom Metazoa; phylum Chordata; class Mammalia; order Primates; family Hominidae; genus Homo; species Homo sapiens. The sequence goes on from NC_000023.11 coordinate 49,588,346, forward strand.
CGTTTTTAGGTTCGATTATTAAAACTTGAGACAGCGTCTCACTCTGTCACCGAGGCTGGAGTGCGGTGGTGTTATCAGAGCTCGCTGCAGCCTTGACCTCCTGGGCTCAAGCGCGCCTCCCACCTCAGCCTCCTGAGGAGCTGTGAGTATAGGTACATGCCACCATGCCCAGCTAATTTTTCGATGGTTTTTTGTTTGTTTTTTGTAGTGATGAGATTTTCTGATGTTGCTTAGGCTGGTCTCGAAGTCCTGAGCTCAGGTGATCTGGCCAGCTCAGCCTCCCAAAATACTAGGATTACAGGCGTGAGCCTTGGCCTGGTCTGGTTTTTCTTATATAGGGGTCTTATCTATATAAAGACTAAAGTTAATCTGTGCCTTTGTGCGGGTGGGCTAAGAGCATGATGACTTTTATCATTCTATTGATTTAAAGAAAACTGTCCTTGACTTACCAGTGTGTAAGTCCATGAAAGCATAATTCTGTTGAAAGCATATATTGTTAATGGGTGTTGGGAACCGTGCACTTTCCGCTGCTGTGGGAGCATGTCCTTGGAGGTACCTTTCATCTGTTTTCTCAACTCCAAACATCTTAGGACCATGGGTTGTGACTGGTAGGACTATGTATCTTGCTGCTTTCAAGACGGAGTATATTTTCACGTGGTGTCACTCTGGCTGTCCTGTTTCCCTAATACTGTCACTTCACCCTCTGCGATTCTGATGCTACAAATGATAGATATCGTTTTAGCATTTTCTTACGGGTCCTAGCGATTCTATTCATTTTTCTTTCAGTCTCTTTCTCTGACTTGTTCACATTGAACAATTTCCTTTTGGGATAGGTTGCTATTTCTGTTTTCGCAGGTGGTTTACCTGTCTTCCCAGCCAGTCACAGTGGTCCTTGTCCCCATGGTGGGTCCGGGGCAAGAGAGGGCCCTGGGTTGGGGGTGGGGTTCAGTTGAAGATGGGGTGAGTTTTGAGGGGAGCACTACTTGAGTCCCAGAGGCATAGGAAACAGCAGAGGGAGGTGGGATTCCCTTATCCTCAATGAGGATGGGCATGGAGGGTTTGGGGCGTGGCGCTGGGAACGGCAGCCCTCCCCAGCCCACAGCCGCGCATGCTCCCTGGGCTCCCGCCTCAGTGCGCATGTTCACTGGGCGTCTTCTGCCCGGCCCCTTCGCCCACGTGAAGAACGCCAGGGAGCTGTGAGGCAGTGCTGTGTGGTTCCTGCCGTCCGGACTCTTTTTCCTCTACTGAGATTCATCTGGTAGGTGTGCAGGCCAGTCATCCCGGGGGCTGAAGTGTGAGTGAGGGTGGAGAGGGCCTCGGGTGGGTCAGGCGGGTCCCGCTTCCTGGTCTGTGGCCTCCGAGGGAGAAGGGCCACGAGGTCGTCCTCCTTCCCTTCACAGGCTGCGAGGCCACCGGCGGCTTCGTGGTCGTGAAGGGGCCTGGACGGGGAGGAAGGTGGGCCGTGGAGGGGAGGCGGTCAGGGGCTCAGGTGAAGACGGGGTGAGTGCTGTTGGGGGGATGGAAGTCCCGAGGTGCCGGGATCCCCGACGACACAGGGCAGATTCCCTGAATGGGGCCCCCGGCGGGGGCGAGGCAGGCGGTGAAGAAGGGGCCTGGCACCTGGGAAGGCTGGGGCCTGGCGAGCCCCCCCCCAGCGGTGTGGAGTGCGGAGCGCCCGAGTGAGAAGCACTGCAAGGTCTCACCTCCGCCATGGAAGGTCCGAAAACAGTGGGAAGGAGTGGGCGAGGCAGTGCGGTCCAACCAAACTTGTTGTGAGGGGGGGTGAATGGCTCTAGGAAGTGGGAGTGTGCCCAAAGCAGCAATCACGAGAATTGTGATTCACTAGGGTTTTCGTGGGGAGTGCACTTGTGAAACTAAACCTCATCAGAAATGACCTCTGTCTGCGGGGCGCAGTGGCGCTCGCCTACGTAGTCCCAGTTACTGGGGACACTGAGGTGGGAGGATCCCTTGAGCGGGAGGTCGAGGCTGCAGTGAGCTGTGATCACGCCGCTGCACTCCAGCCTGAGCAACACAGCGAGACCGCGTGTCCAAAAGAAATTTAGAAAAAAATGTCCTCTGCCTTTTGCCACACGCCTTAAGATGATTGCTCTGCCAGCCTGGCCAGCAGAAGTGGCTTTGTAGGCACTCAGACAGCGTACACACGTATGCTTAACTCTGGGACTTATCTTGAGAGTATTTTCAAAAGTAAAACGGCAAGTTTACATTTATCGATGGAAGTGATCGAATATAGCAGCCCTGTGGAGCGCACGTTCCCAATCACGGTTGTCTGTTTTCAGTGTGAAATATGAGTTGGCGAGGAAGATCGACCTATCGGCCTAGACCAAGACGCTACGTAGAGCCTCCTGAAATGATTGGGCCTATGCGGGTGAGTGCTTAAACGTTAATTCGATGTTTTCTATTAGTAGAAATTAATTTTTGTGATAGCGTTGTTGCATTAGTGTGGAAATGCTGATAAAGGTCTTTCCTGCTCATAAAAAATGAGGATGGCATCTCATGAAGGAAACATTGATTCTGGAGGATTTTTTTTTTCCTCTCGTGTTCTTCAGCTTTTGCCCATGACTTCTTTCTCCGGCTTTGTTTGTTAATGACAGATTGTACACATGTATTCCAACACAGAGTATAATAGCCTCCAAAGTCCTCGTGCGTCACTTTTCTCACAGTATCCTCCCTGTGGGTGGAGTAACCTTATTGGGCATAGAGCATAGAGTTGGAGAAATGTCTTTAGGCTTAGTTAGGACCAGAAATAGCTATGTATTCTGTGTATATATGTAAAATTTTGTATCAATAACGAAACTTATTTTTTATTTGCACACCCACACGTATTCCCCAGCCCGAGCAGTTCAGTGATGAAGTGGAACCAGCAACACCTGAAGAAGGGGAACCAGCAACTCAACGTCAGGATCCTGCAGCTGCTCAGGAGGGACAGGATGAGGGAGCATCTGCAGGTCAAGGTGAGGGAAAGGGAAGAAGAACGTCTGCTGGTGTGTGCGTGTGTGTGTGTTCGTGTGTGTGTGTGTGCACGTGTGTGTGTGTGTGTGTTAGGCATTGTCACATAGGAGGAAGAGGAGGAAAGAAAACAATGGAAAGAATGCCTGAAATTGAGTGGAAAAGCGAGGAGGCTATGTAGTTTGCAGCTTAGCTTAGGCAAATCCCTCACTATGATAAAAGTTCTCGACTTTATGAATGAGAGAATGGAGGTGCCAGGGTTGTGTGTTATCCAAGAACCCTTGACTGGTGAATACAACATTTGTACTGTGTTCCAAGGTTTGTGTCTTCCTATCATGTATGTTGCTGTAAAGAAGGAAGTGATTTTGCTGAAAATGCTTAAAACTCAAAAGGCTTTACTGTAAGGTAGCTTAGGAGCAGGAGCAGCTCCAAAAACCGAGTCGCTGAATGTTGGCCCCCGTTTCCTTTGATTGATATTTTTATATGGTACGTTTGATAAAAGCTGGATAAATGAGGATACTGCCATACAGGTAGCTGGTTTAGTGATTTTTCTCAGCGGCCTTTAGGAGGTGATTAAATCCTTTTATGGTTAGAAAAGCAAAAACGGAATTATCCTGAGATTAACGTGAGATGGAAATAATTTCTCCCAGATAAAATGTTTTGAAAGGAAGCATTTATGTAACGGAGGTCATGGATTATTCCAGGGATGCACTGTTAAAAGTTCCTAGAATCTGACTGACAACAATGCCCATTAATTGCTGTCCGCCCACTCCCTTATTCTCAGTGCGGGGGACAGTATATTTTCTGTGATTCACAAACAATGTTATATTTGGTGCTTTGTTCTTCACGGGGTTCATTTATGGAATATTACCTTTAGGACCTTCGGACCTAAATATAACTTTATTTGAACAAAGTGAAGTTTCTCTTTACCCCAATAGGTAATGGGTGTCGTGACTGTAAGATTTCCATAGTCCTCAAATCCATCCAGCTAATCAATCCTTCAGAAACTGACATTGTAATTGTAACTGAAATCCTACCCACGTGGTAGACTTCAGATTTCTCAGCTGACGCACACTGCTGTTGGTACTCTAGGGCTGAATATAAGCATTATACATGTCCTGTGGTTTATCCTTAGATTGTCATTTAGGAGAAAGGTCTAAAGCTGGGCTGAATGCCATGCACTCATAGTCCCAGCTACTTGGGAGGCCGAGGTGAGAGGATTGCTTGAGTCCTGGAGTTCAAGCCCAGCCTGGGAAACACAGTGAGACCTCATTGCTAATAAATAAATAAATGAATAAATAAATAAACACATAAATAAATTCATTAAATAAATAAAGTTTTCATGGTATAGGAAAACACAGATGCAAAGTTTTTGTGCCTAGTGGCTGGTAATGTTGCAAACGTAACTCCTTAGTGAACTGTACCACTTAAAAATAGTTAAGATGGTAAATTTTAGGATATCTGTATTTTTTACCACAATTGGAAATTCCTTTCTTCCTAAAGTTCAGTGCAGTTATCATATATTCTTTTAAATTTTTACTGTATGTATCTTCAAGACATAACATTCATAGAAAATTTGCAAGAATAGTACAATGAACTCATATACTGTTCATCTGGATTCACCAATTGTTAGTAGCTTTCGCTTCATAGGTTTCACATCTCTTCCCTCCGTCTCTTACCGTGCTGCCCACACACTCACACACACACACACACACACACATACGGATATATGTTTACTGTTATTAATGGTGAATTGTCTCGATAAAGTTTCAGGGATTATGGTCCTTTACCCTATGTACTTGAGGGTGTGTATATCGTCAGAACAAAGAGAAAGTCATTTCTTGGATCATCACTGCACAAAGATAAAAATCAGGAAATTTAACAATGAGAAAATGGAGTCATTTAATACAGAGTGCATACTCAAATTTTGCCAGTTCCCCAGAAAATTTCTTTTTTCCTTTTTTTTTTCTTTGTTGAGACGGAGTCTCTCTCTGTGGGCCAGGTGGGAGTGCAGTAGTGCGATCTCGGCTCACTGCAACCTACACCTCCCAGGTTCTAGGGATTCTCATGCCTCAGCCTCCCGTGTAGCTGGGACTACAGGCGCCGGCCACTGCGGTCTTGAACTTCTGGCCTCACCTGCTCTGCCCACCTTGGCATCCCAAAATGTTTGGATTGCAGGCGTGAGACCCCACGCCCGGCCCAGATAATTTTATTGATAGGATTTCTTTTTCTGATCCAGAGTCCAGTTCAGAATCACACCTTGCATGTGCTTTTCAGGTGTTTTTAGTTTCCTTTAACCTGTAATGTTTCCTTAATTTTTCTTGTCATTCACGATACGGACATTTTTGGAGAGGATAGACCAGTTGGTTTGCAGAATATTCTGCAGTTTGGGCTTTTTCATGTATTTTTAAAAGAGTTTTCTCACTCAGCGTTTATTGGTGGCTACTCATGCCATGTAAGAGTCTAAGCGCTAGGAGTGTAAGTGCTGTGAGAGACGGGATTTGAGCCTTGAGTCATTTAATACGAGAAGGACAATCAGAAGTAGAATAAGAGAGAAGTGCAAAGGAGGCAGCAAAGTTGTCTGAGGGCAGTCTTCGGAAAGGAAGAGGGTATTATTTGGAACACCTTGTTTTCCTGTTTTCTGCTAATGGACTCCTGAAATAATGTTCCTGGGATTCTTATCAACACATTTATTATTACGTTAGCTAAAGCTTTTATATAATAATACCGAGAGCATGAATATTATTTTCTTATTCATACTTTATGTTTTACTGCTTAAATTGATACGTATTTTTTATTTTTAAGGGCCGAAGCCTGAAGCTCATAGCCAGGAACAGGGTCACCCACAGACTGGGTGTGAGTGTGAAGATGGTCCTGATGGGCAGGAGATGGACCCGCCAAATCCAGAGGAGGTGAAAACGCCTGAAGAAGGTAGGCAATCCATTAGGCATGCACATTGTAGGGTGTCTGTTTCCACAGTATCATATTGTAATTGTTACTATGTTTTTGAGACGGAGTCTCGCTCTGAAGACCAGGCTGGAGTGCAGTGGTGCCATTTCGGCTCACTGGAAATTCTGTCTCCAGGGTTCAAGTGATTCTCCTGCCTGAGCCTCTGGCGGAGCCGGGCTTACAGGCATGCTCCGCCGCGCCCAGCTAATTGTTGTATTTTTAGTAGAGACAGGGTTTCGTTATGTTGCACAGGTTGTTCCCGAACTCCTGACCTCAGGTGATCCACCTGCCTCGACCATTGAAATTGCCGGGATTACAGGCGAGAGCCACCGTGCCCGACCCAGCATTATATTTTTAATAACGGAGAGGTAACAATACTGCCTCTTTAGTAACAGAGTTCTTATATAAAGGTTATTTGAAACGTAGTTCAGGCCCCAGCACCCGACTGATAGACTGTCAGGTAGGGAAACAAACTGAGTCAAAGCTATGTTGAATTAAAAGTTTTGAGTGTAAATCCTTAAACCAGTAGCTCACAATTTTCAGATGCTTTTGTAAAGGTCTGCTTTTAATCAATACATAACACGTTTGTAACACCCATCACTTGGTGTGAAAAATGCTGAAGCACTCATGCGGGTTCTAATACCAGCTCTTACAGCCTTGGCGAGATTCTGAGTGAGTCCTTTCCCTTCTAAACCTATCTTTGGTTCTTATGAAAATAGTGAGTTTAAGTCAGAGATTTTAAAACCATTTTGCATTCCGTTTCTTTCATACTCTGATCCTGTTGCATAGAATGCGTGGGACACAGAGATCATCTGCTTCGCATGGTTTGTTAATCACAAATCATGAAACCCTGGCCCGAGTCATCTGAAAATCTCTGAATTGAGATTTCATTGTCAGTAAGACAGTGAGCGGGCCCTCTGCTTCATCCTAGTTTTTCCGTGTGGAGAGCTGAATACGTAGTGTAAGATCTTGTGAAATTGTGAATTCTCCCTCTTCTTGGTTTGTTTGTTTGTTTGCGACAGAGTCTCAGTGTGTCACCCAGGCTGGAGTGCAGTGATGCAATTTCAGCTCACTGCAACTTCTGGCTCCCAGGCTAAAGCCGTCCTCCCACCTCAGCCTCCCGAGTGGCTGGAACTACATGCACAAGCCACCGTGCCTGACTACATTTTTTTGTTTTCATTTTTGTAGAGATGAGGTCTCACTGTGTTGCCCAGGCAGGGTTTCTCTGGCTTTTAATGAACAATTGCTTCTTTTTTTTTCTTTTATTTATTTATTTATTTATTTATTTATTTATTTATCATTATACTTTAAGTTTTAGGGTACATGTGCACGTTGTGCAGGTTAGTTACATATGTATACATGTGCCATGCTGGTGCGCTGCACCCACTATCTTATCATCTAGCATTAGGTACATCTCCCAGTGCTATCCCTCCCCCCTCCCCCCACCCGACAACAGTCCCCAGGGTGTGATATTCCCCTTCCTCTGTCCATGTGATCTCATTGTTCAGTTCCCACCTATGAGTGAGAATATGCGGTGTTTGGTTTTTTGTTCTTGCAATAGTTTACTGAGAATGATGATTTCCAGTTTCATCCATGTCCCTACAAAGGACATGAACTCATCATTTTTTAGGGCTGCATAGTATTCCATGGTGTATATGTGCCACATTTTCTTAATCCAGTCTATCGTTGTTGGACATTTGGGTTGGTTCCAAGTCTTTGCTATCGTGAATAATGCCGCAATAAACATACGTGTGCATGTGTCTTTATAGCAGCATGATTTATAGTCCTTTGGGTATATACCCAGTAATGGGATGGCTGGGTCAAATGGTACAATTGCTTCTTAAATCTTTCCCCACGGAAACCTTGAGTGACTGAAATAAATATCAAATGGCGAGAGACCGTTTAGTTCGTATCATCTGTGGCATGTAGGTCAGTGATGCTCAGCATGGGTGTGAGTAAGATGCCTGTGCTATGCATGCTCCCTGCCCCACTGTCAGTCTTCATGAGCCACTATTTCTAATAAGACTGTAGACACACATACGATATAATCATCTCTAATCATATCAAATGTTACATGTAAGTTTCACCTTTAGAGACATGAATTGATAAGATTTGAAGTTGAAAGACCATGACTCTAGTACTTCCTGAGTAATCAACTGAAGTATGCTTTACACATGTGTTTTCCAAATTGCTGACTGTTAATTGTAAGTGCTTGTGACTTGAAAGGAAGCACTTGATGTTCAGGGAGGAAATTCCTTTTAAATTCTGCAGGTCTACGCTCAAAGTTTATGCAGAGGTTCAATTGCGTGTAAGACACGGGATCACCCATAGGGTTCTGTTTTTAGTCCATTTAATAAAACCCAAACTGTAGTGTGCTTTGTATGCCTTTAGGGTCATCTGAATAATCTGTTGCTAAGTCATGTTCCCAATCGTTGTGTTTCTGTTACAGGTGAAAAGCAATCACAGTGTTAAAAGAAGACACGTTGAAATGATGCAGGCTGCTCCTATGTTGGAAATTTGTTCATTAAAATTCTCCCAATAAAGCTTTACAGCCTTCTGCAAAGAAGTCTTGCGCATCTTTTGTGAAGTTTATTTCTAGCTTTTTGATGCTGTGAAATATGTATCATTCTTTGAAATCGTGTATTGTAACTCTCTGAGCTGGTATGTAGAGACATCGTTCTTTTTTTTTTCTTTCTTTCTTTGTCCTCTTTTGAGACGGAGTCTTGCTCTGTCGCCCAGGCTGGAGTGCAGTGGCGCGATCTCTGCTCACTGCAACCCCGCCTCCCGGATTCAAGCAATTGTCTGCCTCAGCCTCCCGAGTAGCTGGGATTATAGGCACCCACCAGCACGCCTGGCTAAGTTTTGTGTTTTTACTAGAGATGGGCTTTCGCCATCTTGGCCGGGGTGCTCTTGAACTCCTGACCTCGTGATTCACCTGCCTTGGCCTCCCAAAGTGCTGGGATTACAGGCATGAGCCTCCGCGCCCGGTGGAGACATAATTCTTACATATTGGTTTTCTATCCAGCGGCCTTGTGAAATATGCTTGTGAATTCTAAAGTTTACTTCTAGGTCGTTTTCAGTCTTCAATATACAGAAACATATCATCCTGGAATAAGAGCAGTTTTGTTTCCGCCATATTTTTTTCTTTTCCCTTTTGTATTTTTTTGTAGAGACGGGGTTTTGCCATGTTTCCCGGGCTGTTGTTGAACTTTTGAGTGCAAGTGATGCACCCACCTCACCTCCCACAGTGCTGGGATTACTGGCGTGGGCCACCGTGGCGGGCCCGTCGTTGCCATTGTAAAGAGTTTTATTTCCTTTTCTGATTTTATGGCATTGCGCAGACCCACCCGTTACAATGGTGACAGTGGACATCCTTGTCTTATCCCTGATGAGAAACCGAAAAATTTCAACATTTCACCATCCTATTCACTCTCCTTTTTTTGTAGACGGACTTTATCAGAGTGAGTCATTGCATTCTGTTCCAAATTTGCTGAGAGTATTCATTTGAATATATGTTGATTTTCATCAAACAGTGCATCTATTTCGATTACCACAGCGTTTTTTCCCATTCATGTGTTAATATAGTGAATTCGATTGATAAATTTGTACGTTTTTAGGTTCGATTATTAAAACTTGAGACAGCGTCTCACTCTGTCACCGAGGCTGGAGTGCGGTGGTGTTATCAGAGCTCGCTGCAGCCTTGACCTCCTGGGCTCAAGCGCGCCTCCCACCTCAGCCTCCTGAGGAGCTGTGAGTATAGGTACATGCCACCATGCCCAGCTAATTTTTCGATGGTTTTTTGTTTGTTTTTTGTAGTGATGAGATTTTCTGATGTTGCTTAGGCTGGTCTCGAAGTCCTGAGCTCAGGTGATCTGGCCAGCTCAGCCTCCCAAAATACTAGGATTACAGGCGTGAGCCTTGGCCTGGTCTGGTTTTTCTTATATAGGGGTCTTATCTATATAAAGACTAAAGTTAATCTGTGCCTTTGTGCGGGTGGGCTAAGAGCATGATGACTTTTATCATTCTATTGATTTAAAGAAAACTGTCCTTGACTTACCAGTGTGTAAGTCCATGAAAGCATAATTCTGTTGAAAGCATATATTGTTAATGGGTGTTGGGAACCGTGCACTTTCCGCTGCTGTGGGAGCATGTCCTTGGAGGTACCTTTCATCTGTTTTCTCAACTCCAAACATCTTAGGACCATGGGTTGTGACTGGTAGGACTATGTATCTTGCTGCTTTCAAGACGGAGTATATTTTCACGTGGTGTCACTCTGGCTGTCCTGTTTCCCTAATACTGTCACTTCACCCTCTGCGATTCTGATGCTACAAATGATAGATATCGTTTTAGCATTTTCTTACGGGTCCTAGCGATTCTATTCATTTTTCTTTCAGTCTCTTTCTCTGACTTGTTCACATTGAACAATTTCCTTTTGGGATAGGTTGCTATTTCTGTTTTCGCAGGTGGTTTACCTGTCTTCCCAGCCAGTCACAGTGGTCCTTGTCCCCATGGTGGGTCCGGGGCAAGAGAGGGCCCTGGGTTGGGGGTGGGGTTCAGTTGAAGATGGGGTGAGTTTTGAGGGGAGCACTACTTGAGTCCCAGAGGCATAGGAAACAGCAGAGGGAGGTGGGATTCCCTTATCCTCAATGAGGATGGGCATGGAGGGTTTGGGGCGTGGCGCTGGGAACGGCAGCCCTCCCCAGCCCACAGCCGCGCATGCTCCCTGGGCTCCCGCCTCAGTGCGCATGTTCACTGGGCGTCTTCTGCCCGGCCCCTTCGCCCACGTGAAGAACGCCAGGGAGCTGTGAGGCAGTGCTGTGTGGTTCCTGCCGTCCGGACTCTTTTTCCTCTACTGAGATTCATCTGGTAGGTGTGCAGGCCAGTCATCCCGGGGGCTGAAGTGTGAGTGAGGGTGGAGAGGGCCTCGGGTGGGTCAGGCGGGTCCCGCTTCCTGGTCTGTGGCCTCCGAGGGAGAAGGGCCACGAGGTCGTCCTCCTTCCCTTCACAGGCTGCGAGGCCACCGGCGGCTTCGTGGTCGTGAAGGGGCCTGGACGGGGAGGAAGGTGGGCCGTGGAGGGGAGGCGGTCAGGGGCTCAGGTGAAGACGGGGTGAGTGCTGTTGGGGGGATGGAAGTCCCGAGGTGCCGGGATCCCCGACGACACAGGGCAGATTCCCTGAATGGGGCCCCCGGCGGGGGCGAGGCGGGCGGTGAAGAAGGGGCCTGGCACCTGGGAAGGCTGCGGCCTGGCGAGCGCCCCCTCAGCGGTGTGGAGTGCGGAGCGCCCGAGTGAGAAGCACTGCAAGGTCTCACCTCCGCCATGGAAGGTCCGAAAACAGTGGGAAGGAGTGGGCGAGGCAGTGCGGTCCAACCAAACTTGTTGTGAGGGGGGGTGAATGGCTCTAGGAAGTGGGAGTGTGCCCAAAGCAGCAATCACGAGAATTGTGATTCACTAGGGTTTTCGTGGGGAGTGCACTTGTGAAACTAAACCTCATCAGAAATGACCTCTGTCTGCGGGGCGCAGTGGCGCTCGCCTACGTATTCCCAGTTACTGGGGACACTGAGGTGGGAGGATCCCTTGAGCGGGAGGTCGAGGCTGCAGTGAGCTGTGATCACGCCGCTGCACTCCAGCCTGAGCAACACAGCGAGACCGCGTGTCCAAAAGAAATTTAGAAAAAAATGTCCTCTGCCTTTTGCCACACGCCTTAAGATGATTGCTCTGCCAGCCTGGCCAGCAGAAGTGGCTTTGTAGGCACTCAGACAGCGTACACACGTATGCTTAACTCTGGGACTTATTTTGAGAGTATTTTCAAAAGTAAAACGGCAAGTTAACATTTATCCATGGAAGTGATCGAATATAGCAGCCCTCTGGAGCGCACGTTCCCAATCACGGTTGTCTGTTTTCAGTGTGAAATATGAGTTGGCGAGGAAGATCGACCTATTATTGGCCTAGACCAAGGCGCTATGTACAGCCTCCTGAAATGATTGGGCCTATGCGGGTGAGTGCTTAAACGTTAATTCGATGTTTTCTATTAGTAGAAATTAATTTTTGTGATAGCGTCGTTGCATTAGTGTGGAAATGCTGATAAAGGTCTTTCCTGCTCATAAAAAATGAGGATGGCATCTCATGAAGGAAACATTGATTCTGGAGGATTTTTTTTTTCCTCTCGTGTTCTTCAGCTTTTGCCCATGACTTCTTTCTCCGGCTTTGTTTGTTAATGACAGATTGTACACATGTATTCCAACACAGAGTATAATAGCCCCCAAAGTCCTCGTGCGTCACTTTTCTCACAGTAACCTCCCTGTGGGTGGAGTAACCTTATTGGGCATAGAGCATAGAGTTGGAGAAATGTCTTTAGGCTTAGTTAGGACCAGAAATAGCTATGTATTCTGTGTATATATGTAAAATTTTGTATCAATAACGAAACTTATTTTTTATTTGCACACCCACACGTATTCCCCAGCCCGAGCAGTTCAGTGATGAAGTGGAACCAGCAACACCTGAAGAAGGGGAACCAGCAACTCAACGTCAGGATCCTGCAGCTGCTCAGGAGGGAGAGGATGAGGGAGCATCTGCAGGTCAAGGTGAGGGAAAGGGAAGAAGAACGTCTGCTGGTGTGTGCGTGTGTGTGTGTTCGTGTGTGTGTGTGTGCACGTGTGTGTGTGTGTGTTAGGCATTGTCACATAGGAGGAAGAGGAGGAAAGAAAACAATGGAAAGAATGCCTGAAATTGACTGGAAAAGCGAGGAGGCTATGTAGTTCGCAGCTTAGCTTAGGCAAATCCCTCACTATGGTAAAAGATCTCGACTTTATGAATGAGAGAATGGAGGTGCCAGGATTGTGTGTTATCCAAGAACCCTTGACTGGTGAATACAACATTTGTACTGTGTTCCAAGGTTTGTGTCTTCCTATCATGTATGTTGCTGTAAAGAAGGAAGTGATTTTGCTGAAAATGCTTAAAACTCAAAAGGCTTTACTGTAAGGTAGCTTAGTACTGACCCAAGAATAGACCCAGTTCAGAGGAGCAGGAGCAGCTCCAAAAACCGAGTCGCTGAATGTTGGCCCCCGTTTCCTTTGATTGATATTTTTATATGGTACGTTTGATAAAAGCTGGATAAATGAGGATACTGCCATACAGGTAGCTGGTTTAGTGATTTTTCTCAGCGGCCTTTAGGAGGTGATTAAATCCTTTTATGGTTAGAAAAGCAAAAACGGAATTATCCTGAGATTAACGTGAGATGGAAATAATTTCTCCGAGATAAAATGTTTTGAAAGGAAGCATTTATGTAACGGAGGTCATGGATTATTCCAGGGATGCACTGTTAAAAGTTCCTAGAATCTGACTGACAACAATGCCCATTAATTGCTGTCCGCCCACTCCCTTATTCTCAGTGCGGGGGACAGTATATTTTCTGTGATTCACAAACAATGTTATATTTGGTGCTTTGTTCTTCACGGGGTTCATTTATGGAATATTACCTTTAGGACCTTCGGACCTAAATATAACTTTATTTGAACAAAGTGAAGTTTCTCTTTACCCCAATAGGTAATGGGTGTCGTGACTGTAAGATTTTCCATAGTCCTCAAATCCATCCAGCTAATCAATCCTTCAGAAACTGACATTGTAATTGTAACTGAAATCCTACCCACGTGGTAGACTTCAGATTTCTCAGCTGACGCACACTGCTGTTGGTACTCTAGGGCTGAATATAAGCATTATACATGTCCTGTGGTTTATCCTTAGATTGTCATTTAGGAGAAAGGTCTAAAGCTGGGCTGAATGCCATGCACTCATAGTCCCAGCTACTTGGGAGGCCGAGGTGAGAGGATTGCTTGAGTCCTGGAGTTCAAGCCCAGCCTGGGAAACACAGTGAGACCTCATCGCTAATAAATAAATAAATGGATAAATAAATACATAAATAAATTCATTAAATAAATAAAGTTTTCATGGTATAGGAAAACACAGATGCAAAGTTTTTGTGCCTAGTGGCTGGTAATGTTGCAAACGTAACTCCTTAGTGAACTGTACCACTTAAAAATAGTTAAGATGGTAAATTTTAGGATATCTGTATTTTGTACCACAATTGGAAATTCCTTTCTTCCTAAAGTTCAGTGCAGTTATCATATATTCTTTTAAATTTTTCCTGTATGTATCTTCAAGTCATAGCATTCATAGAAAATTTGCAAGAATAGTACAATGAACTCATATACTGTTCATCTGGATTCACCAATTGTTAGTAGCTTTCGCTTCATAGGTTTCACATCTCTTCCCTCCGTCTCTTACCGTGCTGCCCACACACTCACACACACACACACACACACATACGGATATATGTTTACTGTTATTAATGCTGAATTGTTTCGATAAAGTTTCAGGTATTATGGTCCTTTACCCTATGTACTTGAGGGTGTGTTTATCGTCAGAACAAAGAGAAAGTCATTTCTTGGATCATCACTGCACAAAGATCAAAATCAGGAAATTTAACAATGAGAAAATGGAGTCATTTAATACAGAGTGCATACTCAAATTTTGCCAGTTCCCCAGAAAATTTCTTTTTTCCTTTTTTTTTTCTTTGTTGAGACGGAGTCTCTCTCTGTGGGCCAGGTGGGAGTGCAGTAGTGCGATCTCGGCTCACTGCAACCCACACCTCCCAGGTTCTAGGGATTCTCATGCCTCAGCCTCCCGTGTAGCTGGGACTACAGGCGCCGGCCACTGCGGTCTTGAACTTCTGGCCTCACCTGCTCTGCCCACCTTGGCATCCCAAAATGTTTGGATTGCAGGCGTGAGACCCCACGCCCGGCCCAGATAATTTTATTGATAGGATTTCTTTTTCTGATCCAGAGTCCAGTTCAGAATCACACCTTGCATGTGCTTTTCAGGTGTTTTTAGTTTCCTTTAACCTGTAATGTTTCCTTAATTTTTCTTGTCATTCACGATACGGACATTTTTGGAGAGGATAGACCAGTTGGTTTGCAGAATATTCTGCAGTTTGGGCTTTTTCATGTATTTTTAAAAGAGTTTTCTCACTCAGCGTTTATTGGTGGCTACTCATGCCATGTAAGAGTCTAAGCGCTAGGAGTGTAAGTGCTGTGAGAGACGGGATTTGAGCCTTGAGTCATTTAATACGAGAAGGACAATCAGAAGTAGAATAAGAGAGAAGTGCAAAGGAGGCAGCAAAGTTGTCTGAGGGCAGTCTTCGGAAAGGAAGAGGGTAATATTTGGAACACCTTGTTTTCCTGTTTTCTGCTAACGGACTCCTGAAATAATGTTCCTGGGATTCTTATCAACACATTTATTATTACGTTAGCTAAAGCTTTTATATAATAATACCGAGAGCATGAATATCATTTTCTTATTCATATTTTATGTTTTACTGCTTAAATTGATACGTATTTTTTATTTTTAAGGGCCGAAGCCTGAAGCTGATAGCCAGGAACAGGGTCACCCACAGACTGGGTGTGAGTGTGAAGATGGTCCTGATGGGCAGGAGATGGACCCGCCAAATCCAGAGGAGGTGAAAACGCCTGAAGAAGGTAGGCAATCCATTAGGCATGCACATTGTAGGGTGTCTGTTTCCACAGTATCATATTGTAAGTCTTACTATGTTTTTGAGACGGAGTCTCGCTCTGAAGACCAGGCTGGAGTGCAGTGGTGCCATCTCGGCTCACTGGAAATTCTGTCTCCAGGGTTCAAGTGATTCTCCTGCCTGAGCCTCTGGCGGAGCCGGGGTTACAGGCGTGCTCCGCCGTGCCCAGCTAATTGTTGTATTTTTAGTAGAGACAGGGTTTCGTTATGTTGCACAGGTTGTTCCCGAACTCCTGACCTCAGGTGATCCACCTGCCTCGACCATTGAAATTGCCGGGATTACAGGCGAGAGCCACTGTGCCAGACCCAGCATTATATTTTTAGTAAGAGAGAGTTAACAATACTGCCTCTTTAGTAAAGAGTTCTTATATAAAGGTTATTTGAAATGTAGTTCAGGCCCCAGCACCCGAGTGATAGACTTTCAGATAGGGAAACAAGCTGAGTCAAAGGTATGTTGAATTAAAAGTTTTGAGTATAAATCCTCAAACCAGTAGCTCATAATTTTCAAATGCTTTTGCAAAGGTCTGCTTTTAATCAATACATAACACATTTGTAACACCCATCACTTGGTGTGAAAAATGCTGAAGCACTCATGCGGGTTCTAATATCAGCTCTTACAGCCTTGGTGAGATTCTGAGTGAGTCCTTTCACTTCTAAACCTATCTTTGGTTGTTATGAAAATAGTGAGTTTAAGTCAGAGATTTTAAAACCATTTTCCATTCCGGTTCTTTCATACTCTGATCCTGTTGCATAGAATGCGTGGGACACAGAGATCATCTGCTTCGCATGGTTTGTTAATCACAAATCATGAAACCCTGGCCCGAGTCATCTGAAAATCTCTGAATTGAGATTTCATTGTTAGTAAGAAAGTGAGGGGGCACTCTGCTTCATCCTAGTTTTTCCGTGTGGAGAGCTGAATACGTAGTGTAAGATCTTGTGAAATTGTGAATTCTCCCTCTTCTTGGTTTGTTTGTTTGTTTGCGACGGAGTCTCAGTCTGTCACCCAGGGTGGAGTGCAGTGGTGTACTTTCAGCTCACTGCAACCTCTGGCTCCCAGGCTAAAGCAGTCCTCCCACCTCAGCCTCCTGAGTGGCTGGAACTACATGCACAAGCCAACGTACCTGAGTAAAATTTTTTTTTTCATTTTTGTAGAGATGAGGTCTCACTATGTTGCCCAGACTGGGATTCTCTGGCTTTTAATGAACAATTGCTTCTTAAATCTTTCCCCACGGAAACCTTGAGTGACTGAAATATCAAATGGCAAGAGACCGTTTAGTTCCTATCATCTGTGGCATGTAAGTCAGTGATGCTCAGCATGGGTGTGAGTAAGATGCCTGTGCTATGCATGCTCCCTGCCCCACTGTCAGTCTTGATGAGCCACTATTTCTAATAAGACTGTAGACACACATATGATATAATCATCTCTAATCATATCAAATGTTACATGTAAATTTCAGCTTTAGAGACATGAATTGATAAGATTTAAAGTTGAAAGACCATGACTCTAGTCCTTCCTGAGTAATCAACTGAAGTATATTTCACACATGTGTTTTCCAAATTGCTGACTGTTAATTGTAATTGCTTGTGACTTGAAAGGAAGCACTTGATGTTTAGGGAAGAAATTACCTTTAAATTCTGGAGGGCTACTCTCAAAGTGTATTCCGAGATTCAATTGGATATACGACAGAGGATCACCTTAGCGTTCTGTTTTTAGTCCATTTAATAAAACCCAAACTGTAGTGTGCTTTGTATGCCTTTAGGGCCATCTAAATAATCTGTTGCTCAGCCGGGCGCTGTGGCTCACGCCTGTAATCCCAGCACTTTGGAGGCCAAGGCGGGTGGATCATGAGGTCAGGAATTGTATACCATCGTGGCTAACACGGTGAAACCCCGTGTCTACTAAACATACAAAAAATTAGCCCTTGTGGTGGCACGCGCCTGTGGTCCCAGCTACTCAGGAGTCTGAGGTAGGAGAATCGCTTGAACCCAGAAGGCGGACGTTGCAGTGAACCAGATTGCTCCACTGTACTCCAGCCTGGGCAACAGAGTGAGACTCCATCTAAAATAATAATAATAATAATAATAATAATAATAATAATAATAATCTGTTGCTCTGTAATGTTCCCAACTGTTTTGTTTTGTTTCAGGTGAAGGGCAATCACAGTGTTAAAAGAAGACATGCTGAAATGTTGCAGGCTGCTCCTATGTTGGAAAATTCTTCATTGAAGTTCTCCCAATAAAGCTTTACAGCCTTCTGCAAAGAAGTCTTGTGAATCTTTTGTCAATTTTATTTCTAGCTATTTGATGCTGTGAAATGTTTCATTCTTTGCAATTTTGTATTCTATCTCCTTGAGCTGTGTGTAGAGGCATAATTCTCATGTATTGATTTTCTATCCAGCAACCTTGTTAAATATGCTTATGAATTTTAAAAGTTTACTTCTAGGTTTTTTCAGTTTTCAACCTACAGAATCATATCATTTTTGAATAAGAACAATTTTGTTTCTGCCTTTTTTGTTTGTTTTTTCTTTTGTATTTTTCGTAGAGGTGGGATTTTGGCCTGTGTCCTAGGCTTTTTTTGAACTCCTGAGCGCAAGTAATCCACTCTCCTTGGCCTTTCAAAGTGTTGGGATTACAGGCATGGGCCACCGTGCTGGTCCTGTTTTTGCCATTTTAAACCCTTTTATTTCCTTTTCTGATTTTATGGCATTGAGCAGATCTACCGGATACAATTGTGATAGTGGAAATTTTTGTGTTATTCCTGATGAGAAATGGAAAAATTTCAACATTTCACGACAATATTTAGTGTACTTTTTTTGTAGATGGACTTTTTCAGAGTAAGTCAAGCCATTCTGTTTTAGTTTGTTGAGAGTGTTCATTTTGAATATATGTTGAATTTCATCAAACACTGACCTGAGTCATCTTAAAACATGTGAATTGAGATTTCTTTGCTACTAAGAAAGTGAGCGGGCACTCTGCTTCATGTTTACTTTTGTCATGTTGCATGAAAAACATTTTGCTTCATGTTTGATTCTGTATGTTGAAAACTGAAATCATCTATTGTGATTACCACAGGGTTTTTTCCCCCAGTAATCTGTTTATGTAGTCAATTACGTTGATAAATCTGTACTTTTTAAATTTTAACAATTGAGACAGGTCTCACTCTGTCACCCATGCTGACTGCAGTAGTGTGATCACAGCTTACTGCAACCTCAACCTCCTGGGCTCAGGCGATCCTCCCACCTCACCCTCCTCAGTAGCTAGGACTATAGGTACATGCCACCATGCCAAGCTAATTTTTCTGTTTTAGAGATGGTATTTTTTCATGTTGCCCAGGCTGGTTTTATACTCCTAATCTCAAGCCATCCACTAGCCTCAGCCTCCCAAAGTGCTGGGATTACAGGAATGAGTCACGGTGCCTGGAAATTTTGTACATTTAAACCAACAATTTGGTCATGGGTAATCTATGTCCTAATAATTTATTTAAGGATTTTTATGTATATCCTCATGAGTGACATTACCTGTACTTTTATTTCATATGCTCATTTGTTGGACGTTGTTATCAAGGTTCCTCTAGCTTCATAAAACGGGTTGGTATGTAAAACCTCTTTTTCCATTCACTGGAACTCAAGTCTCCTCAAGGCTGTGAGTAATGCAGGGCTAGGCTTTCCCATAATGAGCTTTTCTAGAATGCTTCTCTCAGATTTGGACCCTACTTAAACAGCAGTGACCAAACGGGCAGCTCCAGGTACCTATCCCCTCAAACTTTGTGAGGGTCGCGTTCTCTGAAGATGCCTCTTCAATTTGAAAGCTATCTGTTCCTGTTTCTCTGCTGATATTAACTCTCTGTGCACAGAAAGTTAAACGTCACTGGTTATTAATTTCCCTAGATTTTGATCTGTGCTGTGTGGCTGAGAATGGGCTGACTGACCCTAGATCTGTGTATAATTATGACAATGGCTCCATTTATTTTTAAAATAAGAGGAATTATTATAAAATTCCTATTTACTGGATGTGTACTATCTATGAATTACTTCTTTGTGCTAGGTTGTGTACATGTATGACCTCTTTAGATCCTCACAAGATAAGGCAGAATTTTCATGAAATTGATGACTGACTCCAGTAAGAAGCAGATTTGGGGGGATTTCAATTTCTAAGCTCAAAGCCCTTGCACTTTTCTCAAAGTAAAGCTTTTGAAAGTGTTAAATGTACACGAACTGATGGTGTATATGATGATTTTAGTTGTAATCTGATGTTTTCTTTAAAAATTTACATATACAAAAGTGTTTGACTCAAAAGGCTTTGTTCTTCCCTTAAAGGAAGCATCTACCAAAATGTGGCACACAAACCTTGCATGGTGTCTCTAGGGCCTCCTACCCCGCATTTCCCCTGCTTTTTCTCTTGTTCTGACTGAAAAACAAAGTGCTTTGACTGTGCTGTGACCCAGCCAGCTGCATGTTTACCCAGCATGCTTGAACCCAAGCTGGAGCCTTGAACATAAAGGTGTTTAAGTTGTTGCTCAAAATATGGAAAGAATCTAGCTCTGGCCTTGAACCAAATCCCTTAAACTCTCCTATAAAACTCCATAACCTGACCCCCTCAGTGCGGATATACCTAGGCATGACATTCTTGTTGCCTGTTGCGAGGATGCTTTAGCCTACTCTAAGTTCTCCCAATAAATGCTTTGGACTGATCACCCTGGTGTTTAATGTTCCTTGGAAATCTTGACAGGCCCAATCTCTAGTCGGTCTGGGGCACTACCTTGTGGGAACTCTCCTACTTCTGCTTCCTGCTCCGGCCGTGGATTTGGCTGGATGAAATCATTAATACAAAAACAAACATTTAAAAACGTTTTTTCATGATAATGTGCTTATTATGTTACAGAAAATATAACACTAAAGCCATTTGCAACAGTTTGTGGGGAGAAAGTTAAGAACGTGTGTCACAAATCGCATGGCAAAGTGCCACAACATCTCCTACAAACACATCTGTCCTTTGAAGTTACTCACAGGTGGGGAGGGAGCAGCCACAAATCTCTTTTTTTCTTCCACAAAATCCTCTGTTGGCTTGATAGTCAAGAGATCTCACTCAGAAGCCCCTCCTTGCTGCCCGATTCCAGACTTCTACCGCTATTACTATACACAAAGACAGGTTACACCTCTGAGGTCTTGTTTGCATCTTCACAGCACCCCCCACCCCAAGAAAACAGTTCTGCCAAAAAAAAAATCCTATTCAGAATCCACCCTGCTTAGGGAATGACAAGGGATTATAAACAACAGTGATTTCTCCCTCTTGCAGATGCTTAAAAATATTTCCTGATCCAAGAGGACTGAAAATCTATGATTCAAGTAAAGAGTGAGGCTAAATGCAGGGTATCTCAATTTACCCCAAATACATGAGGGGTCCCTTGGTTGTGGAGGTGGCAGAAAGGATTAGAACCTATATAGAAGAAAAGGGAAAGCAACCAGGAAAATTTGCTTAGACAAAATTACTTGGGTCCTACTTACACTGTCTCCTTAATAGGCAGTGGCATGAAATAGCCATGGGTTTCCATCCTGGCTCTGACACACTGACTTTGCAATGGTGAAATGGTGGGAAAGGTTCTTACATTCTTTGGGCCTGTTTCCCCATTTCTAAAGTACGAATTAAAATATTTACGCTAAATGATTGCTATGAAGAATGAGATGCCAATACATATGGTGTTTCCCACGAGGGATATGTTCGGTGGGGCAGACAGACACATAAACAGAAGAGCAGTTGGGGTGCACACATACACACACACCCCGAAAGTGAATGGGGTAGCTAAGAAGCAAGAGAAAAACAAGGAGAAAAGCCTTGTGAGAGTGAAAGAGATCTACTGGACTTCTCATATCCACTGATCACTGGGTTCATCTACTTGATTCTGTTGATATAAGGCTGAATGACGGCAGGGCATGGAGGCTCACACCTGTAATCCTAGCAATTTGGGAGGCTGAGCAGGAGGATTGTTTGAGCCCAGGAGTTCAAGACCAGCCTGGGCAACAGAGCGAGACCCTGTTTTTTTTTTTTTTTTTGAGACAGAGTCTCGCTCTGTTGCCCAGGCTGGAGTGCAGTGGCACAATATTGGCTCACTGCAAACTTTGCCTCCCAGGCTCAAGTGATTTTCCCACCTCAGCCTCCCAGGTAGCTGGGATTACAGGTGCACGCCACCACACCTGACTAATTTTTGTATTTTTAATAGAGATGAGGTTTCACAATGTTGGCCAGGCTGGTCTCGAACTCCTGACCTCAAGTGTTCTGCCCACCTTGGCCTCTCAAAGTACTCGGATTACAGGCGTGAGCCACCACGCCTGGCCTCTTTATTTTTTGAAGGCTGAGTGACATCTGTGCCTCACACTTGAAAACTAAAATAACCAGAATGGCAGTATTGTGCTTATTCAAAAAGTATTTATTGAGGGCTGTTTCTTTATCAGCTCCTTTATATATGAGAAGACATCAGCAAATTAGCCAATGTAGCCCCTAACTGAGAAATGATCTAAGAAAGTAGCAGTGTCCCAGATTCATTATAAATGTAAAAGTGTTTAATATTTATAAAATATTATATATTCACTATAAATACAAAAGTATAAAAGGTAATACATTGGTACTAGATGCTTCTGGGCAAAGTGCGTGGTGAAGGGCACAAGCCCTCTGTGACAGATCCCCAAGACAACCTTCAGCTTGATGATCTTCCAGACGCACAGGATTCAGAAGTTGTTATACTCACAGTTATAATCTATTAAAGTGAAAGGATACAGATTAGAATCAGCAAAGGTAAAAGGCACATGGGGTGAAATCCAGGAGAGACCAGGGGCAAGATTTTAGGTGTTTTTTCCCAGTAGAGTGATACAGGGACACGTTTATATACTGTCCCAGTAACGATGTGTGACAACGCGTGAAGTATTATCAACCAGGGAAGCTCACCTGACCTTGGTGTTCAGGGTTTTTATTGGGAGTCACGTAGGCATGCAAAACTTGTGTAACTGACCTCAGCTACTCAGACTCTAGCCTTCCTGAGCAAAAACAAACATTCACCATAAATCACATTGTTAAACAAACTTATTGGATCCCACTGTTAACAGTGTGGCCCAAAGACTCAGGCATAAAAAACACTCTTATCAGGCAGTCCTGCTGAGTTAATCCTTTCCTGCACAAACTCCTCTAAGAGAACAGAAGTTTGCAAAGAGAGATTTCCTGTGATGTCTCATCTGCAATGTATTATTTCCAGTAAGCAAATTACTAGTTTAATAATGGCTACACTTAAGTAAGCAAGGAGCATGTCATCATCTCTCTCTCTCCCAACAATAACAACAGCAGCAACAACGAAACAATGCAAAAACCAACAACAAAAACTTGTCTGAGAATCAGCTGCTGGGAATCAGGCTCTGTGCCCTGGGCTAGAAAGACTGAGGATCGAGAAATGATTCATGCAGGATAAGAGTTATCACAGAGCTCAGAGTCTACTCCCAGGGGATGATGTGTGTTCTAAGTACTGCTGCACTGTAAATAACTTTTTATTTATTTATTATTTAGTAATAAATATTATTTATTTATTACTTATTAATAAATAAATAAATTTATTTTTACTGTCACCCAGGCTGGAGTGCAATGGCATGATCTTGGCTCATTGAAACCTCCATCTCCCAGGTTCAAACGTTTCTTCTGCCTCAGCCTTCCGAGTAGCTGGGATTACAGGCGCCCATCACCTTGCCCGGCTAGTTTTTGTATTTTTAATAGATGGGGTTTCACCATGCTGGCCAGGCTGGTCTCCAACTTTTGACCTCAAGCGATCAACCTGCCTTGGCCTCCCAAAGTGCTAGGATTACAGACGTGAGCCACTGCGCCCGGCCAGTAAATAACTTTTATTTTATTTTATTTTATTTTATTTTATTTTATTTTATTTTATTTTATTTATTTTTTGACAAGAGTCTCACTTCTTGTCACCCAGGCTGGAGTGCAGAGGCATGATCTCGGCTCATTGCAACCCCCGTCTCCCAGGTTCAAGTGATTCTCCTGCCTCAGCCTTCCGAGTAGCTGGAATTACAGGCGCCTGCCACCACGCCTGGCTAATTTTTGTATTTTTAGTAGAGATGGGGTTTTGCCATGTTGACCAGGCTGGTCTTGAAGTCCTGACCTCAGGTGATCCGCCCGCCTCAGCCTCCCAAAGTGCTGGGATTACAGGCATGAGCCACTGTGCCAGGCCGGTAAATAACTTTTAATCTCTGTTCATTATCCCCCTTTTCATTAAAAAAATAAAAATCTCACTGCTCAATTATTCTCATGTTATAGATGAGGTAACGAGATCAGAGAAGATAAGTATCTCATTCATGGTCAAGTCAGTAGTCCCTGGTGCAGCCAGTTTTCAACCTAGGACTCTTGGAACACCCATGTACTTTTCATTATAAGCATTTTTTGTGCTCTTAATATCGTCTTCTGTTTTAATTCACATTCGCCATAAATACAGTTCCTTGCTCAGCTTGCCCCCAGAGTCCCTTTTTATTTTACAGCTTTATTGCTAAAGTGCCAACATGTTTTTCAGAGGCTGAGACATTTTGCACTCTTACTAGCAGTGTATGAGGGCTGCATTTGCTCTACATCTCCATGAACACTTGATACTACCAGTTTTTTACATTTTAGCCATTCTAATAGGTGTGTAGTCATACCTCCTTGCAGTTTTAATTTGCATTTCAACACGTTGAACATATTTTATTTTTTTCTCTCTCTCTCTTTTTTCTCTCTCTTTCTCTCTCTCTTCTTTCTCTTTTCTTTTCTTTTTCTTTCTTTCTTTCCTTGAGTCTTGCTCTATTACCCAGGTTGGAGTGCAGCGGCATGATCTCAGCTCACTGCAACCTCTGCCTTCTGGGCTCAAGTGATTCTCCCTGCCTCAGCCTCCCAAGTAGCTGGGACCACAGGCGTGTGTCACCATGCCCCCGCTAATTTTTGTATTTTTAGCAGACACAGGGTTTTGCTGTTTTGGCCAGGCTGGTCTCAGACTCCTGAGCTCAAGCGATCTGCCAGCCTCAGCCTCCCAAAGTGTTGGGATTACAGGTGTGAGCCACCGCACCCAGCCAGGGAATTTTCTTTGCCAGGGAATTTTCTTTTCTATTCTTCTTCTTCTTCTTTTTTTTTTTTTTTTTTCTGACAGAGTCTCGTTCTGTCGTCCAGGCTGGAGTGCAGTGGCACCATCTTGGCTCACTGCAACCACTGCCTCCGGGTTCAAGCAATTCTCCTGCCTCAGCCTCCCGAGTACCTGGGATTACGGGTGTGCACCACCATGCCTGGCTAATTTTTGTATTTTTTTAGTAGAGACGGGGTTTCACCATGTTGGCCAGGCTGGTCTTGAACTCCTAACCTCATGTGATCTGCTGGCCTCAGCCTTCCAAAGTGCTGGGATTACAGGAAATTTTCTTAATCTAATTCTAGACCATTTTTATTAAGACTTTATTTTTATATTGTTTCACTCCTTTTGCCTATTTATTCAACTTTCTGGAAGGTTTGCTTACCTGGCTTTTTCAAGTCTTCCCATTGAATGCTTTTTATTAACTACCTGATTTCCAGGAAATTTTTAGAAATCTACTTTTGTTTCACCTTTGTAAAAAGCAAGACCGGGCACGGTGGCTCATGCCTGTAATCCCAGCACTTTGGGAGGCTGAGGTGGGCAGATCACTTGAGGTCAGGAGTTAGAGACCAGCCTGGTCAACATGGCGAAACCCTGTCTCTACTAAAAATACAAAAAAAAATTAGCCAGGTGTGGTGGTGGGCACCCATAATCCCAGCTATTTGGGAGGCTGAGCCAAGAGAATCGTTTGAACCCAGGATGTGGAGGCTGCAGTGAGTTGAGATGGTCCCACTGCGCTCCAGCCTGGGTGACAGAGTGAGAGTCTGACTCACTCTCTCTCTCTCTATATATATATATAATATATATATAATTATATATAATACAATATATTATATTAAATAATATAAATAAAATAAAATAAGAAGCAAAAATAATTCTACTTTTTCTGACTTAATGGATGCCTAAAACATAGACGTACAGCTTACCCAATTAAACTCTCCTTGTTGAGTTCTGATACCAGTATCATGGCAACTTCCTACAAAATAATGGAAAGTCATTCTTTCCCTCCCCAGTGGAAGGGTTCACATAGCCCTGGAGTTGTATGGTGCCCATAGACTTTCATGCCCTGACATTCCTCAGCCTTGACAACAACCTAAATGTTTTTATTTTGTTTTGTTTTTGAAAAGGATAAACGATGGCCTGTGGAGACAGGGATTTTTTAGTTGTATCAACATGGGAGTGCTTTCATTGAGCTAATCTCAGTTTAGGGCAAACTGAAAGTCAGGGAAACTGGCTGATGCCTGTTTTTCTCCCTGTTGCTCAATGATTGTCTTTGATTCAGAAATTTGAGTGTGGAGGCACTTGAAGGGAAGATGGAAATTGTGGGCAATGATGAAAGGTGGGAAGATTTTTTTTTTTTCTTACAGAAAAAGATAGACCCATGAAGTTTGGTTTATTTAGATTCCAGTCTACCCATTAAAGGTGTCTGGAATTGTCTTCTTATTGTTCAGGCTTTGGATCACAGACCTCTGTCAGGAACTGTGTGGCTGCATCAGAAGCCATGCAGAAGACAGGTTCTAGCCCCCATCAGCCAGGGCACCTGGCAGAGGAAATATTAACCTAGGCTACTGGGATTATTGTCCCAGGTAAGGTACATAGTTATTATACACAAACTGGTCTATGTCACAGGGAATGAAGGCCTCAGGAGGACCACAACCCTACCCCACCCCTAGACTTGTCTATTGGGTGTCATGACACTGAGACATCCACGATGAATTCCGAAGAGAGGTACCAGCTCCACCAGGCTGCTCAGGCCAAGAGTCTCAGGTCAATGAGGGCTACAGGCATCTGAAATTCCAGAACTCGCAGGATGAGTGTTTGCAGAAGTTGTGGCACCTCCTCCTCCTTCACCAAAACTGTCTGCTTTGGTATACTGGTAACAGCCATTGATTAGTTTTAAAAGTTTATTTATTTTAAAATTGTAATAAAATACATATAACATAAAATTTACCATCATGGCTTTTTCTTTTCCTTTTTTTTTTTTTTTTTTTGAGAGATTGTCTTGCCCTTTTGCCCAGGCTAGAGTGTAGTGGCACAATCATAGCTCACTGCAGCCTTAAACTCCTAGGCTCAAGTGATCCTCCCGTCTCAGCCTCTTAAGTAGCTGGGACTACAGGCATGAGCTGCCATGCCCAGATAAGTTAAAAATTGTTTTTTAGAGATGGGGTCTTTCTATGTTCCCCAGGCTGGTCTTGAATTCCTGGCCTCAAGCAATCTTCCTGCCTCAGCCTCCCAAATCCCTGAGATTACAGGTGTGAGTCACCAAGCTCAGCCCATTTTAGGCATTTTAAAGTGTACAGTTCAGTAGCATTAAGCACATTTACATCATCTATCATTTTCAAGAACTTTTTCACCTTGCAAAGCTGAAACTGTACTTATTAAACCATGACTTTCTATTTACCCTTCTGTCTCCCTCTTTCACTCCTGATATTGGTTTTATGTCTTCTCTTTGTTTTTTGTTTTTTTGTATTTTTGGTCAGTCTGGCTAGTTAGATCAATTTTATTAATCTTTCCAGGGAACTAGCTTTTGGTTTCATTGATTTTTTTTCTATTGTTATTCATTTTCAATTGTCTTGATTTCTTCTCTTATCTTTATTATGTTCTTCCATCAGCTTGCTTTAGGTTTATTTGTCTTTTTCTCATTTTGTAAGGTGGAAGCTTAGATGTGAGCCTTTTGTTTCTATTTTTTCTTCCTATTGTCCAAACCCAAGCTTTCATTTCTAACGTAAGCATTTCATGCTATAATTTTTCCTCTAAGCACTGCTTTATGTCACAAATTTTGATGTGTTGTGTTTTTGGTGTCATTTAATTCAAACTATTTTCTAAACTGCTTTGCGACTTATTATTTGGTTATAAATAGGTTATTTATAAGTATGTTCAATTTCCAAATATTTGGAGATTTTCTAGATATTTTTGTCATTGATTTCTAGTTTAGTTTCATTATAGTTAGAAAACATCCTGTGCATTATTTCAGCTCTTTTAAATGTGTTTAGATTTTTGTTATGACCTAGATAATCCAAGATTATCTCCCCATGTCAAGATGCTTAACTTAATCACATCTGCGAAGTTCCTTTGCCGTGTAAGATAATATATTCACAGATCCTGGAAATTAGGATATGGGCATCTTTGGGGGCCATATTCTTCATACCACACCCCGTTTCCCTCCCTAAGCGTTTGTAGTGACTGTCACTGTCCCCACATTGGACCACAGAGGTGGACACGGATGGGGCCTAGCTCTGTCAATACAAGGAGAAAAATACAGCAGTGGTTGACAGCCACTAGGAATAATAATAATGACAATGTTGATAATAACAGCTACCATTTACCCCAGGTTTGGCATGTGCCATCGCTTTGCAGGGATCATAGGTGCCACCATTCCTATTCTACAACGAGAAATCTGAGGTCCAGGGAGGCTCTATGATTTGCCTGGTGTCACACAGATGGCAGGCAGCAGAAGAGCCAGGGTTAGTGCTCAGACTTTCTCTGCAGCCTGTGCCCCTAAGCCCTACCTCAAGTCATTACCCCTGAGGAGTTGGAGGGAGGCCTCCTCAGAGTGGATCATTTATGGAGCTAGACCTGTAGGATGGATTTTAGGAATTCGCTAGTGGCCAAATAGCTATCACTTCTGGACCTGCAAAGAGGCTGTTTGACTTCACCTTTCTCTCTCTCTCTGTCTCTCTCCCCCTTCCTCCTTCTCTCTCTCTCTCTCTCTGACACACACACACACACACACACACATACACACCACACACACACACACACACCATGGTGTCTTATATTCATGGTTTAACTTCTATTGCTCAGGGTTACTTATGAGTGGGGTGGGAATCATGACCCATAACACACACGGCAGCCTGCCCTACACAAAACTCTGCAGCTAGTGTAGAAACACCCACAGCCCTGTCTCCCATTAAAGTGGCCTCTGTTGTTGAAGGTCAGCAGGAGGCAGTCTAGGGGAGTTAGTTTCCTGTGGGCATCTTGGGAATGGGTGAGCAGCAGACTGTGAATGGTGCAGGTGTCTGGACCAGGACTTCTGGGACACCTCACTATATCTTTCCCCAAATCCCTATGCCTGCTGGCTACTGGGGCCTGTCACAACATCCCTGTTAAGGCAGAACTGGAAATGTCTCCCAGATCCAGATGAAACTTCAGATCCAGACTGAGAGTCCAGGGCAATTTACCTAGGGCTGGAAGAGGTGGGGTGATATTCCTGAAGGAGGCACTGGGGTGAGTGTCACCTCAGGAGATGGGAGGACACTGCAGAGCTGGGTCTGTGAGGACAGAGAAGGGACCCTGGGAGGGACAGGAGCAGCGTGAGCATAGGGAGTGCCCCAACTGCGGTCATCCTGGCATTGGCATCTGGCCCCAGCTCTGCCCCACCCTAGCTGGAGGGCCTGAGCCAGGGACCTGCCTTCTCAGTGCCTCAGTGTCCTCATCTGTGACAGAGGTGACAGGGTTTTCTTCCAAGGGTCCTAGTGGGAATTAAATGAGATAGCACATAAGAAGGGCTTAGGATACTGCAAGTCAGATCTGTGATTACCTAAAACAAAGTTCTTTAAATTTAAGATTGATACTTTCTTGTTACGGCTCAAGGAAAAAATAAATTAATTAATTAAAAAATAAATTTAAGATTGAAAGCTTCATGACACTTTTACCATATTTCATCAAATCTCAGATGCTATAGATTGTGTGTCACACTCTTATTGTAAGTAACCCTAAGAAAGAAAGAATGCTACTAATTGAACTCTGACCTGTTGCCTTCTCAACTCAGTGACTGTATGATGCATTCCTGATTTCAGATACATTA
Source organism: Homo sapiens (assembly GCF_000001405.40). Classification (NCBI taxonomy): domain Eukaryota; kingdom Metazoa; phylum Chordata; class Mammalia; order Primates; family Hominidae; genus Homo; species Homo sapiens. The sequence continues at coordinate 49,617,786 of NC_000023.11, forward strand.
AAATATTTTAAGGCTGAGTGCACTGGCTCACACTGGTAAACGCAGCACTTTGGGAGGCCAAGGCAGGATGATCACTTGAGCCCAGGAGTTCCAGACCAGCCTGGGCAACATAGAGAGACCCCATATCTACAAAAAAGTAAAAAATTAGCCAGGCATGGTGGTGCATGCCTGTAGCCTTTGCTACTTGGGAGGATGAGGTGGGAGGATCATTTGAGCTCAGGAGTTTGACATGCAGCGAGCTATAATCATGGCACTGCACTCCAGCCTGGGTGATAGAGTGAGACCCTATCTTAAAATATATATATTTATGTATAATATAAAAATATATTTTAAAGTACATTTTAGAATTGATAAAATAGGACATTTTTCATTATTTAATTTTACAGTTACCTTCTGTGGCAATTGTTTCTAATTTTGTATAGTGATAGAATCTTTTCAAAACATTTCGTTTAAGAACAAAAGCGATTTGACCTTGGGGAAACTTTGAGATGGCTCTACTAGTCTGAAAGGGATTGTGACAGGGCAGTCCCCTCAGGTGGGAAGTGAGTGACTGGAGTTCAGGAACCACTGCTGAAGTCATGCCTCAGGGCATGCCTGGCCCCTCAGCCTCTCCCAGCTGCCCAGAAGGACCTTCCTGGGGGCAGATACACAATCACACCCCATGGTGCCCACTTTGAGGATGGATGCCCAGGTTGGGATGGAAGGAGGAGGAGTTAATCCACTGATTCAGCATCTGTCCAAGGATGCCCACACAACATCAGGTGCATCCTGACTGCTGGAAACCCGGCAGTCACACAAGCATCACACAAATCCTCAGGTGTCACAGTCTGGTGAGGGAGGCTGACACACACAAACACAACAAAAATAAAAAGAAAAGGAAAAGCATAGCAGTAGGTAGTTATGAGGATGGAACTCTGGATCCAGATGGACTAGGTTCAAATCCTGGTTCCATGATTTCCCAGCTGTGTGATCTCTGGCAGGTTACTTAACCTCTCTGTTTCTCAGGTGCCTCATTTGTAAAATGGAGGAAAAAAATTATTTATTTCATTCGGTTATTGTGAGGACTATTAGGTGAGTTAATATTTGTGAAGAACTTAGAATGGGTCCTGACATAACATTAAATATTCAATATGTGCTTGCTAATGAAAACACTTTAAAGCATCGAATTAGAAGTGCAGCCCATGAGGCCGGGCACAGTGGCTCATGCTTGTAATCTCAGCACTTTGGGAGGGCAAGGCTTGCAGATCATCTGAGGTCAGGAGTTCGAGACCAGCCTGGCCAACATGGTGAAACCCCCATCTCTACTAAAAATACAAAAATTAGTGGGACGTGATGGCGCACACCTGTAATCCCAGCTACTCAGGAGGCTGAGGCAGGAGAATCACTTGAACCTACGAGTCAGAGGTTGCAGTGAGCTGACATCAGGCCATTACACCAGCCTGGGCAACAGAGAGAGACTCTGTCTGAAAAAAAAAAAAAAAAAGAAATGCAGCCCACGGAAGATCAAGAAGGGAAATGGGAAGAGAACATAATGTAAAGTGGGGATGCTAAAAGCACTACCCTCCAAGGTTTGCTGTGCTTATTTCATTACGTCTTTCTTAACGTGTAGTCATAGTGTTAAGTCTCCATCCCTTAGCAGGAGCCCTGTCCCCCTCCTCCATTCTGGATGCCACTTTTGTTATTGCAGCTCCAGGCTCCGAGATTTCCCTGTGACTCCCAACTGAACTGGTTGGCGCTTTCCGAACTGATATGGAGCCCCCTTTCCTTGCCTGAAGTCCAGTTGGGCTTCAGGACTTTACACCGGGCTCCCTGGAGGAGGTCTGTCTCCTCCCCACTGTTAGGATCTGGGGATTCTTGTCCTCTCATTGTCAGTCTGAATGAGTCTCATTGTATCTTCATTCAAGTCATAAAGGTTAAGGTCAGCCAATGGTATTTGTCAGTGAGTGAATGAAGACTGACCAAATGAAGCAAAAAGAGATGGCTTACCATCTCCCAAGCTCCTGAGTCAGCCCTCCCCAAGCCCACCCATCTGAGACAGCCTATGGAGTGGTGTGGGGCCAGACCTCAGGTTAACAAAGCTCTGTCTTCCCCTCCCTCTGTTGGGATGAGGCACTAGGCTGTTGGGATTGGACACACACACACACACACACACACACACACACGCACACACACACCCATCCACTTTTCCCTGCTTACAGTGTTGTCCTGTAAAAGGCATTCTCCCTGCCCCCTGTCCCCCGCAGGCACACACAGGTCCTATCTATTCTTTTTTTTAAATTTTATTATTATTATACTTTAAGATTTATGGTACATGTGCACAACGTGCAGGTTTGTTACATAGGTATACATGTGCCATGTTGGTGTGCTGCACCCAGTAACTTGCCATTTAGCATTAGGTATATCTCCTAATGCTATACCTCCCCGCTCCCTCCACCCCACAACAGTCCCCAGTGTGTGATGTTCCCCTTCCTGTGTCCATGTGTTCTCATTGTTCAATTCCCACCTATGAGTGAGAACATGCGGTATTTGGTTTTTTGTCCTTGCGATAGTTTGCTGAGAATGATGGTTTCCAGCTTCATCCATGTCCCTACAAAGGACATGAACTTATCCTTTTTTATGGCTGCATAGTATTCCATGGTGTATATGTGCCACATTTTCTTGATCCAGTCTATCATTGTTGGACATTTGGGTTGGTTCCAAGTCTTTGCTATCGTTAATAATGCCGCAATAAACATACATGTGCATGTGTCTTTATAGCAGCATGATTTATAGTCCTTTGGGTATATACCCAGTAATGGGATGACTGGGTCAAATAGTATTTCTAGTTCTAGACCCCTGAGGAATCGCCACACCGACTTCCACAATGGTTGAACTAGTTTCCAGTCCCACCAACAGTGTAAAAGTGTTCCTATTTCTCCACATCCTCTCCAGCACCTGTTGTTTCCTGGCTTTTTAATGACCGCCATTCTAACTGGTGTGAGATGGTATCTCATTGTGGTTTTGATTTGCATTTCTCTGATGGCCAGTGATAATGAGCATTTTTTCATGCGTTTTTTGGCTGCATAAATGTCTTCTTTTGAGAAGTGTCTGTTCATATCCTTCACCCACTTTTTGATGGGGTTGTTTGTTTTTCCTTGTAAATTTGTTTGAGTTCATTGTAGATTCTGGATATTAGCCCTTTGTCAGATGAGTAGATTGCAAAAATTTTCTCCCATTCTGTAGGTTGCCGGTTCACTCTGATGGTGGTTTCTTTTGCTGTGCAGAAGCTCTTTAGTTTAATTAGATCCCATTTGTCAATTTTGGCTTTTGTTGCCATTGCTTTTGGTGTTTTAGACATGAAGTCCTTGCCCATGCCTATGTCCTGAATGGTATTGCCTAGGTTTTCTTCTAGGGTTTTTATGGTTTTAGGTCTAACATGTAAGTCTTTAATCCATCTTGAATTAATTTTTGTATAAGGTGTAAGGAAGGGATCCAGTTTCAGCTTTCTACATATGGCTAGCCAGTTTTCCCAGCACCATTTATTAAATAGGGAATCATTTCCCTATTGCTTGTTTTTGTCAGGGTTGTCAAAGACCAGATAGTTGTAGATATGTGGCATTATTTCTGAGGGCTCTGTTCTGTTCCATTGGTCTATATCTTTGTTTTGGTACCAGTACCATGCTGTTTTGGTTACTGTAGCCTTGTAGTATAGTTTGAAGTCAGGTAGCATGATGCCTCCAGCTTTGTTCTTTAGGCTTAGGATTGACTTGGCCATGAGGGCTCTTTTTTGGTTCCATATGAACTTTAAAGTATTTTTTCCAATTCTGTGAAGAAAGTCATTGGTAGCTTGATGGGGATGGCATTGAATCTACAAATTACCTTGGGCAGTATGGCCATTTTCACGATATTGATTCTTCCTACCCATGAACATGGAATGTACTTCCATTTGTTTGTATCCTCTTTTATTTCATTGAGCAGTGGTTTGTAGTTCTCCTTGAAGAGGTCCTTCACATCCCTTGTAAGTTGGATTCCTAGGTATTTTATTCTCTTTGAAGCAATTGTGAATGGGAGTTCACTCATGATTTGGCTCTCTGTTTGTCTGTTATTGGTGTATAAGAATATTTGTGATTTTTGCACATTGATTTTGTATCCTGAGACTTTGCTGAAGTTGCTTATCAGCTTAAGGAGATTTTGGGCTGAGACGATGGGGTTTTCTAGATATACAATCATGTCATCTGCAAACAGGGTCAATTTGACTTCCTCTTTTCCTAATCAAATGCCCTTTATTTCCTTCTCCTGCCTGATTGCCCTGGCCAGAACTTCCAACACTATGTTGGATAGGAGTGGTGAGAGAGGGCATCCCTGTCTTGTGCCAGTTTTCAAAGGGAATGCTTCCAGTTTTTGTCCATTCAGTATGATATTGGCTGTGGGTTTGTCATAGATAGCTCTTATTATTTTGAGATACGTCCCATCAATACCTAATTTATTGAGAGTTTTTAGCATGAAGGGCTATTGAATTTTGTCAAAGGCCTTTTCTGCATCTATTGAGATAATCATGTGGTTTTTGTCTTTGGTTCTGTTTATATGCTGGATTACATTGATTGATTTTCATATGTTGAACCAGCCTTGCATCCCAGGGATGAAGCCGACTTGATCATGGTGGATAAGCTTTTTGATGTGTTGCTGGATTCGGTTTGCCAGTATTTTATTGACGATTTTTGTGTCAATGTTCATCAGGGATATTGGTCTAAAATTCTCTTTTTTTGTTGTGTCTCTGCCAGGCTTTGGTATCAGGGTGATGCTGGCCTCATAAAATGAGTTAGGGAGGATTCCCTCTTTTTCTATTGATTGGAATAGTTTCAGAAGGAATGGTACCAGCTCCTGCTTGTACCTCTGGTAGAATTCGGCTGTGAATCCATCTGGTCCTGGACTTTTTTTGGTTGGTAAGCTCTTAATTATTGCCTCAATTTCAGAGCCTGTTATTGGTCTATTCAGAGATTCAACTTCTTCCTGGTTTAGTCTTGGGAGGGTGTGTGTGTCGAGGAATTTATCCATTTCTTCTAGATTTTCTAGTCTATTTGCGTAGAGGTGTTTGTAGTATTCTCTGATGGTAGTTTGTATTTCTGTGGAATTGGTGGTGATATCCCCTTTGTCATTTTTTATTGCGTCTATTTGATTCTTCTCTCTTTTCTTCTTTATTAGTCTTGCTAGCGGTCTATGAATTTTGTTGATCTTTTCAAAAAACCAGCTCCTGGATTCATTGATTTTTTGAAGGATTTTTTGTGTCTCTATTTCCTTCAGTTCTGCTCTGATCTTAGTTATTTCTTGCCTTCTGCTAGCTTTTGAATGTGTTTGCTCTTGCTTCTCTAGTTCTTTTAATTGTGATGTTAGGGTGTCAATTTTAGATCTTTTCTGCTTTCTCTTGTGGGCATTTAGTGCTATAAATTTCCCTCTACACACTGCTTTGAATGTGTCCCAGAGATTCTGGTATGTTGTGTCTTTGTTCTCGTTGGTTTCAAAGAACATCTTTATTTCTGTCTTCATTTCGTTATGTACCCAGTAGTCATTCAGGAGCAGGTTGTTCAGTTTCCATGTAGTTGAGTGGTTTTGAGTGAGTTTCTTAAACCTGAGTTCTTGTTTGATTGCATTGTGATCTGAGAGACTGTTTGTCATAATTTCTGTTCTTTTACATTTGCTGAGGAGTGCTTTACTTCCAACTATGTGGTCAATTTTGGAATAGGTGTCGTGTGGTGCTGAAAAGAATGTATATTCTGTTGATTTGGGGTGGAGAGTTGTGTACATGTCTATTAGGTCCGATTGGTGCAGAGCTGAGTTCAATTCCTGGATATCCTTGTTAACTTTCTGTCTCATTGATCTGTCTAGTGTTGACAGTGGGGTGTTAAAGTCTCCCAGTATTATTGTGTGGGGGTCTAAGTCTCTTTGTAGGTCACTAGGGACTTGCTTTATGAATCTGGGTACTCCTGTATTGGGTGCATATATATTTAGGATAGTTAGCTCTTCTTGTTGAATTGATCCCTTTACCATTATGTAATGGCCTTCTTTGTCTCTTTTGATCTTTGTGGGTTTAAAGTCTGTTTTATCCAAGACTAGGATTGCAACCCCTGCCTTTTTTTGTTTTCCATTTGCTTGGTAGATCTTCCTCCATCCCTTTATTTTGAGCCTATGTGTGTCTCTGCACGTGAGATGGGTTTCCTGAATACAGCACTCTGATGGGTCTTGACTCTTTATCCAATTTGCCAGTCTGTGTCTTTTAATTGGAACATTTAGCCCATTTACATTTAAGGTTAATATTGTTATGTGTGAATTTGATCCTGTCATTATGATGTTAGTTGGTTATTTTGCTCATTAGTTGATGTGGTTTCTTCCTAGTCTTGATGGTCTTTACAATTTGGCATGTTTTTGCAGTGGCTGGTACTGGTTGTTCCTTTCCAGCTTCCTTCAGGAGCTCTTTTAGGGCAGGCCTGGTGGTGACAAAATCTCTCAGCATTTGCTTGTCTGTAAAGGATTTTATTTCTCCTTCACTTATGAAGCTTAGTTTGGCTGGATATGAAATTCTGGGTTGAAAATTCTTTTCTTTAAGAATGTTGAATATTGGCCCCCACTCTCTTCTGGCTTGTAGAGTTTCTGCCGAGAGATCCGCTGTTCGTCTGATGGGCTTCCGTTTGTGGGTAACCCGACCTTTCTCTTTGGTTGCCCTTAACATTTTTTCCTTCATTTCAACTTTGGTGAATCTGACGATTATGTGTTTTGGAGTTGCACTTCTCGAGGAGTATCTTTGTGGCGTTCTCTGTATTTCCTGAATTTGAATGTTGGTCTGCCTTGCTAGATTGGGGAAGTTCTCCTGGATAATATCCTGCAGAGTGTTTTCCAACTTGGTTCCATTCTCCCCGTCACTTTCAGGTACACCAATCAGACATAGATTTGGTCTTTTCACATAGTCCCATATTTCTTGGAGGCTTTGTTCGTTTCTTTTTATTCTTTTTTCTCTAAACTTCTCTTCTCGCTTCATTTCATTCATTTCGTCTTCCATCGCTGATACCCTTTCTTCCAGTTGATCGCATTGGCTACTGAGGCTTCTGCATTCATCACGTAGTTCTTGGGCCGTGGTTTTCAGCTCCATCAATTCCTTTAAGGAGTGCTCTGCATTGGTTATTCTAGTTAGACATTCGTCTAATTTTTTTCAAGGTTTTTAACTTCTTTACCATTGGTTTGAACTTCCTCCTTTAGCTTGGAGTAGTTTGATCTTCTGGAGCCTTCTTCTCTCAACTCGTCAAAGTCATTCTCCATCCAGCTTTGTTCCATTGCTGGTGAGGAGCTGCATTCCTTTGGAGGAGGAGAGGCACTCTGCTTTTTAGAGTTTCTGGTTTTTCTGCTCTGTTTTTTCCCTATCTTTGTAGTTTTATCTACCTTTGGTCTTTGATGATGGTGACGTACAGATGGGTTTTTGGTGTGGATGTCCTTTCTGTTTGTTAGTTTTCCTTCTAACAGTCAGGACCCTCAGCTGCAGGTCTGTTGGAGTTTGCTGGAGGTCCACTCCAGACCCTGTTTGCCTGGGTATCAGCAGCGGTGGCTGCAGGACAGCGGATATTGGTGAACCGCAAATGCTGCTGCCTGATTGTTCCTCTGGAAGTTTTGTCTCAGAGGAGTACCCGGCTGTGTGAGGTGTCAGTCTGCCCCTACTGGGGGGTGCCTCCCAGTTAGGCTACTCCGGGGTCAGGGACCCACTTGAGGAGGCAGTCTGCCTGTTCCCACATCTCAAGCTGCGTGCTGGGAGAACTACTACTCTCTTCAAAGCTGCCAGACAGGGACATTTAAGTCTGCAGAGGTTACTGCTGCCTTTTGTTTTTCTGTGCCCTGCCCCCAGAGGTGGAGTCTACAGAGGCAGGCAGGCCTCCTTGAGCTGCGGTGGGCTCCACCCAGTTCGAGCTTCCCGGCCACTTTGTTTACCTACTCAAGCCTTGGCAATGGCGGGCGCCCCTCCCCCAGCCTCACTGCCGCCTTGCAGTTTGATCTCAGACTGCTGTGCTAGCAATGAGCGAGGCTCCGTGGGCATAGCACCCTCCGAGCCATGCGCGGGATATAATCTCCTGGTGTGCCGTTTGTTAAGCCCATTGGAAAAGCACAGTATTATTAGGGTGGGAGTGTTCCGATTTTCTAGGTGCTGTCTGTCACCCCTTTCTTTGACTAGGAAAGGGAATTCCCTGACCCCTTGCACTTCCCTGATGCGGTGATGCCTTGCCCTACTTCGGCTCATGCACGGTGTGCTGCACCCACTGTCCTGCACCCACTGTCTGGCACTCCCCAGTGAGATGAACCCGGTACCTCAGTTGGAAATGCAGAAATCACCTGTCTTCTGTGTCACTCACACTGGGAGCTGTAGACTGGAGCTGTTCTTATTCAGCCATCTTGGCTCCACCCCCCTCAGGTCCTATCCATTCTGCATCATGTCTAGTGAGGGGGGTCTCTGTGGTATAACATGAACCCCATGGTTAATTTTACTCTGCAAGTCATTGGCTATAAGTGGTCATTTAGAGTCTCCCCCACCCCAGGCCAGTAGTTTGCTGCGGACATTGTTGTCCACATTGCTCTGTGCGCACGTGCGAGTGTTTTTTCTTTCTTTCTTTTTTTTTTTTTGTTGTTTTTGAGACGAAGTTTCATTCCTGTTGCCCAGGCTGGAGTGCAATGGGAATCTTGGCTCACTGCAACCTCTGCCTCCCAGGTTCAAGCAATTCTCCTGCCTCAGCCTCCCCAGTAGCTGGGACTACAGGCATGCACCACCACGCCCGGCTAATTTTGTATTTTTAGTAGAGCCGGTATTTCTCCATGTTGGTCAGGCTGGTCTCAAACTCCTGACTCAGGTGATCCTCCCGCCTCGGCCTCCCAAGGTGTTGGGATTACAGTGAGCCACCGTGCCCGGTGAGTGTTTTTTCTTTTAACGTCACATTCTTACAAGTGGAATGGTTTCGTCAAAGGAGCCATTCATTCAACAAACACCTAATGACTGCCTACTCTGTGGTGGGTGCTGTTCTAGGTGCTGGGAATACATCGGGGAATTAGAAGGCCATATGTGCCTGCCTTGATGGAGCGGAAATTCTTGTGAAGGATGTTTCCAGTTTTTATTTTGGTAGATGCTGCCATATTGCTGTCCAATTACCGGCATCCTCAGCTCACTCCTGGGGTGGGGGCTTTGAGGCAGGTGAATAAACGCCTTGGCCTTTGCTCTCTGCATGATCTTCAGGGTCAGGACCTGGGACGGGCGATCCCTCTGGGGTCATGAGTATGAAATAACGGGAGGTGGGGATGGAATGGTCCACTGGGGAGTAGGGAGGTGGAGAAGGAACGGTTTGCAAGGCATTTGCACAGAAGCTTCCTTGATCGCACCACTAGGGGGCCTACGGAAGGAGGGGACAACAAATCAAGGATGGAAACATCCTGCCAGGCGATACCACTGCGGTAGGCAGAGACAGAACAGTCAGCTCTGGGAGGCACCACTGGGTAGGGGGCTTGGATCAAACCATTGTGTGTGTTGGGGGGACTCGAAGGGCCGCTTCCACCCCATGCAAGTGGTTGCAGCCCAAGACTCTGAAGAAGGCAGGAATCACGCTACCTTGACTGTCCGTAGCTCACACCCACCCTCTCGTTTCCCATCCCAGGCAGGCACCAGCTAGCATGACAGGCCTCCACCTCTCCTCGGGTCCAGTCCCAGCTCCTTGGGCACCGCCTTCTTTGGCTTTTTGACTTTGAAACTGTGGCTTGCGCTTGCAGGGGCACGTGATTGGATCCAAGCAGAAGGGAGCGGGCTGCAAGGCTCGTTCTCGGATCTGACTGGTCAACGCGAGCTTTCATTTCTCCTAAGCTTTTTCTGCGCGCAAAAGGGGCAAACTCCCGCACCTCAACTCGGTCGCGCGCCGACCTCCAATTGGCCGCTGGTTCGGCGCAGGCGCAATGGTTGCTTGGCCAGAGTTCCGGGCTGCGGTTCCTGGGAATTTTGGGATGAGAAGAGAGATTCGAATCCTGTCTCGGTGCCTCGAGACTGACATTTGTCAAAGGGGCCAAAGATAGTAAATCCTGTAGTAGAATTCACGGAGATCACTGGCTTGTAACAGCGTTCTGCCTCTTAGTGCACGGGTGATGGGGGTTGACTTCATGTATGCTCCTGCAGTCTTGTGGTGCCCATTCATCCCTAAACTCAAGTCACAAGCCCAGCAGGCACCCTGCCTCCAGTCAGTCATTCTTGCAGTGTATTCATTTATTAATTCATTTGTTCCATTGCTAAAATTGCATCGTCGGATTTGGGATTTAGGGAAACTTCAAAGAAAAAATTTTATTAAGCAGAATTCCTGCCCTGGTGGAGGGCCCCTCACCCCAGGACCACAGAGCAGGGGTCCCTTAGACGAGCCCAGTCTCCAGCAGCTGGTACTTCTGTGATGAAATATTTTTCCATGTGGGTTTTCTTTTTTCTTTTTTTGATTTTGATTTTTCAATCAAAAGTGGCTTTGTGATGTTATTTATTTATTTATTTTTTAAATTATGCTTTAAGTTCTGGGTTACATGTGCAGAACGTGCAGTTTTGTTACATAGGTATACATGTGCCCTGGTGGTTTGCTGCACCCATCAACCTGTCACCTACATTAGGTATTTCTCCTAATGTTATCCCTCCCCTAGCCCCCTACCCCCCAACAGGCCCCAGTGTGAGATGTTCCCTTCTCTGTGTCCATGTGTTGTCATTGTTCAACTCCCACTTATGAGTGACAACATGCGGTGTTTGGTTTTCTGATCTTGTGATAGTTTGCTGAGAATGATGGTTTCCAGCTTCATCCATGTCCCTACAAAGCACATGAACTCATCCTTTTTTATGGCTGCATAGTATTCCATGGTGTATATGTGCCACATTTTCTTAATCCAGTCTATCATTGATGGACATTTGGGTTGGTTCCAAGTCTTTGCTATTGTGAATAGTGCCGCAATAAACATACATGTGCATGTGTCTTTATTGTAGAATGATTTATAATCCTTTGGGTATATGCCCAGTAATGGGATTGCTGGGTCAAATGGTATTTCCAGTTCTAGATCCTTGAGGAATTGCCACACTATCTTCCACAATGGTTGAACTAATTTACACTCCCACCAACAGTGTAAAAGCATTCCTATTTTTCCACAACCTCTCCAGCATCTGTTGTTTCCTGACTTTTCAATGATAGCCATTCTAACTGGCGTGAGATCTCATTGTGGTTTTGATTTGCATTTCTCTAATGACCAGTGATGATGAGCATTTTTTCATATGTCTGCTAGCTGCATAAATGTCTTCTTTTGAGAAGTGTCTGCTCATATCCTTTGCCCATTTTTTGATGGGGTTGTTTGTTTTTTTCTTGTAAATTTGTTTAAGTTCTTTGTAGATTCTGGATATTAGCCCTTTGTCAGATGGATAGATTGCAAAAATTTTCTCCCATTCTGGAGGTCGCCTGTTCACTCTGATGATAGTTTCTTTTGCTGTGCAGAAGCTCTTTAGTTTACTTAGATCCCATTTGTCAATTTTGGCTTTTGTTGCAATTGCTTTTGGTGTTTTAGACATGAAGTCTTTGCCCATGCCTATGTCCTAAATGGTATTGCCCAGGTTTTCTTCTAGGACTTTTATGGTCCTAGGTCTTATGTTTAAGTTTTTGATCCATCTTGAGCTCAGTTTTGTAAAAGGTGTAAGGAAAGAGTCCAGTTTCAGTTTTCTGCAAATGGCTAGCCAGTTTTCTGAACACCATTTATTAAATAGGGAATATTTTCCCCATTGCTTGTGTGTGTCAGGTTTGTCAAAGATCAGATGGTTGTAGCTGTGTGGTGTTATTTCTGAGGCCTCCGTTCTGTTCCATTGGTCTATATATCTGTTTTGGTACCAGTACCATACTGTTTTGGTTACTGTAGCCTTGTAGTATAGTTTGAAGTCAGGTAGCGTGATGCCTCCAGCTTTGTTCTTCTTGGGTTTTCTTTCTGCTGTTAATTCCAGAAGTACATTAAGGACCTGGAGCCAGGTTTAATATCTTGAGATGGTACAGCAATCTAGTATTTTTTTTTTGAGATGCAGTCTTGCTCTGTTGCCCAGGCTGGAGTGCAGTGGCACAATCTCCACTCACTGTAACCTCTGCCTCCCAGGTTCAAGCGATTCTCCTGCCTCAGCCTCCCGAGTAGCTGGGATTACAGGCATGCACCACCACACCAGGCTAATTTTTGTATTTTTAGTAGAGACGGAGTTTCTTCATGTTGGCCAGGCTGGTCTTGAACTCCTGACCTCAGGTGATCCACCCACCTCGGCCTCCCAAAGTGCTGGGATTACAGGCGTGAGCCACCTTGCCTGGCTCAGCAATCTGCACAACATAAATCTTTATCTAAAGGCAATTAAAAATTCTTCTGTTCGCAGTGTATGTTTCCAGCATTTCCTCTTGTGATGTATAGGAAAATGAGAAAAAGCCACCTAGTGAAAAAAAAAAAGTAAATGTAAATGGGAGGAAAAAAGCAACCCCCAAAAGTAAATACAAGCATACGCAAATGAACCTAACTCTTAATCAAAACCATAACCCACAGGGAAAAGTATTCTTCCAGACAACTTTGAATACAGTTTCCTGGCTGTGTCAGTCTTATCACAGAGGAAGGGCTCCATGTGCACAGCCTTCATTATTCAATTTTATTTTCTTTTTGTCAAGAGTTCTGAATGCTTCCTGTTTCTTTTAATCAGGATTTTGACATTTACCTGAAGCCAGATTTCTCCAGGACAAGGGCAGCAAACTGTTAGCAAACAACTCGGACTGTTTTTAAATCAGTTTTTTGTTGGGAATTGCCTCTGAATACAAGTCAGAACTCACAAGAAGGTGGCTGGAGCAGTCTCACTCTTCTCCCTGGTCCCTTCACTTCTCCAGTCCCTGGAGTAGTCCGGGCCACTTGTTTCTGGCTGCTGAAGGCCATACTTGTCACTATCCCTTTCCTAGGATCCTACTCTGAACTCTGTCTTTTCATATCAAAGTGGTTGTTGAGAAGTCATGATTTGTGGCTGCTTCTACTTGCAGCTGTCTGTCCTATTGGCCCTACTACGGCTCTAAAACCCCACATTATACTCCTCTCCTGGAAAAAGCATAGAAATGGGACTGTTCACAGTGCTATTAGCAGCTATTAATAGCCTGATTGACCAGATGAATGAGTCACTTAGCAAGTGTCTAAGGGAATGAGACATTACCAGAGGGGTAATGAAGCATAGGTCCCTTTTGGTGGACAGGGGAAGGGGATGGAGGAAAAGGTCCCGGAGATTTTCTGGAGACCCAGGGCACAGTGCAGTTGGCATGGATAATAGAGGAGAAGGAAGAGAGTGCAAAGGGGATGCCAAAAGGAAAAAGGGAAAACCCTGAAGAAACTCACCCTGTTTACAGTGTTACTGAGAACGTTCCCTTTCCTTTACATCTTTTAGAGTATGCACTGCCCTTTCTCTGTTAGAGAGTCTCAACGTGTTCCCAAGGCAGGGTACCCAGAACATAGCAGTTTTGTTGAGATAATAGTAAAGATATCAATTAACCTCACACAGGTCTTTTTTTTTTAATTACTTTAAGTTCTGGGATACATGTGCAGAACTTGCAGGTTTGTTACATAGGTATACATGTGCCATGATGGTTTGCTGCACCTATCAACCTGTCATCTAGGTTTTAAGCCCCGCATGCATTAGGTATTTGTCCTAATGCTCTCCCTCCCCTTGCCCCCCACCCTCTGACAGGCTCCGGTGTGTGATGTTCCCCTCCCTGTGTCCATGTCACACAGCTCTTAATAAATAACTGATTCTCTGTCCTATCCAGGCGCTTGCCCTTGTAACATTTTTTTTTGAGGTTTCAATATTTTATTCAAGTTTTTTTTAAGTGATGTTAATTACAGCATTTGAAGGGGAGGATCTAATTCCACACAAAATGGAAGACTCTAAAATGTACCCATTAAACTGCTAAAAAACAAATCGAGTGGTGAGAACACAACAGAAGTCCAATTTAGATTCTGAGTGTTGTAACCATATGATTACAATCACACAGACACTTCCATGCTTATAGATGGAGCTCCTGGAATCTATTTCATACTCTGGTGCAAGGGCAAAAAAAAAAAACAAACACAACACAAGAAGGAATAAGTCCTGAATTATTGGCTTCATCACATCCACCTTCTCCACCCCAAAATGGCACAAAAGAAACAGTGACCCCACCCTGCAGACCTTTTGGTGTAAAAGAGGTGATGATGAACTGGGGTGGGAACAGGTCATGGAGATCTGTCTAAAAAAGTCCCATTCAGGTGAGTTTGTACACAACATCAAGAAGCGAGCCTCTCCTCAATTAGGGTTAGGAAACCAAGGTTCAATTCTCAGGAAATCAAAATTTCATTCATTTACTCAATATGAATTTACAAAGTGCCTACATATTATCAGCTTCCACTTGCAGCCATTTCTAGATAAAAAAGAAACCTGGCATCTCAAAGTGGCCACCAAGTTCCCCCCGAGTCTACCACTGAAAGGACTTTTTTTGGAAATGGGTTTCTTCTGTACCTCCGGAAGGGTAACATCTTAAAGCTGAATCAACTTTAACCTGGAGGGCTAACATATTTAGCAATACTTGCATCCAAGACATACAACATTAAAAGATACACTAAATTCTGAAAGTAGCTATGCTGCAAAATAGTTTAAAATTAAACAATTGTACAGTATTCATTTATGCTTGAAATTCCAGTCCTAGACCAAGCTTGTGGCCACCAGCATTGACGTTCTTCCCATCCAGAAGAGCTGACAGTGTCAGTTTGATACCTGGCTTTAGAGTCTGAGTGTATCCTAAACCTATCAGGCTGGAGTTGTTCACTTTAGCTGAGAAGCAGGCGTCAGGGTCAATCTGATACTTGGCTGCTATTCCAAAGCGCGTGTTACTGTTTCCTGCTGTCCAGGCAAGATTGACAGCGGTCTCCAACTTCTTGTTCACTTTCTGGTAAATGAGGCTGCCAAACTCTGTCCCGTCATTCACATTAGTGTGAAGCCAGAATTCATCAGTCTCGTAGCCAACTGCAAAGTTGCTCTGGGTCACTCTGGACTTTGCAGTCTCAAAATTCATCTGGTAGCCGGCCAGCCAGCCCTTGTAACCCAGCACCAGAGCACCCCGGATGGAAGGCCCAGCAATGTCAAAATCTATGTCGCAGTCCAAGTTAATGTGCTCCTGCTTGTACCCTGTCTTGATTTTAGCATTTTTCCCCCCCAGTGTTAGGTGAGAAGGATGAATCGAAGGTCAGCTTCAGTCCACATGCAAGCTGATCTTCCACTGTAATCTCGGTGCCTAGTGTATTGTCGGTGTTCCATTTCTCCGTAAACGTCAGGCCATACTCAGTCCATCTGTACTTGGTTTCCAGACTGCCTGTCACTTTGGTGGTCTCAGTGTTGGCTGAGCCTGAGCTTGTAAATTCCAATCCATTCTCAGATTTTGTTTTCAAATCAAGCTTTATTAAGCCAAATCCATAGTCCTTGGTGAAGACATCCCTGGCAGATTTGCCAAGATCGGCATACGTGGGTGGCACAGCCATCTTCTGCTCAGAGACGGTGGCGGCGGGCTCAGAGGTGGCTACAGCGGGCCCTTGCAACATTTCTATGCTGCCTGTGATATCTGTTGAAGTACACTTTTCAAAATGTCACAAGCGTGGCCCTGATACAAATATGGAGTGAACATATATCACAAGGTGCATTCTCTGGCAACTGTTGCTGAGATGAGGTTTGTTGGCAAGACTTTGCTTATTTATTTAGAGACAGGGTCTCGCTATGTTGCCCAGGTCAAAGTGCAGTGGCACAATCTTGGCTTACTGCAGCCTCCAACTCCTGGGCTCAAGTGGTCCCCCTGCTTCAGCCCCCAAGTAGCTGGGACTATAGGTGTGCACCACCACAGCTGGCTAATTTTTTTTTTTCTTTTTTGAGACAGGGCCTTGCTCTGTTATCCAGGCAGGAGTGCAATGACATGATGGCTAATTAATTTTTTTTTTTTTTTTTGCAGAGATGGGTGTCTCTCTATGTTGCCCAAGCTGGTCTTGAACTCCTGGCCTCAGGCGATCCTTCCACCTTGGCCTCCCAAAGCTCTGGGATTACAAGTGTGAGCCACTGAGCCTGACAAGACCTTTAGTAAGCATCAGCCCTGTAAAAGGGAGGGGACAGAAGTATAACTGGGCAGAGGAACAAACGGAACTACAATGGAGAGCCCAACAAAGCCCTGGCCAGCTAATCTGGACAGGAGTTCTGGAGTAAGTGTCTTAGCTTGGGCTACTGGAACACATTAACTATAGACTGGGAGGCTCAAACACAAAGTATTTATTTCTCCCTGTTCTGGAGGCTGGAAGTCCAAAATCAGGGTGGTAGTATGGCTGGGTTCTGGTGAGGGCCCTCTTCCGGTTGCAGACATGCCTACTTCATGTTGTGTCCCTGCATGGTGGAAAGAGAGCTAGCTAGTTCTCTGGCTCTAATCCTATTGGCAGGCACTAATCCTATTAGCAGAGTCCTCATGACCTCATGACCTCTCAGAGGCCACACCTCCTAACACTATCACATTGGGATTAGGGTTTCCACAAGTGAATTTCGGTGGAGTGGGGAGTGTAGGGGAACAAACATTCAGTCCATTGCAGTGAGTACTGTTCACCTGAGTGTCTTGTGTTGGGCCAAGATGGCCGGCCCTGTATTCCCCCGTGGCCTCACTGAGTCACTGCTTGTGGGCCATCCTAGGAAGTATGTGACCTCAGCCCAGGCAGCTCTCTGAAGCTGAGGCAGTCCCTGAAAGAACTTGAAGGGGCCCTGGGTGGTACGGGTTTATGTTTGCATGGTCTATTCCTCTAAAATTCTGGTGGGCTGCTGTTCTTTCAGGTTAACTTAATGAGGGCAACTAGTGGGATGAATCATAACCCTTGCCATTGGAGCTGGTCTTAGACAACTGCACTAGGAAAAGAAAAATATCCAGACTTTTCAAGGACTGTTGGACACAGGGTCTGAGTTGACACTGATATCTAGAGACGCAAAGTGTCATTGTGGCCCCTCTGTTAGAGTGGCGTGTACAAAAGCCAGATAATAAGTAGAGTCCTGGCCCAAGTCCACCTTATAGTGGGACTTTATGGTGCTTACACTGGGGCAATGGGGCCAAGGCCCCAGCTGGTTGTCATTTTACTGGTCTTTGAATGTATAATTGGGATTGACATAATTGGTAGTTAGCGTAACTCCTACATTTGTTTCTTGGCCTGTGGGGTAAGAGCTGGATGTGGGGAAGGCTAAGTGGAAACCTCTGGAACTGCCTGTGTTGGTTTTCTGGGGCTGCCATAACAAAGTATTACAAACTGGGTGGCTTAAATAACAGAAGTTCATCATCTTACAGTTCTGGAGGCCAGAAGTCCAAAATCAAGGTGTTGTCAGGGTTGATTCCTTCTGAGGGCTATGAGGGAGAATCTGTTCCTTGCCTCTTCCCTAGCTTCTGGCGGTTTGCTGCCAATCTTTGGCTTTCCTTGGCTTGTAAAAGCATCACTCCAATTTCTGCCTTCATCTTCACGTGGCGTGTGTGTGTGTGTGTGTGTGTGTGTGTGTGTGTCTATGTGTCTGTGTGTCTGTGCCCAAATTTCCCTTTAAGAACATCAGTCATATTGGATTAGGGGCCCACCTGCTTTAGTATGATCTCATCCTAACTTAACTAATTTACATCTGTAATGCCTTTATTTCCATATAAGATTACTTTCTGAAGTAGTGGGGGTTAGGACTCCAACATCTGAATTGCAGTGGGGTGGAGGAACACTATTCAACCCATAACACTACCCACCACTCAGCAGAGGATCAAAAGCAATTTTGGATCCTGGGGTTATGGCTGAGATTAGCACCACCTTTAAGAATCTAGAAGATGCAGGGATGGTGAGTCTCATCGTGTCTCCATCTAATTTGTCAGTCTGGCTCCTTCAGAAACTGGCTGGATCCTGAAGGTTGACAGAGGACTGCCACAGTTCAACCAAATAACAGCAGCCCCAGTGGCAGCCAGATGTTGTATCATTTCTAGAGAAGCTTAACCTGGCCTCAGGTCGATGGTATGTGGCCCTCAATTTGTCGAATGCATGCTTTTCTATCCCTATCAGAAAATAAGATCAAAAACAGTTTACAATCACACAAAATGGGAGACAATATTCATTTATAGTTTTGTCCCAAAGGTATTTTAACTCTCCTGCCTTCTGTCATAATTAGTAAAAGGGAATCTGGACAGTCTGGATACCCCACAGAACATCACATCAAGTCATGATATCGATTACATTATGTAAGAGGGGGCCAGCACAATGAAGGACTTGGTAAGAGACATGGGCTCCAGAGGGTAGGAGATGAACACTGAAAATTCAGGAAACTGCCACGTGCCTACAAATGTTAGGAGTTCAGTGGTCTGGAGTTCAGTCCTAGAACGTTCCCTCCAAAGTAAAGGACAAGCCAGGCACGGTAACTCATGCCTGTAATCCCAGCAGTTTGGAAGGCCAAAGGAGACAGATCGCTTGAGGTCAGGAGATCAAGACCAGACTGGCCAACATGGTGAAATCCCGTAGCCGAGCGTGGTGGTGCAGACCTGTAATCCCAGCTACTTGGGAGGCTGAGGGAGGAGAATCGCTTGAATTCAGGAAGCAGAGGTTGCAGTGAGCTGAGATTGCACCACTGCACTCCAGCCTGGGCAACAGAGTGAGACTCTGTCTCAAAATGAGAACCAAAAAAAACAAAAAAATCCACAAAGTAAAGGACAGATGATTGCATCTTGCATCTCCCACCATGAAGGAGGGACAATGCCTGGTGGGCTTCATCAGATTCTGCAGGCAGCATATTTGACACCTGGGAATATTGCTGATACCACATGATATAGAAGGCTACCAGTTTTGAATGGAACCCAGAGCAGGAAAGGGCCTCATAGCAGGTTCAGGATGCAGTTCAAACAGCTCTGCTGCTTGGGCCATGTGACCTGGCAACCACTAGAGTGTTGGAAGTATCAGTGGTGGGAAAAGATGGTATAGAATTTGTAGTAAGCCCCAGTGGGCATATCCAAGCTTAGACTTCTGAGGTTCTGGAGCAGGCCTATGACATGTACAGTGGAGAATTATACATTTTTAAAAAATTGGCCCTGGGCAGCGCATGGTGGCTCATGCGTGTAATACCAGTACTTTGGGAGGCCGAGGTTGCAGTGAGCCATGATCATTCCACTGCACTCTAGCCTGGGCAACATAGCTAGACAATGTGTGAATTGTTTTTTTTAAAAAAGGCCCAGGCAAATCCTGACACAGGCTACAACATGGATGAACGTGGAGGACATTATGCTAAGCGAAATAAGCCAGTCACAAAAGAACAGATACTATATAATTCCACATATTGTGAGGTACCTAGAGTAGTCAAAATCATAGCGACAAAGCCAAATGGGGGATGCCAGGGGCTGAGGGGAGTGGGGAATGGGGAGTTGTTTAATGAGTGTAGAATTTCAGTTATGCAGCTGGTGCAGTGGCTCACGCCTGTAATCCCAATACTTTGGGAGGCTGAAGCGAGTGGATTGCTTGAGCCTGGGAGTTCAAGACCAATCTGGGCAATATGTCAAAACCTTTTCTCTATCAAAAATACAAAAAATTAGCTGGGTGTGGTGGCGCAGTCCTGTGGTCCCAGCTACTTGGGAGGCTGAGGTAGGAGGATCACTTAAGTTTGGGAGGCAGGCGGAGGTTGCAGTGAGCCGAGATCATACCACTGCACTCCAGCCTGGGCGACAGAGTGAGATCCCATCTCAAAAAAAAAGAAAAAAGAAAAGAAAAGAAAAGAATTTCAGTTATGCAAGATGAAAAGGTTCTGGAGATCTGTTTCACAGCAATGCGAATCGAGTTAACACCACTGGACCATAGACTTGGAAATGGTTAAGTTGGTAACAAAGAAGAGACTCAGAATCTCACAAATAAAAATGGTGAACATTGTTTCATATATATATATATGGCCCTGATGTGTTACTGGGCTGTGGTAGAGATGGAATGCTTGGCCATGGAGCACTGAGACATCATGCACCTGGAGCTGCCGGTCATGAGCTGGGATTCTGAATGCAAATAAGGAGGCCCTCTGGTGTTCACATCTGGCTTTCAGTCATTTGTCACAGTCCAGTTGTCTGAATAACATTATCTTTTTGTAAAGCATCAGTGGCACTTGTAATAGCCATCCAATGCTTTTATCCTTAGATCCTTTCATCTACTGTTTCCCCCATATATCTCTAACGCCTGATACATCTTGTTCAATCATGCATTCTTTCCCACCTGTATAGTCTCCCAACTCACAAACAGTGAAAGCTTTAACAGCCAAACCCCTATTTTGTACCAGGGGCTGTCTGTGCTCCATCTGCCACCAAGGATGGGGTCCTCATTGCCAGCTGATGGTGAATGATCCAGCTCCAAATGCCCATCTTATCTCTTACTCTTCCTTCCTTCCTTCCTCTTTCTCTCTCTCTCTCTCATTTGGAGTCTCACTCTGTCACCCAGGCTGGAGTGCAGTGGTGCAATCTCGGCTCACTGCTACCTCCACCTTCCAGGTTCAAGCGATTCTCCTGCCTCAGCCTCCCAAGTAGCTGGGACTATAGGCGCATGCCACCACACCTGGTTAATTTTTTGTATTTTTAGTAAAACGAGGTTTCACCATGTTAGCCAGGATGGTCTCGATCTCCTGACCTCGTGATCTACCCACCTTGGCCTCTCAAGCTGCTGAGATTACAGGCGTGAGCCACTGTGCCTGGCCATCTCTTACTTTCTTAGACTCCTCCCAGTATTATCTATCACAGGGTGGGTTTTCCTGAGTCAGTTGCTGAGATGGAGTTTTGGGTACAAGATTGGGGATCAATTGATATGAAAGGAAGGGGTGAATAAACAGGATCAGGCAGAGGGAGAGCTGAGTGGGATGCAGGCCACACAAAGCCTTGGCCAACCCAGTGGGGAGCTCTGGAGCAGGGACAGCGCAGTAGAGTGTCCCCTGTTTTGGGGAAAGGGCATGACCTTCGAGAGGTAGCTTTTTGCAGCTGGAGCGAACCCTGATGGAGCTGACAACTGGAGGCTGCCTGCCCACTGCACTCCCTGCAGCTGCACAGTGAGTCTTTCCTTGAAAGGTGGTCTGGGTGGTGCATCTCTATGTTTACCTCAAAGTGTCAAATATTTTATTCAACTTATCGTTGAGGAAACAGCAGTATGCTAATGCTGGTTCCGAGAGCATTTGAGGACCTGGATTTATATAATCCTTTATAAAAAAGAATATTAGATTAATACTGTTAGGTTAGGTACAAAACAGATTAATGTGTCACAGGGCAATGAAACCATATCCTTTGGAGTTATCTTTCTGACAGAACAAAAATCATTTGTTTCTCTACTGGACAAACATCTGCAAGTTAATAGAAAACTTCACAGAGTCTAGGCTTTTGATCAATAGTAGACAGTGTATCAAAGAAAGGCACATTCTACTTACAGAATTCAGTAGTTCCTGGGCGAGCCTGTTAAACAATGCTCCAATATGACATTAAAAAGACATGCTGTTGCTTGAGCCCAGGAGTTTGAGGTTATAGTGAGCTATGATCATACAATTGCCCTCCAGCCTGGACAACAGCACGAGACTCCATCTCTAAATAAATAAATAAAGAAGACACACTGATCTCCACTTGCTCTATTTCCAAGTTTTTGGATACATTTTCTTATCATCTCTAAGGCAGAGCATCCCCCCTCTGGTGCTGAACAACCAGCCTCTTCCCCCTCACCTTTTACATTTGTCCTTGGAATTGGATCTTCGTTTTGTCAGGAACTGGTTACTGCCTTCCAGGAGCTTTGAAGAGTTGAATACAATTGCTGCCCATGGTTTCCTTGTCTCCTTTTCTTAAAATTTAGCAATCACATTGAAGCTAAGCCTCCTTTCTAGTGATTGCAACTTACTGTTTTTATCAGAAAGCTTCTATTTTCCAAGGCAAAAATGGTGGCTAAGGTAGACCCTCAGATGGACCCCTACTTCTCCTTAGTCAGAAAGTAATCTTTTTGGAAATCTGAAGAAATTTCTTGTATAGCTCCTTTATCGTCCTTTATCCTCTGAAAAGTCATACTATAGTCTTGCCCATAGAACAGCCCTTCGTGAATCCTTACTTATGTTATGTCTAATTCTCCAAACACCCCCCCCTTTTTTTTTTTTAAACTAGACGGAGTCTCACTCTGTCACCCAGGCTGGAGTGCAGTGGCCCAATCTCGGCTCACTGCAACCTCCACCTCCTGCTTCAAGCAATTCTCGTGCCTCAGCCTCCCGAGTAGCTGGGATTACAGGCACACGTCACCACGTCTGGCTAATTTTTGTATTTTTTTGTAGAGATGGGGTTTCACCATGTTGGCCAGGCTGGTCTTGAACTCCTGACCTCAGGTGATCTACCCACCTCAGCCTCCCGAAATGTTGGGATTACTGGCGTGAGCCACGGTGCCTGGCCTGAACACCTTTTGCATTTGTCATCATCTAAGTCTTTATGTTTCTTCCTATCAATATCTTCTTACCACTTTATCCCCTACACCCATTCTCCGTATCCGTGCAAATGCTCCTCATCCATCAAGTTTCAGTTTCATCTCCTCCATGAGTAACACTTCCCTAAGGACATTGTGTCCTTTACAATTTTTTTATAGCTTTATTGAGGTACATTTATTGACATACAATACATGGCACACATTTAAACTGTACAATTTGGTAAGTTTTGACATATGTTTACATTATGAAACCATCACCACAATCAATATAGTGAACATATTCATCACCCCTGAAAGTGTCCTCATGCCCTTTTGTCATCCCTCCTTCTGGGTCCTCCCTGCCACCACCTCCTCAGAAAATCAGAGATCTGCTATCTGTCAGTATAGGTATTTTGCATTTTCTATAATTTATATAAATGGAATCATATAGTATGCATTCTTTTTTGTCTTTTTTTACTCATATTACTGTAAGATTCATCCAAATTGTTGCGTGTTTCAATAGGTCATTTATTTTCATTGCTGAGTAGTATTTTATTGTGTAGATATAACACAATTTATCTATTTAACTATTGATGAACATTTGGGTTGTTTCCAGCTGTGGGCTATTACAAATAAAGCTGCTCTGAACATTTGTGTACAAGTCTTTGTGTGGACTTATACTATCATTTCTTTGGGGTAAATACCTAGGAGTGGAATGGCTGGGTTATATGTATATGTTTAACTTTGTAAGAAGTTGCCAAATAATTTTCCAAAGTGGTTGTATCTTACATTCTTACCAGTGGTGTATAAGGGTTCCAGTTTCTTCACATCCTCATCAGCACATAGTATGGTCAGCTTTTAAAAAATTTTAGCCATTCTAATAGGTGTGCGCCTGTAGAATGGTACCTCATTGTGGTTTTATTTTGCGTTTCCCTGATGACTAATAATGTTGAGCATCTTTTTATGTGCTTCTTTGCCAATTGAGTGTCTCCTTTGGTGAAGTGTCTGTTCAAATTCTTTGCCTATATTTTTTGGTTGCTTGTTTTCTCATCTTTCAGTTTTAAGCGTTCTTTATAAATTCTGGATAAAAGTCCTTTATCAGATATATGCTTTGCAAATATTTTCTCCTTGTCTGCGGCTTGTCAGTTTATTCTCCTGTGTCTTTTGAAAAGCAGAAACGTTTTAGTTTTGATTAAGTCAAATTTATTAATTTGTTCTTTTCGACTTGTTCTTTTGCTGTCATGTCTAAGAAAACTTTTCCTAATCCAACATCACAAAGGTTTTGTCCTACAAGTTTTATAGTTTGAGGTTTTATGTTTAGGTCTATGATCCATTTGAGGTAATTATGCACATGGTAGAAAGTATGGCTTGAGGTTCTTTGTTCTTTTTTTCACATATGGATATCCAATTGTTTTATTACCATTTATTTGTTGAGATTATCCTTTCTCTACTGTGTTTCTTTTGTGCCTTTGTAAAATATCAGTGATCTATATCTGTGTAGGTTTATTTCTTGACTGTATTCTGTTTCGTTGGTCTATTTGTCTACCTTGATGTCAAAACTACACTCTTTTAATTACTATAACTTTAAGTTATGGGTGGAATGGCTCCCCAAAGATATCCATGCTGTAATCTCTGAAACCTGTGAATTTGTTGTGTTACATTGGCAAAAATGACTTTTTAAAAAATTTATTTATTTTACTTATTTATTTTTTGAGACAGAGTCTCATTATGTTGCCCAAGCTGGAGGGCAGTGGCGCAATCTCAGCTCACTGCAGGCTCGACCTTCTAGGCTCAGGTGATCCTCCCATCTCAGCCTCTCAAGTAGCTGGGACTACAGGCACGTGCCACCACCCCTGGCTACTTTTTTTATTTTTTTGTACAGATGGAGTCTCGCTATGTTTCCCAGGTTGGTCTCAAACTCCTGGGCTCAGGCAATCCTCCCACTTTGGCTTCCCAAAGTGCTGGGATTACAGGCCTGAGCCACTGCACCTTGCTGGCAAGAAGGACTTTGCAGATGTAAATAAAGTTACGGACTTTAAAATAGGGAAATTATCTTGGATTATTTGGGTGTGCCTAATCTAATCACACGAACCCTTAAAGCAGATAGCTTTCTGCAGCTGAAGTCAGAAAGATAAGGCGATAGAGTCAGGTAGGAGAGATGCAGCAGAGAGGTGCGAGAAATCAGAGAGATCCCAAGAGTAAGAAGGATTCCACACACTTTTGCTGTCTCTGCGATGGAGGAGTCCACAGAAAGGACCAAAGAGGACTCTAGGAGCAAAGAGTGGCTTCCAGCTGACAGCCAGCAAGGCAACAAGAACCTCATTTCTGTAACTGCAAGGAACTAAATTCCGTCAACATCCTGAATAACCCTGGAAGTGGATTACCCAACTGAACTACTGACTTACAGGAACTGTGACTTAATAAATTTGTGTTGTTTTAAAGGTCTGTGATAATTTGTTATGGCAGCAATACAAATTAATATGCTTTATCATGTCTTGAAGTCAGGTAGTGTTAGCCCACCTTTTTCCTCTTTTTCAAAGCTGTGTTGGCTGTTTTCAAATTTATTGGTGTAAAGTTTACAATATTCCCTTGAATCACCTTTTAATATAATTTTAATATCATAATACACCCCTAGTTATTCTTTTAATAGAATTAGTAGTGATGTTACCTCTCTCATTCCTAATATTGACCATTTACACTGTTCCATCTGGTAATTCTTTGTCAACTCTGTAAAGCAAAACTAAAATTCTAAGCCCCCCACCCATCTGAATGGACCCCTTCTCTCAGCTAAGTGTATTCCAAAGTTAACCTGAAAAACTAGTTTAGGTCATGATGGGAAGGAGGAGTAGGGCATGCCCCATTATGCCCTCCTCCCTTTTAGAATTCTGGCACAGCTGACCAGTATTAACATTAACACAGACCTTAAGGCTGACAAAGCAGACTCTTTGTAATAAGAAGATATCAAATTCCATCCTGACTCTAGTACAGCATCACACGACAGATAGCATGCCCTGAAATAAATCAAAGTATTTTACCCGAAATCATGTTTATTTGCCATATCTTTGTCCTGCAAAGCTGTCTTTTATGGGGAAAATGTACACTCTGAAGAGAATCCCCTTCCTTTTCCAGGCCTTTTCCCTGATCCAGGAGAGAACCAACTCTGGTAAGAAACATTTACAATCTATTCTCTCTGAAGCCTGCTACCTGGAGGCTTCATTGGCATAATGGGAACCTTGGTCTCCACAACTCCCCCTTTACCCAGACACTCCTTTCTATTGATTCTGTCTGCATAATGGAAGCCCCAGTGTCCACAACCCCTTATCTTAACCCAGACATTCCCTTCTGTTGATTCTAGGTCTTTAGACAATAACTTAACTCTTTCAACCAATTGCCAATCAGAAAATCTTTGACTCTATCTGTAACATGGAAGGACCTCCACACTTGGAATTGTCCTGTCTTTTCTGACCGAACCAATGTACATCTTACATGTACTGATTGATGTCTTATGTCTCTCTAAAATATATATAACCAAACTGTACCCCAACCACCGTGGGCACATGTTCTCAGGATCTCCTGAGGGCTGTGTCACAGACAATTGGTCACTTATATTTGGCTCTGAATACATATTTTCAAATACTTTACAGAGTGTGACTCTTTTCATCAACAACACTCATCTCATCTCTGAATCACTCCAAAGAAGGGGCTCCACAACCACTTCTGTTAACTTGCCAGTGGACTAGTTCTGTAGCTGTCGCAGGATTCCTGGGTGTTGCTTTTCTGGCTGGAAACCTCTGTGGCCAGTGGCGCCTTTGCCCAAGTTTTGCTCAGGCCCGCTGGGCTGGTTCCACCCACTCAGCCTGGCAGGCTGTGCTTTGCTCATGCTATTGCCCTGGACCCCACACCTGCCAAGGGCAAGCCAGGCATGGAACAGTGAGGGGTGTGTGAGCAAGTGAGCAGGGGGTCCAGCCACTGCACACAGTCAAGCATGTTGGCTGCTGCAGTGGGACAGGCAGCTCCAGGTGCCAGCATGGATGCTGGCTCACTGCGAGGCTGCAGCTGGACCAGGCACACCACAAGCAGCTTCCATGGCTGGCACTGGGGAACAGTGGTGCCTGGAAACTTGGAGACTCTAGGAACCACAGGACCTCAAAGAGGAAGTCACAGCCCTGGCTCAGGGAGCACCCACATCTGGGTTCCCTGAAGGGCTGCAGCTCTTCTTTCCTTCTTTGCCTGCAACGTGGCAAGCAAGAGGTGTGTTTCAGCCCTGTTTGTGTTACAACTCTTTCAGCTCTGCCGTTCGGCAGCTCCCGAGTTCTTGTCTTGTGTCCAGGAAGAATGAAGTACATGGACAAATGGACAATGAGCAAGGTGAAGAGGAGCTTTACTGAGTGACTGAATAGCTCAGAGGAAACCCTGGAATGGGTAGCTCCTCTCTGAAGGCAGGTCATCTTTCAGATGAGAGTGTTCAGCTCTCAGCAGCAAGGAAGCCCTGAAATGGGTAGCTCTTCTTTACAGGCACATTATGGTGATGTCTCCCAGAGTCTGGCTGAGTCCAGGGTTCTCATGGGCCTCAGAGGGGAGGAAGTGTGTGCTGATTGGTCCATGGGCAGCCATGGCTGGGCCCAGGAAAAACATCACCAGTTCCCCCTCCGGTCAGCAGGACTGGAGGCCTGGCTTCCAGGCTTCAGGCCTTCCCCAGCCTGAAGGTAGGGCTTCACCGGGGACCCACTACTTTCTACCCCAGAGCCTGTCTCTTATGGCTTTCTATGGTGCCCAATTTGTTTGTGCCAAGGAGTGCCTGCAGGCCAGTGTGGAGCTGCCCTCAGCACCCCCTCGGCCTCCCTCCTGTGCTGGTCAGTGCCCAAAGTCTGGAGAGGGCTGAGGCAGCAGGGGGCTGGCATGTCAGCACTGCCTAGAGTGCGCACACACACGGCCAGGCTGTGATAGCACCTGGGCTTGGCCCCAACCTTGCTCTGAGATTGGAGTGGGCGCTGGGAGTGTGGAGAAGCCAGGCAGAAGGAGCAGACCCCTCTGAGCCTGTGGGGGGACGGGGGTCTTCCTGGGACCCTGAGAGTGCAGATATGCCCAGGTCTGCAGCTGTGGCTTGGATGGTTGCAGCTATGTCCAGGAGGGTGGGGCTCCCGCCTGCTCCTAGCCCCCAAGAGCACAGGGAAGCCTGGGTCTGGAGCCATGGCAGGGCAGCTGCAGCAGCTCCCTCCCCACCAACTTGGAAGGGGTGCAGCTCCTGCTTGTCCCTGGCTCCCACCAGCTCCCTGTAACTTGCAGCCCTGTGCCTCCCGGCTGTAGCCAGCACCTTGGCAGCAGCTGCTCCAGATGGGTTGCTGCTGCCATCATAGTCGCTCTGGTTCATCTGGCTCTCTCTGATAGTCTTAGCACCTGGAGTGTAAATAGAACAACCTTGTCCTGCTTATGCTTCCTAAAATCCTAGGCTCCTTCATCTTCTTATGCCAGCTGAAGTATGGGCTCCCTTAAAGCAGGAAATAGTGTTGAGGTCCCTTCTTTTTCTTACATCCCTCTTGGTGCAGTGTACTGCCGACCTGGGGACACAATAGGTATATGATGTATAAGTGAGGATTGGTTCTTTCCTCCTATAGTAAACATTTATGTTTTTGACCTGATTCCATTAATGTCCAAGTTGAGCTTTCTGTTTCAGAGCACATCCAATTATTCATGAATATTTATAGACATTACCTTTAATCACATGAGAACATCCTAGTTAGGACAAGCTGCCCTCAGAGAAAATTACAGGGGCATGTGGGTTCTCTTCCCTATGGTGGTGGGTAGTGGAGCCAGACCCAGGATTCCTTCTCTTTCTCCTGCCCATCATCTCAAGACACTTAATATGAGGCTGCATGATCACTTCTTTGTGTTCGAAGATGTCAAATTTCTTTCAGACACTCACCTGCATCTTCTTTGGGGACATGGGCTGTAAGAGCACAGGATTTAAAGAATCCTTAAGGTTGTTTGAAAATAGTTCTTGGGGCTGGGCATGGTGGCTCACGCCTGTAATCCCAGCACTTTGGGAGGCCAAGGTGGGCGGATCACTTGAGGCCAGGAGTTCGAGACCAGCCTGGCCAACATGGTGAAACCCCATCTCTACTAAAAATACAAAAATTAGCTAGCACAGTGGCGTGTGCCTGTAATCCCAGCTACTTGGAAGGTTGAGGGATGAGAATTGCTTGAGCCTGGGAGAAGGAGGTTGCAGTGAGCTGATATTGCACCACTGTACTCCGGCCTGGGTGACATAGTGAGACTCTGTCTCAAAAAAAAAAAAAAAAAGAAAAAGAAAAAGAAAGAGAGAGGAAAGAAAGAAGAAAGAAAGAAAATAAGAAAGAAAGAAAGAAAGAAAATAGCTCTGGAACCTCAGTTTGGCTACAGAATTGGTTATGTGACATTGAGCAAGCTTTATACATCATATATGCCTCAGTTTCCTCATTTGTTGAGTGAGATATCTAGACTAGGGAAATCTTAAAGCTAACAGCCTTCAGTTCCCGTGTTTTATCTTCCAACATCAGCAACAAAAACAGGAAGCCTCAGTACCCTGATATTTGCAGAGTTTCTGGCCTGAGCCCCCATGGCTTCTGGCTGAGCCATCCAAGGATTTTGGTTCTCTCTCAAACAGCTTCATCTTCCACCAGATTTTAATCTGAATGCCCAATAAAGTCAAATAGAGTTGGCCTCTGAAATGAAAATACTGTTACAAGTGGGAGAGAAACTGGAGGGTGAGTACTGCTAGAACATGAGAAATCTCTCTTGTGGGATTCCCCCTGCACAGTTATTAAAGTTTTGAAGGGTACCAGAATATGCCACTCCAAAATATGCCTCTTTGGTATATACATTATTTTGTGCTAAAGACCATTGATAACCAGCAGATGCAGGAAAAGCTCTTTACTTCCCCCTAACTGCCTAAAAATAGGCATTTATGAAGTGGCATGTCTGTGGAAACAAAAGAAAAACAAAAGTTAATGGTTAGAAAAACTTTACACCCAGATTTTTAGTCCAGAGGGCAGTCATTCAAGGCTTTTAGGTGCTGGACCGGAAGCATCTTTAGATGATAGAGTGGGAGTAGGCAGTGGCAATCCACTGATTTTCCTGATTTGCAGTGTCACAGTCATGGTTTTTTCTCAGAGCAGAGCATGAATGGATCCAGCTTCAGCTTGCAGGGCTTTTTAGATAGTCCCAATAAGGACCCGGGCAGTCAGATCTTAGTTTTCAGTGGCATCAAGTCAGAGGGGGTGAGAGAATAATTAGAAATGTTAATTACTGACAAAAAGCACAGAACAGCAGGATCCAGTTTACAAAGAGGTAAAAAGACAAAACAAAACAAAATGTTCAAAGATAGTGAACATGGCTAGAATTTGACAACCCACAAGGGTGTGCTATAGTTTCTCACAGGAACAGAATTTTTCTTTCTATAATCACTCTCATTTCTATCAAAGATCATCAAAGGAAGACTCATTTGCTTACAAGGTAAGTCTTGTCTCATTAAACTTGGCCTGATAAGTGCATAAGTGCAGCAAGAATAGTGACTGATCATATAGACTCTTTTAAGTCTGCTTTGCTGGATCTTTTAATAAGGAATCTCAAATTAGTCTTTCATTGATTGATTGATTGATTGAGGTAAGGTCTCACTCTGTCACCCAGGCTGGAGTGCAGTGGTGCAATCTTGGCTCACTGCAACCTCCGCCTCCTGGGCTCAAGTGATTCTCCCACCTCAGCCTCCAGAGTAGCTGGGACCACAGGCATGTGCCACCATACCCAGCTTATTTATGTATTTTTGTAGAGATGGGTTTTGTCATGTTGCCCAGGCTGGTCTTGAATTCTTGAGCTCAAGCGATCTGCTGGCCTTGGCTTCCCAAAGTGCTGGGATTACAGGTGTGTGGCACCAAATATATATACATATTTGGAGACAGATGTTCACTCTTGTTGCCTAGGCTGGAGTGCAATGGCACGATCTCAGCTCACTGCAACCTCCGCCTCCCAGGTTCAAGCGACCCTCCTGCCTCAGCCTCCTGAGTAGCTGGGATTACAGGCATGTGCCACCATGTCCCGTTAATTTTGTATTTTTAGTAGAGATGGGGTTTCACCATGTTGGCCAGGCTGGTCTCAAACACCTGACCTCAGGTGATCCACCCCCCTTGACCTCCCAAAGTGCTGGGATTACATGCATGAGCCACCAATATACTTGCCAATATATTGGCAAATTTTCCAATATATTTTAAGATTCTTGGACCTGTCAGGAAGTGGCCTTCCTTATTCATCTGTAAGAAGAGGGATCCTGTAAGAC
Organism: Homo sapiens; assembly: GCF_000001405.40. Taxonomy (NCBI): domain Eukaryota; kingdom Metazoa; phylum Chordata; class Mammalia; order Primates; family Hominidae; genus Homo; species Homo sapiens. Next base: position 49,648,594 of record NC_000023.11, read on the forward strand.
AGGTACCAAGCCGGTGTTCCAAGAGGGCTTTGTAAGCATTGGCTCCATAAAGTCAACCTTAGTTCCTTACATCTGTTTGGTCTTATCTGATTCTATGTTCCTTATTCTTAAATATGACATTCCATTCAAATCCTTGGTAAGATAACCAGTGTTTCTAATTTTGTCCTGTTTTAAGAACAGATTCTTATTGAACTTATGCAAATAACTATATTACCATGTATCCTGTTACAGAAAAGATCCTTACTGAAGATATGCAAATAACAATATTACCACGAAAATAATATTTAATAAGAGTTTCTGAATTCTGGAAGGATGAGATAGGGAGAAAAATAAATATTTTATTTTCATTTACAAAGGTATAATCTAACAAATTGTTGTAAGTTATAAATAGTTTAAGAGAAAAGAGAAAAAGCGTTTTCTTAAATCTGGAAAATAAAACACTAAAGAACCTACAATGTTTCAAAAAGAAAGTCATAAAAATTATAATCATCTTCATCAGTTTATTCAGGGCCATGTAATTAATTTTTGTCCTGCTTGATCTTGGGTTAGCAGCTTTATAAAGTCATGAGAATTTTGTTTTTTTTTTAAACCTGAGTTCTGGGAATTTTTACTCAGTTTTTTTTTTTTTTTTTTTTTTTTAATGGAGTCTTGCTCTGTCGCCCATGCTAGAGTGGAGTGGCACATTCTTGGCTCACTGCAACCTCGCCTCCTGGGTTCAAGCGATTCTCTTGCCTCAGCCTCCGGAGCAGCTGGGATTACAGGCGCCCGCCACCATGCCCGGATAATTTCTGTAGTTTTAGTAGAGACAGGGTTTCACCATGTTGGCCAGCCTGGTCTCGAACTCCTGGCCTCAAGTGATCTGCCCGCCTCGGCCTTCCAAAGTGCTGGGATAAGAGGTGTGAGCTACAGTGCCTGGCCAAGTTCAGTGGTATGATCTTAAGGTTATTGGAAACCCGTACTTTGGAATACTCGTCAGAGTCTTTTGTTTGAATCCTTTTGAAGATGGAGCACTTTTGTTTTTTGCTTACAGGTGATTGTAAAAGCTATCAGATAAAAACCAAAATAATAATTGCCTGTGAATGACAAAATACTTAAAATAGCCATGGTTAAAGATCTAACTAATTATAATGCAATTGATGATGAAATTTGGTTATTTCTGTGACATAAGATATTTTAACATAATATCTGGAATTATGTTAAATTATGTTAAATCCATAATATCTGGAATACCAGAACATATAGACAGTAAAGACATTGACAAATTTTTAGGAATATTATACAATTTCTGAAACACATACATATATATGTTTTAATTTTTCATAGAGACGTAGGTCTTACTACGTGGCCCAGGCTGGTTGAACTCCTGGCCTCAAGACAAGATCCTCTTGTCTGGGCCTCCCAAAGTGTTGGAATTATAGGCCACCATGCCTGGCCTGAAACACTTATATTAATAACATAGATATTTACAAATATAACCTAAAGAAGGTTAAGCATCAGTTCACATTTCACAATGATTCCCATATAATTTAACATATCAAATACATCTAATTAGTTTAGCATCTCTCTTTTACAAGGTGATAGAGAGAACAAGTCCTTTGAGATTTTACAGGGGCCCTCTGGGAAATCTCAGTTAGTTTGAGGCAAAAAAGGATTTCATTTAGAATTTCATTTGGGGAAGTTTGTAAAAAAAATGTCAAAAGGTTTGAACACCTGATTATATAAGATCAAGAACACTATGAGACAATACTTAGTTATCTATTTAAAACAAAATGACAATAAAAGATTTCAAAGGCAAATATAGAAAGTAACGTATGTATAAAAAATTGCTTAGCTCTTTCAATACTGAGAAAATTCCATTTCATTAAGTAATCAAAGGCTTGATAAAGACAATATGAAGCACAGAAAATTATTTTTAAAATTTTTTATTGATACATAATAAGTGCACATATTTAGGGGGTACAGGTGATATTTTGATACATGCATACTTAGTTCAAGTCAGGGTACTTAGGACACTTATCATGTCAAACATTTATCATTTCTTTGTGTTAGGAATATTTCAAATCTTCTCTTCTAGCCTTTTTTTTTTTCTTAACACAGGGTCTTGATCTGTTGCCCAGTCTGGAGTGCAATGGTGCCATCATGGCTCACTGCAGCTTCGGCTGCCCAGGCTCAAGTGATCCTCCCATCTCAGCCTCCTGAGTAGTTGGGACCACAGGCATATGCCACCATGCCTAGCTAACTTTTTAAATTATTTGTAGAGATGAGGTCTCGCTATATTGCCCAGGCTGGTCTTGAACTCCTGGGCTCAAGTGATCCTCCCACATCAGCCTTCTAAAGTGCTGGGATTATAAGCATGAGCCACCATGCCTGGCCACTTCTAGCTGCTTTTGAAATATACAATAAATTGTTAACTATAGTCACCCTACTGTGTATTCAAACACTAAAACTTGTTCCTTTTATCTAATTGTATGTTTGAAATTATTTGAAAAGACACAGAATCTTTGTTTTCTTTTTTTTTTGTTTTTTTTTTTTAATTATACTTTAAGTTTTAGGGTACATGTGCACATTGTGCAGGTTAGTTACATATGTATACATGTGCCATGCTGGTGCGCTGCACCCACTATCTCATCATCTAGCATTAGGTACATCTCCCAGTGCTATCCCTCCCCCCTCCCCCCACCCCACAACAGTCCCCAGAGTGTGATATTCCCCTTCCTCTGTCCATGTGATCTCATTGTTCAGTTCCCACCTATGAGTGAGAATATGCGGTGTTTGGTTTTTTGTTCTTGCAATAGTTTACTGAGAATGATGATTTCCAATTTCATCCATGTCCCTACAAAGGACATGAACTCATCATTTTTTATGGCTGCATAGTATTCCATGGTGTACATGTGCCACATTTTCTTAATCCAGTCTATCATTGTTTTTGTTTTCTATTACTTACTCAATAGGTAAAGAAAACCCCCTTACAATAATCCAATTTTTTTCATTTTAACAGAGAGAGAAATTCAAATTATAGTTTTGCATAGGTACATTACTGATATTAAATCTCATTTTAAAAACTGTTATAATAAACTCATTCAATTAAAATAGACGACAATTTAATTGTCGCTAAAATGACAGGTTAAGGCCTGTTTGACCACAGGAGATAAGATTCTCTCTCTGTGTGTCTCTCAGTCTCTTTCTTTACATTTTATATCTATTTCAGTTTTTGTCCTTTATTTTCCCCTTTCTCATTTTGAAACAAAATTTAAATAACCCCTCAACTAGAACAAAATTACTCTCCTTTTCCCTTAACAAAAATGCACCCTTCATACCTCAGACCTTTTCTTACCAAAGCACATCTTATTTTCCTTGCACACTTTGCATATAGAATTTTTTCCTTTGTCCTTATTATTTCTAGTAGTTAAATATATTGATTAGAATTCTTAACCCTTAGCAATCTTCATTCTCAGTTAAAATTAGAAAGCAAGGAAGTGTAAACTGTCACATACCAACATTTTGTAGTAGATTAGCAAATTTATGGATACACCCTTTCATAATTCCTAGAGATATATGCTTCCCTGTAGTATAATTTTTTGATGTGGCAAAGGATATTTTTAGTAACAGGTCCCAATATCTTTAGTATCTCTGTAAAAATTAAGAAGCCAAAATTAGATGAATTTAAACTTATGTTTAGCAATTGATGTTGCAGTATTTTATATTATTTGTTAATCATCTAGATATTTAATGATTATCTATCTATCATTTAATGTTACTTAGTATACTTTTAGGGCTTCAAATTACCAAAAAGATTTTGGAAGCATTTTCAAGCAAACATTATAAAACATGTAATAGGCCGGGCACGGTGGCTCATGCCTGTAATCCCAAGACTTTGGGAGGCCGGGTCGGGCAGATGACCTGAGGTCAGGAGTTCAAGACCAGCCTGGACAACATGGTGAAATCCCATCTCTACTAAAAATACAAAAAAGTCAGCTGGGCTTGGTGGCGGGCGCCTATAGTCCCAGCTACTCAGGAGGCTGAGGCAGGAGAATCGCTTGAACCCAGGAGGTGCAGGTTGCAGTGATCTGAGATCGTGCCACTGCACTCCAGCCTGGGTGACAGAGTGAGACTCTGTCTCAAAAATTATTAAATAAATAAATAAATAAAACATATAATAGTTATTGTTGGAAAGTTCATTTATAAACTTTTAGCCCATTTCCATTCATTTAATTCACTTGTTATTAACAATTATGCATGAATTGTTCATGAAAATTTCCTGAGACATTAAACAAAGCTAGCCATCATCTTATTTTTCTTGCTGACCAATTTTATAACACATGTATATTAGGCAAGCATCAAACATTACAGAACAAAGCACCTGAAAAATTAAACACATGGCTCCCCAAATTTGTTTTTACTGGTGTACTTCATACACACAAGCAATTTATTTATTTATTTATTTTTGAGACAGGTCTCACTCTGTTGCTCAGGCTGGAGTGCAATGGTGCCATCATGGCTCACTGCAACCTCCTCCTCCTGGGCTCAAGTGATCCTTTCACCTCAGGCTCCCAAGTAACTAGGGCTACAGGTGCATGCCACCACGCCTGGCTAATTTTTGTAGTTTTTGTAGAGAGGGGGTTTCACCATGTTGCCCAGGCTGGCCTTGAACTTCTAGCCTCAAGTGATCCTCCTGCCCCACCCACCAGCAATTTGTTTTTATTGTACATTTGGTTTTTAGCTTAAATTTATAATTTTTAACTCTTAAACACCTAGTACAGATAATGTAACATTATTTAACTTGTAAACCCAAGAGAATAAAATCACGTCTGTATAATATTTAATGCTGTCAACTGTGAAGACAAGCTGTTTTTATTTAACCAACAGTCTTTTTGTTTCGTTTTACTTTGTTTTGTTTTTGAGGCAGCGTCTCACTCTGTTGCGCAGGCTGGAGTACAGTGGAACAATTATGGCTCACTGCAGCCTCAACCTTCCCGGGCTCAGGTGATCCTTTCACCTTAGCCTCCCACCACCACGCCTGGCTAATTTTTGTATTTTTTGTATTGACGGGATTTTACTAGGTTGCCCAGGCTGGTCTCAAACTGCTGGGCTCAAGCGATCCTCCCTCCTCAGCCTCCCAAAGTACTGGGTTTATAGGTTCGAGCCACTGCACCCAGCCTAACCAAAAATCTTAACTCAGCAATCTTAACCTAACTTTATTTACCAAAGATTATCCCAGATTATGTGAATTCGAAAAAAAAATTGGATTGGATTCTAGTTTTCTAAGAGTTCTAGGAATACTTAATTTACATAAGTGCTTAATTTATTTTAGACCAATTAAAGCAGAGCTCTTTTACAGGACTTTATGAGTTAATTTTGACAGCACTATTGCAAGGTAGAAAATACCACCTATACATAACATATATACATACATACATGGACAAATGTACAAAGGTACAGGCAAATGCAAATAGAGATCTTATAGCTTTCATTTAAAATTTTTAGCTATGAATCAGGCAAACATAGTAATAAAAAACTCACTAGTTTATATACAATAGTCAGATCCAAATTGTGTTTTTGGCAGATGGGCAAATTAAGGTTACCTGTTTAATGAGGGCTAATTTTACTATTTGTGGAAGAGAATTTTGAGACTTTCATTTGCCCATGATAAATAATTTTATGATGACAATAGACCAAGTTTTGGTTGAAGGACTCTCTGGAAATGCCAGGTAGCAATTTGTTTTCAAAAGCCTCTTTCTCCCTCTTCAGTCTCAGGTGGTTGCAGATGGTGGCTTTAGCCAAGAATGATCTCTTTGGATGTTTTATGCTATCTATCTATCTATCTATCTATCTATCTATCTATCTATCTATGTATCTATCTATCATCTATCTGTCTATCTATCTGTCTGTCTATCTATCTATCTATCTATCTATCTATCTATCTATCTATCATCTATCTATTTTTTTTTTTTGAGACAAGATCTCACTCTGTCGCCCAGGCTCGAGTGCAGTGGTGCGATCTTGGCTCACTACAGCCTCTATGCTCCAGGCTCAAGCAATCCTCCCACCTTAGCTCCCCAAGTAGCTGGGACCACAGGTGCACCCCACCATGCCCGGCTAATTTTGCATTTTTTTGTAGAGATGGACTTTTTGCTATGTTGCCCAGGCTGGTCTCGATCTCCTGGGCTCAAGGGATCAATCTGCCTTGGCCTCTCAAAGTGCTGGGATTTCAAATGTGAGCCACCGCGTCAGGCCTGATAAAAATATGGTAAGAGTTACAACTCCAAGGGACAGAGAAAGGTTGTAAATTTTCTCTGAGAAGGCACATTTGCTTACTGTTGGAAACCCAGGGCAATTGTTATTTGTGTTTTTTTTAAGTGCAGATTTCTTTGTGGTGGGGGTCCAAAATGCATCCGCAAAGGGAATTGTGTGGGAGTGCCTGGAGCTGATGGTTGTAGAGTAAGGGGCAGTAAAACAGCCTTGCTGCGCATTTTTGGGGGTCAGAGGTTGGGTGGCTTTGTTAAAGCTAGTTGCTGGCTATCAGTGTTTGTATAAGTCCCACACCTGCCTGAGTGTCTTTTGTAAGTCTTAACTTTTATTCTAAGTCTGATCTCTGCTTCCTAATCTTGTTAAGGGGGTTTTTGCTCTCAGAAATGCACTCTCCCATTTCTTTTTTTCTTCTTCCCATCTGATCTTTCCACAGGTACCAAGAGGATATTTATTTAGGATGAGAGCTCTCTAAAGATTATTTTAGATGTCAAACCAAAGGATCTGTGTCTGGCCATCAGTGGATAGGACCTCTGAAAGATACACCTACTCCGAATGTGGCAGAAACCATAAAGCCTTTTGATGGAAAGACCCAGAGGCAAATTTCCAGGCCGAGAGTAAGTTTTTACCATGGACAAAAGAGACATCCCTGAAATGGGTGCAGATGATGTTGCCCCTGTGATTCCAAATAGGTCACTCCCAAAGATAGACATGGAATATGAAGGCATTCATTGTCACAGGTGGTAAGGAAACTCCAGTCTTCCACAAAAGTGAGACACCTTCAATCACAAACCCACTAATCTGTGACACCAGGTAGGCAATACTGGGACAGGAATTTCCCTAGCACATGTAAGGCAGCAAAGAGAAAAGACGCAGACTCAGCTCTGAGAGTTGGCACAGTTGCTAGGCAAAGTATCTTGGGTCCCCATCCTGATAGCTCACCACCTACAGATGCAAGCCCAACAACCTGCAACGCCAGCAGAAAAACCAGGGGGAATGTGCTCTCAATGGATCCAAGCCAAGCTCTCAAGACACAAGATAAGATGGAAGAAAAATCTCATCTTTTTAAAAAATTGGTGACCCACAGCAAAGTTGGTTCAAATGGAGACTGGTCCGGTGAGAACTGTAAACTCACCAATCTGTGAGGTTGAACAACAGGCTTATAGGACATATGCCTGCATTTTACCCTATGATTCTTCCTCTTATGACAAATGACACAAAAGACAGAGACAAAAGAATATTGTGGCTACCCTTTGAGAGAGAGATGGATCAGTAAGAAATGATCAAAGTCACACAAACCCAGAGAACTAACTTCACACAAATGTTTTCTCCTGTTAATCTAAACTTGGAAAGGAGAAATTTTTACCACCTGGTCTTGACCATAGTCTACACATGGAAATCTGGGATGCTGAGTTCAGGAAGAATTCTTAACCTTTTACCAGTTTGGTCTGGGCCCCAGAGTTTTACTGTAGCCTCTGGGGTGAGTCAGGGACTTTGTTGGTTTTGTTCTCTGTTGTATCCCTAGCACCTAGAACAGCACTCAGGCACATAGCAGATTCTCAGAAAACTCTAGTTGAAGAATGGATGGGAGCCAGGCACATTGCAAACATCACTAAGATGCACAGATGTCCTCCAAGGTGGGCATTTGAATGAGACTCAGAGAGGACAGGTGAATTCCCCAAGGTCGCTGCTATGGTTTGAGTATTTGTCCTCTCCAAAATTTATGTTGAAGTTTAATTCCCAATTTGGTAGTGTGGAGAGGTAAGACCTTTGAAAGGTTATTGGGTCATGAAGGCTCTGCCGTCATGAATGGATTAATGGGTTAATGAATTAACGGGTTACCATGGGAGTGAGACTGGTGGCCCTATAAAAAGAGGAAAAGAAACCTGAACTAGCACACTTAGCCTCCTTGCCATGTGATACCTATCTGCACTGCCTGAGGACTCTCAGAGAGTCCCCACCAGTAAGACCATCCTAACCAGATGTGCCCCCTCAACCTTGAACTTAGCCTCCAGAACTGTAAGAAATAAATTGCCTTTCTTTATAAATCACCCGGTCTCAAGTATTCTGTTATAGCAACACAAAACCACTAAGACACCAGGCAAGTGGAACAGCATTGACTTACCCAAGAAGAGATACTGGGCTCACCAGGTAGCATCAGTTTAGCTAATTAATTATGAACAGTCTTGGTGTTGTTCAGGTATTTAGTGCCAGGGATGTGCTAACTGCTTTTCAGGTATTTTCTAACTTAATTATCACAATATCTTTTGAGGAGGTGCTGGCCCCATTATGACCTCTGTTTTACAGATAAAGAAACTGGGGCACAGAGATGATATGTGACCTTGCTTCCAGGTCACTCAACCAGTGGATAATGAATTCAAGGCTCAAACCCTGTCTATCTGTGGCAGAAGCCATTGTCCTGAGGGCCTTGGTTAATAGTAAGAGCTAACTCTTAATGGGCAGCTGGGCTCTGTTACAGACACTTTACTGTGCTAAATCATTTCATCTCCACAGCAACACTGTCAGGAAGGTGCCTTTATTTTCCCATTTTACAGAGAGTGAAACTGAGGCACAGAGAGTTTAGGCAACTTACTCAAAGTTAAATAGTTGGGAAACGGATTAAAACACTGGAAGTCTTTCGGTGCTTTATGAGTTCTTTTTTTTTAGCAGTATTTAATAAATATAATTTATTGATATTTAACAATACTTAATGGATTTAATAAACTTATTAATATTTAACAATACTTAATAACATTAATCCATTGTCTAGCCCTTGAGTCCAAGAATTATTGCTCTAACAAAACAACAAGGACAACTAGGCCCTCCTACTTCCCTGTAGCCTCAACTAGATAAATGCAAATATGTTGGCTCATGCCTGTAATCCCAGCACTTTTTTTAAAAAATTTTATTATTATACTTTAAGTTTTAGGGTACATGTGCACAATGTGCAGGTTAGTTACATATGTATACATGTGCCATGCTGGTGTGCTGCACCCATTAACTCGTCATTTAGCATTACGTATATCTCCTAATGCTATCCCTCCCCCCTCCCCCCACCCCACAACAGTCCCCGGAGTGTGATGCTTTATGAGTTCTTATGGAGGCTTCATTATGATTAAACCATTGACCATTGGTGATCGACTCAATCTCTAGTCCCTCTCTCCTCCTTAGAGGTTGCAGGTGGGGAGGAAAGTCCCAACCCTCTAATCCTGCCATAGTTTTCTGGTGACCAGCCCATCCTGAAGCTACCTAGCACTCTCAGCCACCAGTCATATTATTAGCATACAGAAGACACATCACTCCAGAGATTCCAAGAGTCTTGTGTTAGGAACCGGGGACTGAGACCAAATATTATAGCAAAAGATGCTTCTACCACTCCTATCACTCAGGAAATTAAAAGGGTTTTAGAAGCTCTGTGCCAGGAACTGGAGATGAAGTCTAAATATGCATTTCCTATTATATCAGAATATCATGGTTGGTTTTCACCTGGTACAGAGGGTACAAAAGGTACAGCAGGTACAGACTCTAGCAGTGACCATCATCAGCATCTCAGAGGAGTGGCTGGATCTTTCTGCTAACCCACTCTCCCCAACACCCTCACAAATTTAACCCTTGATTTTGATTTTGGTAACAAAGTGGAGTCTTCTTTTTGTTTGACAGTTTAATAATAATTGTGTTGACCAAAATTAAGGCTGTTGAGGCATAAATAATTTCATAAAGGTTTATTGGAAGTCAAATGTGAGGATTGACCTGGGAAGACACACCAACAAAAAGTTGGTGTTAAGAGTCTGTTACAAGTTGGAAGGCTTTGATAAGAAAGTTTAGGGGAAAGGAGGGGGATTTCTCAGTTGGAGTTGTCCTTCTTCATTGGAGGTTACAATACAGCGGTTACAATCATTGGCTAGAGATGACAACATACAAGGTAACAAAATTTATTATTTTTTGGGACAGAGACCCGCTCTGTCACCCAGGCTGGAGTGCAGTGGTGCAATCTCGGCTCACTGCAACCTCTGCTTTCAGGGTTCAAGTGATTCTCCTGCCTCAGCCCCCAGAGTAGCTGGGATTACAGGCGTGGGCCACCACACCCTGCTAATGTTTTGTATTTTTTGTAGAGACAGGGTTTCGCCATGTTGGCCAGGCTGCTTTTGAACTCCTGACCTCAAGTGATCTGCCCGCCTTGGTCTCCCCAAGTGCTAGGATTACAGGTGTGAGCCACCACACCTGGCCACTAAAATGTTTTATGCACAAGACAATCCATAAAACTTTATGATTTAGAAACAAATCAGTGTCCTTTTCAATGTCAGTAGGTTATGTATTAATGAGTACATCAAACTTGCTCAGAAGCTACATTTAAGCAGAATCACCTCTAGGTTTGGGCATAAGTGTACATCTGGTTACAGATTACAGAAGCATAATCACTAACTCCTTCAGACATTACCTTATGTGTGGGGAAAGGCAAGGACTGAGGTTACTTATCTTTTAAGGAAAATAGTGACTCAGGGAAGAGACATGGTGGGCCTGTACTCTAACCTGTTTTGTCTTGAGAGCATCTTTCTGGCGAGCTGCACATCCTCACAGAGTCAGGGGCTTTGTGGAATTATGCTGGCAAGCAGAAATGAGCAAACATGGATTCTTCCACCTGCTACTTCATCTCACAATTGTTTGCAAATGTCATTATTGCACTCTTCCAATAATGTTATCTCAAAATTTAAGCATCATTCTGACACGCCACATTTTTTTTTTTTTTGAGACAGGGTGTGGCTCTGTTGCCCAGGCTGGAGTGCAGTGGCGTGATCTTGGCTTACCGCAACCTCTGCCTCCCGGGTTCAAGCGATTCTTGGGCCTCAGCCTCCTGAGTAGCTGGGATTACGGGCATGTGCCATCACTCCTGTGGCTAAAATTTTTGTATTTTTAGTAGAGACAGGGTTTTGCCATGTTGTCCAGGATGGTCTCGAAATCCTGACCTCAAGTGATCCACCTGCCTCAGCTTCCCAAAGTGTTGAGATTACAGACCTGAGCCACTGCCTCTGGCCCACTTGTTTACATGTATGTATGTGTATTAGAGACAAGATCTTGTTCTGTTGTCCAGGCTGGAGTGCAGTGGTGAGATCATAGGTCAGTGTAACCTCCAACTCCTGAGCTCAAGCAGTCCTCCCACCTTGGCCAGAGTGCTGCGACTACAGCACCTCGGCTATTGTTAGATATTATCAATCCTGATAGGATTGAAGTATTTATTCTAAACAACACTCACTTTAATCTGGGTCTAGTATAGCCAATTTAGAGGTTAAGGCTCTATTTTTAAAACTGGAGTACATAGGACACACTGCACGAGTGTTTGGAACTATTGAGACTGTGACTCCAAGGGCCTGTTGGTATTTTCTGCAAGGCCCAGTGCTGTTTGTGTGGTCTCACACCAGAAGGCAAAGTTACACTCTGAACTGTCTAGCATCAGACATCTTGGGCCAGCAGGCCAGGGGTCAGCTTCTGTATATCCTTGTGGAATGAATGGCATGCAGGTCCCTGTGGAAGTTTCTGTCTCTCTCTTTCTTTCTCTGTCTCTCTCACTCTCTCCAACACACAGACACACACACACACACACACACACACGAACGCACGCACAACCAGGGATCAGGGGCTTCTGGCAAGCCCCTGTCATTCAACTATTTCTATGTGTGTTTGTAGAGCATCTGAAAATTTTCTTTTTTTCTTTCTTTTTTTTTTTGAGACAGAGTCTTGCTCTTGTCGCCCAGGTTGGAGTAGAATGGTGCCATCTTGGCTCAGTGCAACCTCCACCTCCCGGGTTCAAGTGATTCTCCTGCCTCAGCCTCCTGAGTAGCTGGGATTACAGGCGCCTGCCACCACACCTGGCTAATTTTTGTATTTCTGGTACAGATGGGCTTTTACCATGTTGGTCAGGCTGGTCTCAAACTCCTGACCTCAGGTGATCTGCCTGCCTCGGCCTCCCATAGTGCTGGGATTACAGGCGTGAGCCACTGTGCCCAGACCATCTGACAATTTTCAAATGACTTCCACACATAGCATCTTATTTCACCCACACCATAACCCTCATAAGTATCTAACTGACTATCCTCATTTTAGCTTTATGGAAACAGATGTGGAGATGGAGGACTGTGTCATAGGCAGAAGTGACTGAGCCTCAGCCTGAATTCAGGGTGATCTGTTGTGGGCTCTGTTCTCTACGACACTTGGCCTGTGGCCCCCACACAGGCCTGTCTTCCTATATCCCTCCTCTGTCTCTCCTCTCTGAGCCTCCCAGCATCCAATGGCCTCCTGCCACCGCTGTGGTTCTGCCTGGTCTCCTGGGGCTGGGATTCAAGGTCTAGAACTCTCCTTTCCTCCCAGCAGCTATAGCCTTTTCTCATGGCCTTCCAGTTCTCTCTGCAACTAACTTTCAGGCTGACAAACAAATAAGCCCTTTCATACCTTTGTGGGATTGATAATATCTGAAAACATGTGGCCTTTAAGATCAATTTTTGAATCTGGAGATAACATCATTGGGCCAGTGTAAAATTCTTATCCCAAGACCTTAATTTCCGATGGTGAAATTTAGGCATTGTGGTTATAGACATGAAGCTGTGTCATTGTGTGCATACCAAACCTTTTCCCTACCCAACAAACCTTTTCTTCAGATCTGCTTTGCATTTAAGAACACTTCATAGCACAATTCGTTTCCTGCACTTTGGGGCAGGAAACAAATTGTGCTATGTAGTTCATTGGGAAGTAGAGGAGGGAGGGGCAAAGAGAGAAAGAGAAAGAAAGAAAGAGAGATTTAGAAAGGCAACTTTCCCCCCAAAGTTTCTCTTCATTGCCTGTGATAGTGCAATTATAAATGCTATCCTTATTTAATTAACTCGCAAATGGGAACCAAATGTAGCATCAGCATATCGGCCAGTGAGAAGGTAGAGATATTTTTGTGACTTCTCTCCATCAAACTGTGTGATAGGGACAAGCCATTGAACTTCTCTGAGCCTGTTTCCTCATTTGAAAAATCACAGTAATGATTCCAACTTCACTAGTGTTTGTGAAGATGAAGCGATATATGAAATGGTATGCTTTACAACCTATAAATTACTTTGGTAATATAGGGCTTACATCATATACATCAATAAACTAATGTGCCTTCTGTGGGCCCAGCTGGGGTATACCCAAATGCACCATGAAGCCAGCTGCCCTGGCCAATCTCCTCACCAGTGGGCTGAGAGGCCTCCCTCTGTTCTTCCCTCCCTTCAGGGATTAGCCTAACACTCACAGAGCTCCTGGAAGCCCCAAGGCTGTGCTTGCAGGACTGCAGGCTGCGGTAGACTCTGTTCTGGGCCACTGCCCTGCGGAGGCCAGGCTCCTTGTTGGTAAGGCCAGGAGCGCCCTAGCTCTTGGGAAAAAAAAAATGTTAGAAATGTCTCTAGGAGCCTGTGTGATGAAATGGTACAGCCCTGCTGGTGCTTTGCAGACATTGAAGGTCCTGTTTCACTTGATGAAAAGTTTGTGTGTGGAGAATTCTGTCCCCAGACTGAGGGACCCCACACCAACATGCGATTTACAGGGGTACATGTCCAGATGCCAAGGGAAAGCAGTCGTCCCTTCTGATCCCGTGTTAGTGGGGTGCCTGACAGACCCTGTGACTTAGGCCCCAGTACTCCCACCCTGAGCCCTGGGTAAGCACCACACAAATATACAGATCACAAATGAGAATAGGCCCCCAAACTCCCTACTTTCATTTGAAACTGTTTGTAGCAGGGCTGAGAACTGTATATTGACCAGAACATCAGTGGCCTCAAGACTGTCACCATCTGAATCCAGTGTTCTCTTCCTGCTGTTTCCCACCCTCCTGAATGAAATCTATAGGATAATCATGAAGGTAGATTTTAAGACACCAGGGCTGTCATCTAGGTGGCATAAGTGACAGATGGCCTTCCAAGTGTGCTGTGGACACTGTAGTTGCTCAATGATAGGCATTGTCCTGTACAGCTCCCCATCTTCATCCAGTTCATCATGACCCCCCTGGGAACAGGGGACAGAGTAGACTGGAGTGTGCAGAACTTGGGAACTGGAGAATTTTGTAGAAGAAACTGATTTGGGGACACATTGCATTTAATGTCATTTCAGGACATCTGAATGGGAACATCCAGGTAGTGATATAGGGTGGGAGCTTGGGAGAGAAACGTAGTCCTGTCCTTGGGCTAATCACAGCCTGAGCATAAAGAATCTTGGAGAGAGCAGAGAATCAATGAAGAGACTTAAGGAAAGCACTGATTTCGGGTTCAGAAGAGACCAATGTTAGCCCAGTGAACCAACAAAGGAAGGAACAGGCCCAAGCCTCCACCAGAAGTTTACTTCAGTTTTATTGAACCAATGCCTACTAGATGCGGAACTACATTTCACTCTTGCTGTGTAAATACTGATTACATTTTTTTCCAGTTATGATGAAGTTTAGAACAGTGTATTTTTAGAATGTAATTTTGCTTTGACATCCCTATTTTTTATTTTTATTTTTATTTATTTATTTTGAGATGGAGTCTCGCTCTGTTGCCCATGCTGGAGTGCAGTGGTGAAATCTCAGCTCACTGCAACCTCCGCCTCCCGGGTTGAAGTGATTCTCCTGCCTCAGCCTCCCGAGTAGCTGGGATTACAGGCTCGCACCACCATGCTCAGCTAATTTTTGTATTTTTAATAGAGATGGGGTTTCACCATATTGGCCAGGCTGGTCTCGAACTCCTGACCTTAGGTGATCCACCTGCCTCAGCCTCCCAAAGTGCTGGGATTACAGGCATGAGCCACAGTGCCCGGCCTATTTTTATTTTATTTTATTATTTTTGTGGTTTGCTTTGACATCTCTATAACCTGCAAGTTTAACTTCCCTTTGGAAACTGCACAGGGCTTTTTTTTTCTGTTGCAAAAAAATGTATTTTATTACTTGAGTAAAATTACAGTATCTCTGTTGTTAATAAGTATTAAATGAAATTGAGCCCCTCCCCTTTCCTTTCAAATTTCCGTGAAAGTGCATGTAACAGTCCATTTTTTTCTTCCATATCTAATACAAAATAAACACTATTCCTGCTCTCTTGATCAAGAAGAAGCATTTGCTCTTGCAAGGAACATATGGACATTTGAATGAAAGTGATATTTCTTATTTATATACAAGAGCATTTACATTTTCTCTACTGAATATTGTTCAAGATGCTATACTTAGCAGCCTTGTGAAATTCCAGCACACATTTTCTATCATGTATATACCTACACAGCAAAATGTTACGTCTTAGTTCAACTACCAAAACAACACTTGTTTGTTTTCTCTAAAGAATTCTGCATGCTTATTACTGCACAGAAATGCATTAATATTGAAGATGACTCATGTAAAAAGCACAATACAAATAGCAATTCAAAAAGGAAATGGTTAAATCTACAAAACAAAAAAAGTTTGACTTTTTGAATAAAAATAAAAAAACAAACCTGTCAAACAACCACACTGTTCAGTCTGTACTTTCAGTCCTTTCCTTAAATCTGTTTTGAAAGATTAGACAATGTGTTTGATGATAAAAATTTCCAGCAGAATCAAAGTGTACATTTATGTACAGACTTTATTAGAGATCTAATGCATCACTGAGGCATTGCATCAACACCAGATTCATATTAAACTGGATATAAAAAATAAGTTAATGCCAGATTACAACTGCCTAGCAGGGCAACTTGCAATTGCCATACATATCACAGCAAGTTTACAGCACTCTAGCTAATTAGTATTTAGTCCAAAATACATAAGACCAAAGTTAATACTTTCATTCCGTTTGCAAAGCGAGGTTATATCGCTAATAAATAAGCTTCCTTAGAACTCCAAAGTTGAACAGGGTACAAAAGAATATCTTCATGATGTTGTAATTCATAGATCTGGGAAACCAGAAGGAAGGGGTATGGGGGCAAGGGGTAGGAGGCCACCACAGGTCGTATTCTGAACAGGAATGAATGCTATGTTTCCAGCCCAAGCTGCTTTAACTTGTGACGATCTCTTTGCTGTCCTCCATGAAGCGGGTGAAGCGGAATTGGTTCTCTTCTAATTGCTTGCCATTTTCCCCAGGCCGGCCAGAGAAGCAGTGGGCTCTGATTTCTGGAGCTTCTCCAGATTTCCTGTCAGCCCACTAACAGGTGAGCTGTTCCCAGTGTCGAGGCTTCCAGGAATTGGATGGATGCCACCATTCTGAATGACGGAGGTCCCGTTGCCCTTCATCGCCAACCCGTTGGAATGCCGTGCTGCATTCTGATTCCAGAAGCTGGAAGGATCCCCACTTCCTGATCTTGCCACCAAATCCTTATGGAACATTTCTGGGAACTTGATGGGATTGCCTCCTAGAAATGTCATGGGCCCATCCCCAGAGAGCTGCCTACCCTGTCACACAGGGGTGCTATTCCACATGTGAGTGCCCGTGTGTACCTTTTGTCGTGAAAGCTCTTCCACAAATAGTACAAGCAAACAGTTTCTCTCCAATGTGAGTTCTGCCAGGCACTCAACGAGGGGGAGGTTTTGCCACATGTGTTGCAGTAGTGCTGCTTGGGAGTTCTGGGCAGAGCCAAGAGCAGAACTGGAGATGTGGCAGAGAAAGACAGAGGCCCAGAAGGGATGTGACTGGTGGGGTGTCCTTACTGTCCTGAGGAGAAATATGCACAAAGCCGTTGATCTCCGTTTTGCTGAGAGATGACAACGAGTTGGCGGGAATCACCACAGAGTTCTGATTGGGGCCAAGATTGGAACTGGGCTGAAAGAGCTGTGATGGTAGATCTTGCATCTGATGTATCAACATGTGCTGCTTCAAATTACCCTTTGTGGAAAAGTCACAATTGCAAACTGCAAATAAATGGTCTCTCTTTGGTATGGTTTCTATAGTGAATGTCCAAGGCACTCTGACAAGCAAATGTTTTGCCACAAATGTTGCAAGCGGTGTTTTTAAATTTACGCTGGACTCTGAAAGGGAAGAGGGTCCCCAGAGAATCTTCTCTGATGATTTTCTGTATGTGACTGGATGTCAGATCCAAAGCCCCGCCATTCACTGGAATGAAAGACAAACCGTTGGCAAACTCGCTTGGGACCACTCTCTGTGGTTTCTCCTATTCTCTGGGTGACTTATGGAACTCCTGGGTGCTGTTGGATGGGGACAGAGCCTGCATGGAAGACGTAGACTCTGAGATGGCTGGGCTGCCAGCACTTTAGCTCTCCATGTCATCACCCACTGAGGATGAATCATTGATCAGGACATCATCCTCGAAGGACCCATTCTCCACTGACTTCAGGCTGGCCCGCAGCTGCTCCACTAGGCCAACATTCATCATCTTCATCTGATTTTCCAAAGCAGTGATGCTCGACATCTCTAGGGGCAAAGGCGAAGAAGATAAACTGTCTTGGGAGTCGTCTGCAGACTTGGGCATATCAGGGAATCTGCCCTCAGGACAGTCTTCCATTTTTTCACTGGAGAAGTTGTCTAGGTCATCAAAATTTTTCCCATAGAAGGAGCCTATGTCAGACTCCATGGACTCAGAGTAACTGCTGGGGACTGGAGTGTTGGAGACCTGGCCTCCCATATGCATTCGAGTGTGCTGCTGCGGGATGACAGCATCGTCTGTCAACTTCCAGCAGATGGGGCAGGAATGCTGGGCTCTGAGCAGGGGCACAGCATGATGGACACTGTAGTGGGTTTTAAGATTCCTTTCTGTGATGAAAACCTGGCCACAGATCTTACACTTAAAAGGCCTCTCCCTAATGTGTGTCCAATAGTGCATTTACAAGGCACTCTGACAGCTGAGAACTGGGTAGCAGATGATGCACTCACTGGGGCCAGTGGCCTTTTGTCAATGTTTTCTACCAGTTGCTGAAGCTTGGATGTCTCTGATGCCTGGGCTGAGTCCAAGAGCCCCCCAGAAGGAAACTTGGCCTTGAACTGCTTGGACATGAGAGGCAACAAAGGGTTGGTGAAGGTGGTAGTGCTTCCCCAGGGGGCCCCAGTCTGCTGCTGGGGAGCTCAGGGCACTACTGTTCGCTGTCAGGACCGAGTTGGTGACCACACCACTCTCTTTGCTTTTGCCACTGGAGGGTGGCAGAGTGGACCCTTCAGCTTCCTCTGGGAGCCCACCTAGGTTTCTTGTGGCCAGCTCGGCGGCCCTGGAGTCACTTTTGACTAAACCTGTGGGACTGGTGGCAGAATGGCTAATGGGGAAGGGGGCTGGCTCTTCCGTCTTGATGAAGAGTATGAGGCTTGGGAGGGTTGGGAGCAATGGCAGGCAGACTGAAGTGGTCAGAGTAGCCAGGACTGGTTTGGTGTCTAACCAGCTGGTGACCGGCTTCTCTGGAGTGATGGACATGCCATATGGGATGCCAGTACTCATGGGGATATTGTCCAAATGCTCAGGCACAGGATAAGGGTTCATCTGGGTATGGGTGTATTTCTCTTTGTGGCACTGAAAGTGGACTTTCAGATTCTTCTTGGTGGAGAACCCGTTCCCACAGATGTTGTACTTGAACGCCCTCTTTCCAGTATGGGAATGCAAGTGGATCTGCAAGGCACTGTCGCTCTCAAAGACCTTTGTGCAGAACCTGCACTTGCGTTTGAAGAATGCCTCATTGGAAGTATTTTTCACTTCAAAGGCAGTGACATTTGGTGGCTTGCTTTTTCTTTGCTGGGCCAAGGCAGACAAGGAGTCTAAATCCCCTGCAGTTGTTCCAATGTTGGGCAAAGGGCTGGGGAAAACTGAGTTAGCGGGGGCCAACTGATGTAGAAGTGGATCAGATGCAGGACTTAATAAACTGCTTATTGCAAAAGCTGGTGAGGATGATGATGAGACAGCTGGGTTGCTGACATGGGAGGCCGCAGCTCTTGAAGCCACCTTTTCTGAGGACGGGGTGGTAACTGACACCACCAATATGTTCATATTGGGAGAAAAGCCACTGTTGGATGGAATGATGGTGTTGCCAGAACTACTCTGAAGTAGCTGGATTGGGGTAGCTGTTTCACACCACTAATGCTAGCAGATTGGCTGGCGAGGCTCTGTGACAATCAAGCTGCTGCTGCCAGCTGCTGAGATAAATGGGAATTTAGCATGGACAAGGGGTTGGCAGATGTTTGTAAAGTACCTTGAGAAGGATGAGAAGATGTTGGCAAGTCTGCATTCTGAGAAGCCAACAGCAATATTTGGTGACAAATCTATTCGATCAGTTGCAGCTAGTGGACCTGCTGCTGCTGCATACCTAGGAGCTGTTCCATGAGGGCTGGGATGGCCAACTTGCCCCAGGAAGCCCCACGGCACCTCACTTCCTGGGAGAACTGGGACACCACCACCTTGGTGCTCTGGAGGTTCTCGATGATGACGTTGCTGTTGATCACGGAGAAGTTGCCCAGTGTTGTCAGGTCCCCGAGTTGAGGTAGAGAGGTTGTGATCACTGAGGTATCTGTGGGGGAGCTGCTGCTGCTGCTGCCACTTGGGGCAATACTGCTGTGGCTGTGGCTGGAAGTGCTGCTGCCACTTTTGTTAGCTACTGGGGCCTCCACCTCCATGGACTCTTCCCTGTCAAGTCTGTTGTGTTCTGAAAGGTCGCTGCAGTCCACTTGATCTGTTTTGTTAACTGTTTCATTCATTTGTTCATCAGGATTATTGGGAGGGAGCCTGGGGGAGAAGGTTTTGGATGGGGAGGCTGGATTTTCATTTACAAATAAAACTAATTGATTTTTAGTACAGTTCTTCTTGTGGAGCAGAAGATGTGATAATTCAAAGAACTTGGCACAGCACTGGCCACAGATGTGGGTGTCCTTGCTCTTAGTGGGAAGACTTGATTGACCCTTTTCCCTGTCTCCACAGGTTCAAGCGAATCTCATGCCTTGGCCTCCCCAGTAGTTGGGACTACAGGCGCCTACCACCATGCCCTGCTAATTTTTGCATTTTTAGTAGAGAGGAGGCTTCACCATGCTGGCCAGGCTGGTCTTGAACTCCTGACCTCAAGTGATCCACCCACCTTGGCCTTCCAAAGTGCTGGGATTATAGGCGTGAGCCACTGTGCCTGGCCTGCATAGTACTTTTAATTTAATCTTGTCAGCTTAATTTTTTTCTATGACTTTATTAAGTTATAATTGTTATTCAGTAGACTACACATATTTAAAGTGTAGACAATATGATGAGTTTTGGCATATGCATGCACCCACGAAACCATCACAAGAATCAAGATAGTGAACATATGCATCACCTCCAAAAGTCTCCTCGTGTCCCTTTGTCATCCCTCCATCCCATCCCTTCCTCCTACCTTCCCATCCCCGTGAAACCACTGACTGCTTTCTGTTTGTATGGCCTAGAATTTTATAAAAATGGAACCATATAGTATATACTCTTTCATCTGGCTTCATTCATGCAGTGTAATTATTTTGAGATTCATTCATGATGTTGTTGCCAAACACCAGAGGTTTGGCCTAGGTCCAGTTGCTCATCACACAGAAAGCCAATTACTGAGACAAGTGTTGTCCAGGAAAAAAGGCTTTATTGCAGGTGATGTCAACCAAGAGATGGGAGACAAGTCTGAAATCTGTCCCTTCAACTGATTAAAGTTAGGGGTTTATATAGCAGGAAAGGAAAACAGGAATTAGAGAGGGTTAGGGAAGAGGAGTTGGTCAATAGGCAGCAGGTGTATCATACTGTCTGGATGTGTTGATCTCTAAAGCCCCAGCCCCACTGACACCATCTAGGGGCCTATTGGCCAGTCTCCTAAGAAAGGAACTCAGACAAGACAAATGTAAGTTTCTAAAGCTTCAGTTTTATGGGAAACTTGGGCTAGTTTCAAGGTTTCTTTAATGTGCTAACTTTATAGCCCCATCTAGTAAGTCTGAAGTTTCCAATTTTATACTCTCATTCTTTTGGCTAAAGTCTCTGATAGCTTTTATAATACATGCCCTCTTGAGAAAGGTAAAATGTAGACATGATCAGACATGTACACTTTCAGGTGAAGATCTTGTCAGAATTGTTTTTCTGAGAATAGGTTTTGTTAGAAGTCTGGTAGGGCTAAGTTGGAAAGAATAATGCTTTTAGCATCTGACAGGTGTCCTTGAGAGAAACCAATAAAGCAGCCAAGGGAGGTTCTAACTCCTGAAAACAAATGTTTCAGAACTTCCAATGCTGTAGAGAGCTGGCCCTCTACAGGGCTTTTCTCCGTGAACTTCAACTTGCCTGTCGCGAAAATCTCTTCATAAACATTCAGCTTCCTTTGGATCTGGGCTGTAAATACTTGCCTGGACTCAAGGATCCCCTAACTTTATGATGTACCTTTTATGTAAATATATGTTGACTTGCTGGTTTGTGTATGCATTGCATGTAAGGTCTCTTTTTAAAGCATAGATTTAAATATTATAGAATATAAAAGATAAATGTTTCTCTACTTTCTAAAATAAGACACTTTATTTAGAATGTTAAGATAGCCCCTGCCTGTTATGTAGAACCATTAAGTATCTTGAAAAATTAATTGTTTGTTGCATATTTTTAAGAGCTCTGACTGTAATCCTGAAATGATTTCTAATGACTGCGGGAGAGGAGGAGCTGACTGCTGCTACAAACACATGGACACCTGAATTCACACGTCTTAGTGGCCACTTTAGCCTTGAGAAGCTGATTATGAAAGATGTGAAACAACTCCAGAGTTCTGCAGGTGTATAGGGGATGAGGGTGGGTAGCAAATGCCATAAAAGAGCAACAACAACCACCCTGATAAAAATATTAGGAACAGGCTGGGTGCAGTGGCTCAAGCCTGTTATCCCAGCACTTTGGGAGGCCAAGGCAGAAGGATCGCTTGAGCCCAGGAGTTTGAGACCAGCCTGGGTAAAGCGAGACTCTTTCTCTACAAAAAATAGAACAAATGTGTAAGGTATGGTGGTGTGTGCCTGTGGTCCCAGCTACTTGGGAGGTTAACGTGGAAGGATTGATTGAGCCTGGGTGGTTGAATATGCAGCAAACTGTGATCATGCCACTGAACTGCAGCCTGGATGACAGAAAGACCCTGTCTTAAAAATGAATAAATAAAGTAAAAAGAAAAAATTGGGAACAATCATCATTATTTTAAAGCGTTATACCCTGGAACAGGGTTTCTCAACCTCAGCTCTATTGACATTTGGGCCAGATGATCCTTTGTTGTGGGGCCTGCCTGTGTATTGTAGGATGTTTTAGCAGCATCCCTGACCTTTGCCTACCACAGGCCAGTAATCCTTTCCCCAGTTGTAACAACCAAAAATGTCTCTACGCTGGGCGTGGTGGCTCACACCTGCAATCCCGGCACTTTGGGAGGCTGAGGTGGGCGGATCCCTTGAGGTCAAGGGGTTCGAGACCAGCCTGACCAACATGGAGAAACCCCGACTCTAGTAAAAATACAAAAATTAGCCAGGCGTGGTGGCATACCCCTGTAATCCCAGCTACTTGGGAGGCTGAGGCAGGAGAATCGCTTGAATCCAGGAGGTGGAGGTTGCAATGAGCTGAGATCGTGCCATTGCACTCTAGCCTGAGCAACAAGAGCAAAACTCTGCCTCAAAAAAAAAAAAAAAAAAAAAAGTCCCTAGATGGCTGGGTGCAGTGGCTCACAGCTGTAAACCTAGCACTTTGGATTGCTAGAGCCCAGGGAGGATTGCCTGAGCCCAGGAGTTGGAGGCCACCCTGGGCAACATAGTGAGACTTCGTCTCTATAAAAAAAAAAAAAAATGTCTCTAGACATTGCTGAATTCCCCTGGGGGACAAAATTTCTTCCCTGCTCCCCTTTGAGAACCATTGCCTTAGAGTAAAATATTCTAATATACATTTATTACAAAAAAAACCCCAGCTTTCTTGAGATATAATTTACATGCCATACAATTCACCCTTTTAAAGTGTGCAATTCAGTGGTTTATAATGTATTTACATGGTTGAGCAACCACTGCCACAGTCTAATTTTAGGACATTTTTGCCCTCCCTAAAACAAACCCTGTGCCCGTTAACAGTCCCTCCCCATCCCCCCAACCCCTGCAACCACTAATTTATCTTCTATCTCTATGGATTTGTCTATTCTGGATATTTCATATAAATGAAATAATACAATATGCTGTCTTTTGTGACTGGCTTCTCTCACATAGCATAATGCTTTCAAGGTTCACTCACTTTTAGCACGTATGAGTACTTTATTCCTTTTTATGACTGAATAATATTCCACTGCATGGAAAAACCACATTTTGTCTATCCATTCATCAGTTGGTGAACACGTGGGTTGTATCCATCTTTTGGCTATTACGAGTAACACTGCTATGAATATTCAAATACAAGTTTTTGTGCAGACATATTTTCATTTCTCTTGAATGAAAGGAATGGTGTTTCTGGGGCATATAAAACACTTTTTAAACAGGAAGTTCTTCTTTTCAAGATACGTCTTATGGCAAACCTCCAAATACAAGATATATCACAGTGGAGTGTTTGAAGTGAGGTTAGCTGGAGCTCCAGAGCCCTGCCTGGGCTGCCATTTGACAGCCCTGGTGGCCTTGAGATGTCTCCACAGAACACCTTCCAACAAAAAAAATTTTTTTGAGACAGGATCTGGCTCTGTCACCCAGGCTGGAGTGCAGAGGCATGATCTTGGATCACTGCAACCTCCGCCTCCCAGGCTCAAGTGATCCTCCCACCTCAGCCTCCCAAGTAGCAGGGACTACAGGTGCATGCCACCATTCCCGGCTAATTTTTGTACTTTTTTGTAGAGATGGTTTTGCCATGTTGCCCAGGCTGGTCTCAAACTCCTGGGCTCAAGCACTCAGTCTGCCTCAGCCTCCCAAAGTGCTGGTATTACAGGTGTGAGCCACCTTGTCCTGCCCAAACAATATTTTTTCTTTTTAATGAACGATTATCAACCAAGCTCAGAACTTTAATCAAAAAGGATACAAACACAAAACAGTTTGGCAATTGCTGTCTGCTTCTTTGTGTCTAGGACACCTCCGTATTAAATCTCGAACATTGAAATCTCATCCTTCATTTCCTTCAGGTCTCACATCTTGGCTTGACATGCCTTTTCAGTTTTCTCTTTCCCTTCCTGGACAGTAGTGTCTGGATCTTACTTTTTTTTTTTTTTTTTTCCCAAGTCTCACTCTGTTGCACAGGCTGGAGTGCAGTGGTGCTATCTCGGCTCACTGCAACCTCCACCTCCCGGGTTCAAGCGATTCTCCTGCCTCAGCCTCCCAAGTAGCTGGGACTACAGGCGTGTGCCATCATGTCCAGCTAATTTTTGTATTTTTAGTAGAGACAGGGTTTCACCATGTTAGCCAGGATGGTCTCAATCTCCTGACCTCGTGATCCACCCACCTCAGCCTCCCAAAGTTCTGGGACTACAGGCGTGAGCCACCGCGCCTGGCCAGATCTTCTTCTTCTTTTTTTTTTTTTTTTTTTTTTTTTTTTGAGACCGAGTTTCACTTTTGTTGCCCAGGCTGGAATGCAATGGTGCGATCTCAGCTCACTACAACCTCCGCCTCCCGGGTTCAAGTGATTCTCCTGCCTCAGCCTCCCGAGTAGCTGGGATTACAGGCATGCGCCACCACGACGGGCTAATTTTGTATTTTTAGTAGAGACGGGGTTTCTCCATGTTGGTCAGGCTGGTCTTGAACTCCCGACCTCAGGTGGTCCGCCCGCCTCAGCCTCCCGAAGTGCTGGGATCATAGGCGTGAGCCACCATGCCCAGCACGGATCTTACTTTTATCTCCTCACTCCATGATAACTGTGCAGTTTATCTTGGGTTCCCCAGCAGTCTCCTTCTTATCTCTTTTTCTCTGGCCTATGCAGCCTGCCCCAGCCATGCTAAACTTCAGAACTGCATTGCTATGATTTGTTCTCTTCCTTTCTGTCAACATAAATTCAGATTCACTTAGTTTCTTCATTCATTCATCAGATATTTACGATAACCAAGATTTACTATGCTCGGAACTGCAGGAGTTCCAGATATACAGGGAGGAGTTCCTGTCTTTCATTCAGACAGATAAGACAGTTACAGAATGCCCACCTTAGAAGATGGTATATGCTAACAGCCGTTTGAACGGTACAAGCACAAAAATAGCTAGAGACGTCTTCATGTGAGATTGGGGATGACTTCGTAAATGGGACAGCACTGAAGAACTGGCAGGAATTCTTTACATAGAGGTGGTATTAGGGCATCTGGTGGAGAGGGTGGCATAAGCAAGGTCACGGAAATAGGAAAACACAGATGATATTCTGGCAATTATGAGTCAAATAATTAAAGCAGGTGAGTAATGAGACAAAGTAGTATGGTTACATAGACCAATGAGAATGGAAGGCTTTGAAAGCCTGCCCAAGGGGTTGAAGTTTATGTAGTGGACAATGGAAAACAAGTGAAGTGTTTGAAGGAATGACTGATGCAATCCAACCTGGAGTTTCTCTGATATTGTAGTTCCGCACCCTGGCCCACTGTTAGGAGATGATTCGGTAAAAAGGTTTTAACCAGAGGGAACTCCCTTCATTATTTCTTCTGGTTACTTTACCTCTCAGGGCCTGATTTTCCATGACAATAAATCAAAGGAGACTGGACAAAATGATCTTTCCAGCATCTCTATTCCTGAATCAAGCATGGACCAGGAAGCCCTGCTGCTTTTTGAAGAGTTAGGGACGAGTTGGGCTAAGGGCTGTGGGAAGATGACAAGGAACATTTGTGAGATTTCCATGGGGAAATGAGTCATATTTGGAAACATCAGAAAGTAAGAAAATCTTTGTCTATAATCTATCCAGCTTCCCTCTTGCATATCTTTTTCCTTTTAGTGGCTTCCTCTCCACCTTTAATCTAGAAGTTTATAAAACGGCTTGGGGGATGAAGCACACATGCTTTGTCTTATTTTTCTATCCCTAGTACATAACACAGTGCCTGATTCATGGCCTGTCAGTAAGACTCTGATAATAAATAATTTCTTCCAACCCCTGTCAAAACCTACTCTCAGAGAGAAAATATGTAAGCAAATTCATACTAAGGTATAAATGGCTGATAACCATTTAAATTGTGATCCATATACTAAGAGGAATTTTTCTTATAAGTAATGGAATAGCCCTTTGCTAAAATCAAAACCCATTTCTAATAGTGGCATACATAGAACTAGGGGAGGCTTCAGGATGGCAGCAGTGATATTTCCAGTTGGGATCTCAGCCACTATTAGTCCCTCTTATCCTAAAGGGGCTTCTCAATTCCCACCTAGAGGCTAAGCCTTGCCTCATTCTCTGCAATAGATGCTGTCTGTTCTCAGCAGAAATTTCTGGAGCCCTGTTTTAACATTCTGGAGCTCAATGTTGGGCTCTGCTTGCTTCAAAACTGGTTCTGGGTATTTATAGCTCATTTCATAGAACTAGGCTTCTGTTTGGTTTCTCCAGCCTGGGTATATGCCGCGACAACATGTCCACTCCCCTGGACACTCTCAGATAACAGTTCTGTGCTTATCTCTTTCTAGTATATCTTAACACCTTTCTCCCATCTGACTCTGCATGGAGTCAACTTTTACCTTTGATATCTAGCCCAGTACCCATCACCTTTCTCCCTGTTGTAAGATGACCCTGCTGCTGACTCCCAACTTGCTTAGACTTCCAAGAATCAGCAGCCAATGTGTAGCCTGCCACTGATACCCTGTCTTCCTACCCTGAGAACCAGCCAGAATTCCTGGCACTTCAAATTGGAACTTCCCCTGTCCCCTCAGCCAAACCTAACTACTGACCTAGACTGCCCTCTGCCATTTGTTCCCAGAGCCCCTGGGCATTACATTTGTCCTCTTGAAAGGGAATGCCTCTGCATCTGAAGTTGAGTCAGCTCTCCTGTGATAAGGGCTTAGTGGGTCTACTTCTAAGCCCTGGCTTTATCTTAATTGAACTGACCTTGCCATGGCCTGGAAGATGGCAAGCAAGCATTTATCTGGAGCACCTGATATCAGACTCTGGAGCTAATGATCTACCCTGCTAGGTTATAAGGAAAGCTTCACGGCTAACATTTTCTTGTGGGAGTCACCCAGGCAACTGAGGCTGCCTTGTTGCCACAAGATAACCTTCCATATAGATATTTTTCTCCAGTTAGACATCCTTTATTCAACTTGGGGGTTGCATTTGTCCAAAATTTTCTTCCTTGGCATGTAGGATAGTTGACCTAACTACCTACTATGGTCTTCCACCTGCCTTCTTGTATTAAATGCCTGTTGCATTTGTCCTAGGCAGAAATGAATTTCATTGATAGAGGGACCATATATCTGCACTGGGTGGATAGATTCCTTTATGGTGTAATTCCAGGGATTCACAGAAAGTATCTGCTCCCAAATATGTCTCCCACATGATGATGTGTGTCATCATTATTTCCATCCAATCTCTCCAATGGGTGGGCCTCAATTTCTACTTGTTTTCAAAGACTCAGAGTAACTTGGAGAGAAGGACACAGCAACGAGGAAGAAAATATAGTTAGTAATTATGATTACTTCTTTTGGATCCTCCCTATTATACACCAAGGTGTATAATATGAATTTAAAAGAATTTATTGGCTTACACAAATGGGAACTGCAGGGATCCATGCTTTGGGGGTACAGCTGGATCCAGGGGCTCAAATAGCTTCATCAGTGCTCCCTCATGGTGCCTTCTCTGGTATGCAAAAAAGGTCCCAGGGAGGACTCTGATTGGTTGATTTGTGTAATGTGCCCTCCTTTCATCCAAACACTCTGCTTAAGAGGATGGTCGATGCTGCTTGGCTAGCCTAAATCACAGGAGGCCCAGCCCAATGGTCAGGAGGGGAAAATAGTTTCACTCTAAAGAAACTACGAGAATATTGGGTTATCTGCAGGGTAAAGGGGTTCCCTTACCAGAGAAGGGCAAATAGATGCTGAGATGGAAACAGTCAGATGTCTATTTTAAGGGTCAGGGGGATAAAGGGGCTGTACTGCATATTTGCCTAGACCTCACTTTGGGTTATCCATTGCTCACTTCATTATCCCTTGTTAAAATATAAAGGTGGGAGTGGGGCTAAGGAATCATGCTGAGTCTTAACTCAGTGTGAAAGGGTTTGTTCAAAATGTTCTATTCCCACTGACCCAGGCCATAGAACACTTTGGAGAACAAGTCTGGAAGCCTAAAATGGGAGGGTCCTAAAAAAAAGCACAAAGGAGGGCACAAAGCGGGGTACCAAGAACCAGTGGATATCCCTGGCCTATCCTATAGCATGGTCCTGGGCCAAGAGCCAGCCTGAGGATTTGCATATCTGCATGTAAATGGATCTTAAGTTCTGGCATTCATCTTGAGCAGCTTGGAGCTCAAGATGAGGTTCCTTTCCCATCTCTCCCCTCCCCTCCTCTCCCCTCCTCTCCCTTCGCCTCCCCTTCCCTTCCTTTCCCCTGAGCACCTTTTCACCCCAGGAGCTGTTCACAGCTCCTTCTTCAGAAGTCTTCTCTCTCTTCAGATAAGATGGCTTTCTCTCCTTCGCCCTACAGACACACTCCAAGGACAGTGACACATACACATTCAGACAGAATTCACGATTACATTTTGACGAGAGATGCCATTTTATCTAAAAGCACCGTCCATGTGCCAATCTAAGGGCAGAAATTAAACCCTAAACCAACACAATTACAAGTCAATAGTATCATTAGAAAAGACTATCACTAAAACGTTTGTGTATTGTGGCTTAAATTCAATCATGGTAGGAAATTTGAGCTGTTTCTGGGAGATAAGTCTTGCATAACCAGAAACTGAATGCTCTCTTCTTTTCCCACCAGCAGCCTCATCTCCACTAGTTTCTAAGAGCCAACCTGTCCTTAGCTCCATTGAACTATGGCTATGGTTACTTCAGGGTCTTACAATGATGGTATCCTTTCTACTCCTTGAAAATTATGTTTGCCATAATTACCTCTCTTGTGTCCTTTTCTTAAGACCAACGACTTTGCTATTAGTGTTGAAGGAAGGGGCCAGCACTCCTAAGCATCCATCCACTTGTAAGCAAGTACGTCCGTCCAGGCTACCATTAATATCTTTTGTTTCAGAGCTTTTTGCTTTATTTCACAAGCACTCTTGTCTTGTTTCTTGCATAGGATCTCCTCATGACCAGGTTCTATAAAACTCAAGAGCAATTTGAGTGTAAGAAACATTGCTCACCAGAACGTCCTTCCTACTCATGATGATACTCCTGTTTCCCTTTCATCAGCCCCTCATCGTTGATCTTCATAGACAAACTCTTGTCCCCTCCCCAAATTCTGTGTGGCTTGGTTTTTGACCCCAGTAGATGAGGTAACTGGGTGTGTCAGCAATTAGACTGACATCCCTGACCCCTGGCATTCAGTTGTAACAGTAGTCTCTGTCTCCAAATGGGGTTTCTCCTGCCTTGATGTTGGGCATTTCAGATGTACCCCCCAAGAAAAATGGAGTGATGTTTGCTGTGTGCTTCTGTCTGTTTGGCACAGGACCTGTTTCTCGGTGACTCCTAAAGCTATGTGCCTTTGGAGCAAAAGTCCAGACTGGCAGAAGGAGCCTGTTGAGTGCTGAAGAATTTAGAGACATCCATCTCCAGTTCAGTTGCTTTTCTGTCAAAATCTCAGTCCCTACATCTCTCAGAAATCCCAAACTGCTCCAATCATCCCAGCTTGCAATTTGGATACCTTTTAATGCTATGCTTTTTAACGTTATGAAAACCAAATGTGTCAGAATGTGTCTTTTTTTTTTTGTGGGCTCGCTGAGTGCTTTTGCACTACATCATTTATTGTCATGCATCTGTAGGCTTATAGTCTACTTAAAATTTTTTTATTTTACAATAATTTGAATTCATTCGCTTTCCAACCTGCTTATTGCAGTTCAGGGTGGCAGGTGGCCAGAGCCTATCCTGGCAGCTCAAAGGGCAAGGTAGGAACCCACCCTGGCCAAGATGCCATCCCATCGCAGGGCACACTTACACAGACACTCACACTCACTTAGACCGGTACCATGTAGACACACCCGTTCACCTAATGTGCACAGCTTTGGGATATGGGAGAAAACTGGAGTAACTGGAGAAAACCCATACAGACATGGGTAGAACCTGCAAACTCCACACAGACAATAGACCTGCTGGGAATGGATTTTTTCCCTGATCAAGGTAATAATAAAATAATGTTGAAACAAATGACATTTTTCGAGGACTTCTGTAATGCTAACTGAAAAATAGTTGAACTCAACTTTATAAATATTGACTATAGGTTTGTTATTGTTGTTTTTAAAAGAAGCCCAAGCAACAGTAAAGCTAAGGAGAGATTATTCAGTTTTGTTACACGGGAGGGAGAGAAGTTAATTTCTGTTGCTTTGGTGTTTTGTATTTATCTCTCATTACAAAATTGGATAAAAACACAATTTTAAAGGCTGCACTATATATTGTCATTTATCAAGGACAGGAAAAAGTGAAACCCATACATCTCCATTATGTGGTTTCTGAAAGCTGTGCAAATCTTGAACACAAGCTGAAACATCATAGAAACCATATCTCAGAGCTGTACAAATTTCCTGCTGATTATACAGAGAAAGAACATGTGATTACCAAGAGCCTTGAGTAGATGTAGGAGAAAATAATGTTGGGTTAGGTATCTGGTTGGTTTATCTGATGCCAGAGTTTTATCTATTTGGGTCTGATGCTTTGATTGTTTGGGCTTCGTTGTTTTTTTTTTTTTTTTTTTTTTTTTGTAAGTGAGAGAGGCCAGTATGGGATAGAGGAAGGAGGCAAAGTGTTGGTGGATTTCCCACATTAATCTAGCCAATACCACATTTCAATGTTGTAAGCTTCCTTTTTCTTATGGTCTTATCCTTCTTGCCCCATAAGCTTGGCATCCTCTAATGGTTATTTTTACTCTGTTATCCATCTCTAATAGCAAAAATAATCTAAATAAAATATAGCCTCAACTGTGAGGCTATTTTCCTCTAAGGAGCTAGATGCTGTTAAGGGTTGTAGACACAGACTTTATTTCATTTAATAGTGATGATTTTTCTTTTCATCCTTGTGCCTGTATTAAGTGTAGCAGGACAGGGAAGCCCCCTGCCAAAATTGGGGCTTAGCCCCTGAGGGCTCTTGGCTTTGCCCAGGAAGGAATTCAAGGGCCAAGTGGTGGTGTTATATGGCAATCTTCTATTGAATGGTACTGCTCCTTGCCTAGCAGGGCTAACTCACAGGCAGTGTGGTCCAGAGTCAGCAACTTAGGGGTTCTTGGCAACTGCATTAATACTCACGTAAATCCACTTTCAATCACATGCAAATTAAGGGGTCAGTCAATGCAAATTGAGGGGCAGGTTATTTAGACCTTTCTAAGAAAAGGGTGGTAACTTCCAAGCCATTGTTACGGAAAGAGGTGGTGACTTCTGGGTCATTGCTGTGGCATTTGTAAACTGCCATGGTGCTAGTTGGAGTGTCTTATGCCAATGAGCAATGAGAGCAACTAAAGATCACTTTTGCCTTCTGCTGGTTCCTGCTCGTTTCTTCACTTTATCCCATCTGGACCAGATACTGTTTTGGTCAGCAGGGTTTTGACCAGAGAACAACTCCTGCTGGTCTGCTACCTCATAAGCAGGGCACAAAATCTAGTGGGTCCCACCATGATTTGCCTCTTTGGAGCAGCCAAGATACCTGAGTCTCTGTACTTTGACATCAAATTCCACTTACATAAGGCAGCTCTGAAAAGTCAGAGGGTAGTGGGCCTGGGTCAACACTGTCTGCTTTCATCAGTCATATGCCTGAGACCCAGGGTGGGGAGATTCACATTGCCACCATTCAGGCATGTACAGAAGCCTTCATTAACATGTGCTTCTTGAGTACAGGAAAGAATGGGGCAGGGACCCTTATGAGTCTTTAAAACATTTTTTTTCTAATTTTTAATTTTTATGCACACACAATAGGTGTATATACTTATGGGGTACATGTGATGTTTTGATAAAGGCATACTATGTATAATAATCACATCAAGGTAATTGGGGTATCCATCACTTCAAGCATTTATCATCTCTTTGTGTTAGGAACATTCTAATCCAACTCTTTTAGCGATTTTAAAATATAAAATAAATTATTGTTGACTATAGTCACCCTGTTGTGCTATTAAATGCTAGATCTTATTCATTCTAACTATATTCTTTTACCCTCATCCCCACATTATCCTCCCTCCACTTGCTCCCCTATCCCTGCTACCCTTCCCAGCCTCTGGCAACAATCATTCTACTATCTCCTTGAGTTCAATTGTTTTAGCTTTTAGCTCCCACATATGAGTGAGAACATGTGACATTTGTCTTTCAGTGCCTGGCTTATGGTGCTTAACATAATGACCTCTAGTTCTATCCATGTTATTGCAAATGACAAGATTTCATTCTTTTTTTTATGATTGAATAATATTCCATTATGTATATTTACCACATTTTCTTTATCCATTCATCTGTTGATGGACACTTAGGTTGATTTCAAATCCTGGCTATTGTGAATAGTGCTGCAATAAACATAAGAATGCAGATATCTCTTTGATATACTGATTTCCTTTCTTTTGGGTATATATCTAGCAGTGGGATTGCTGGATCATATGGTAGCTCTATTGTTAATTTTTTGAGGAACTCCCAAACCTTTCTCCATAGTGGTTGTACTTATTCACATTGCCATCAACAGTGTACGAGGGTTGCCTTTTGTGTACATCCCCGCCAGCATTCATTATTGCCTGTCTTTTGGATAAAAGCCATTTTAACTGGGGAGAGATGATATCTCATTTTAGTTTTGATTTGCATTTCTCTGATGATCAATGATGTTGAGCACCTTTTCATATACCTGTGTGTCATTTGTAGGTCTTCTTTTCAGAAATGTCTATTGAGATCTTTTGCCCATTTTAAGGTCAGATTATTAGACTTTTTCCTGTTGAGTTGTTTGAGCTACTTATATATTCTGGTTATTAACAACTTGTCGGATGGGTAGTTTGCAAATGTTTTCTCCCATTCTGTGGGTTGTCTCTTCACTTTGTTGATTGTTTCCTTTGCTGTGCAGAAGATTTTGAACTTGATGTGATCCTACTTATCCATTTTTTGATTTGGATGCTTGTGCGTTTGAAGTATTACTGAAGCAATCTTTGTCCACACCAATGCTCTGGAGAGTTTTCCCAATGTTTTCTAGTAGTAGTTTCATAGTTTGAGGTCTTAGATTTAAGTCTTTAATCCATCTTGAGTTGATTTTTGTAATGGCAAGAGGTAGGGGCCTAGTTTCATTCTTTGCATATGGATATCCAGTTTTCCCAGCACCATTTATTGAAGAGACTGTCTATTCCCCAATGTATATTCTTGCTACCTTTGTTGAAAATGAGTTCACCAAAGATGTGTGGATTTATTTCTGGGTTCTCTATTCTGTTCTATTTCTACCATTTTAAGAAAACTACATTTGTGTGTGGGTGTGTGTGTGTGTGTAGTTCTGTGCCACTATCACAATCAAGATATAGAGCTGGCTCATCACCACACAAGAATCCCTTCATGTTATCTCTTTTTATTCATTCCCCCACTCTTTTCTAGAGTCGCCACACCATTTTTCATTCCTATCAGCAATGCATCCTTCTGTGCATCCTCACCAACATTTGGTATTACCACTTTTTAACTGTTCTAATAGGTGCATAATGATATCTCCTCGTACTCTTATTTTACATTTATCTAATGGCTACTGATGTTGAACATCCTTTCATGTGCTCATTTGCCATTCACATCTTCTCTTTGGTGAAATATATGTTCATGTCTTTTGCCCAGTTTCTAATTGGATTGTTTGCTTTTTTATTGTTGAGTTCTGAGAGTTCTTTATATATTCTAGCTATAGGGCCCTTGTCAGATATGTGGTTGGCAATTATTTTATTCCAGTCTGTGATATGGCTTGCCTTTTCATCTTCTTAACAGGGGTCTTTCACAGAACAAATGTCTTTGATTTTGATAAAGTCCAATTCATCAATTTTTCCTTTTAAGGATTGGGCTTTTGGTGTCAAATCTAAGAACTCTTCATCTAGTCCTAGGACCCAAAGATTTTTCTCTTATGATTTGTTTCTAAAGGTCTTAGAGTTTTACATTTTGCATTAAGTCCATGATTCATTTTGCACTAATTTTTGTATAAGGTATGAGGTTTAGGTCAAGGTTTAATTTTTTTTGCTTATGGATGTCCAATTGTTCCAGCACAATTTGTTGAAAAGGCTCTCCTTTTTAAATTGGATTGCATTTCCATCTTTGTCAAGAATCAGTTGAAAAGCTAGATGTGGTGGTGCATGCCTGTAATCCTAGTTACATGGAAGGCTAAGGTGGGAGGATCACTTGAGCCAAGGAGTTCAAGTCCAGTGTGGGTAACATAGCAAGACCCCATCAAAAAAAGAATCAGTTGTGTGGGTCTATTTATGGGTTTTCAATTCTGTTCCATTGATGTATGTCTATCTCTTGGACAATGTGATAATTTCTTTGGTTACTATAGCTAGATGGCAAGTCATCAGGTAGAGCAATTCCTCCCAATATATTCTTCTTTTCAAAATTGTTTTAGCTATTCTAGGGTTTGTGCCTTTCCATATGAATTTTAGAATAAGCTTGTCTATGTCTACAAAAAACTTGATGGGAATTGCATTAAACTTAAAGATCTATTTGGGGAGATTTGACAACTCCACTATTTTGAGTCTTCCAATCCACAGACACAGTATGTCACTCCATTTACTTAGGTCTTTAATTTCTTTTATCAGTCTCTTGCAAATTTCAGCACACAGATCTTGTACATGCTTTTAGATTTATACCTAAGTATTTCATTTTCTTTAATGCAATTGTAAACGGTATTATGTTTTTAATTTCCAGCTTCCACAAGTTTGTTGTTAATATATAGAAGTGCAATTGATTTTTGTGTATTTATCATCTTGTATCCTGCATCCTTGCTGAACTCACATGTTAGTTATAGAGGGGATTTTTTTGGTATATTCTTCGGGATTTTCTATATAGCCATCTGCAAACAGGGATAGTTTAATTTCTTCCATTTCCATCTGTATCCCTTATTTTCTTTCTCTTCTTTTTTCTTTTTTTTGTCTTATTCCTCCGCTAGAACTTCCAGTAGTATGTTGAATAACAGTGGTGAGATACATACATCTTTGCCTTTTTCCTGCGTTGGGGGAAAACATTCAGTCTTTCTCAATTAAATATGATTTTTAGTTTTTTGTAGATGAACTGTATCAAATTGAAGAAATTCCACTCTATTCATGGTTTGCTGAGAGTGTTTTTTTTTAAATCATGAGTGGGTGTGGGATTTTGCAGATGCTTTTTCTGCCTCAATTGATATCATTATTTCTTCTTGGTGGATTGATCTTTTTATTATGTGATGTCCCTCTTCATTTCTAGTAATTCGCTTTGCTCTGAAGTCTACTTTACCTAATATTAATGCAGTCACTCCCAGTTGGTTTTTTTTTTTTTTTGAGATGGAGTCTCGCTCTGTCACCCAGGCTGGAGTGCAGTGGCATGATCTTGGCTCACTGCAACCTCTGCCTCCCGGGTTCAAGCAATTCTTCTGCCTCAGCCTCCTGAGTAGCTGGGAGTACAGGTGCATGCCACCATGGCTGGCTAATTTTTGTATTTTTAGTAGAGACAGGGTTTCACCATATTGGCCAGGCTGGTCTCAAACTCCTGACCTCGTGATCCGCCCACTTTGGCCTCCAAAAGTGCTGGGATTACAGGCGTGAGCCACCACGCCTGGCCCACTCCTAGTTTTTTAAAAATTAATGTTTGCATTGAACATGTTTTTCCATTCTTTTAGTTTCTATCTACCTATGTGGTCATATGTGAAATGAGTTTCTTGTATATGGCATATGGTTTGATTATTTTTTATCCACTCTGTTAATCTCTCTTTTAATTGGCCCAGGAATGAATATTTAAATTTTTTCAGTACTTATTAATTTTTTTTAAAAATTAACAGACTTTTTTTAAAGAGAAGTTTTAGGACCACATCAAAATTGAGAGGAAGGTATAGAGATATCCTATATACTCCTGGGCCCAACACATGCACAATTCTCCCCATTATCAACATCCCCCAAAGGAGTGGTACATTTGTTACAATTGAGCCTGCAATGACACATCATTATCACCCACAGTCCATAGTTTACATTAGGATTCACTCTTGGTGTTGTACATTTAATAAGTTTGGACAAAGGTATAATGACATGTACCCACCATTATAGTATCATACAGAGTAGATTCACTGCTCTAAAAATCCTCCATGCTCCACCTATTCATCCCTTCCTGCTCTATAACCCTGGCAACCACTGATCTTTTTATTTTCTCCATAGTTTTGCCCTACCCATAATATCATATAGTTGGAATCATACAGCATGTAATCATAGCCAAGTAAGCCTTTTTAGACTGGCTACCTTCACTTAGTAATAGAAATTAAAGTTTCTTCCATGTCTTTTCATGGCTTGATAGTCCATTTCACTTTACGGCTGAATAATATTCCACTGGCTATCTGTAGACAGTTTATTAGTCCATTCACTTACTGAAGGACACTTTGCTTGCTGCCAAGTTTTGGCAATTATGAATAAAGGTGCTTAAACAAGCAATCATGCACACTTCTGCAACAAGAAAAAACAGAAAGTCCCGCCACAAAAAAAGAATATTTAAAGAAGAAACAAATGGAAATTTTAGAAGTGGAAGATATGATAACCAAGGAAAAAATTCCCACTGAATGGGTTCAATAGCAGAATGGAGACAAGCAAAGAGTTAGTGAACACAAAGATAGATAAAAAGAAATTGTTCTATCTGGCCAAGAGCTGTGACTTACACCAGTAGTCCTAGCGCTTTTGCAGGCTGAAGTAAGACAACAGATGGCTGGATGCTAGCAGTTTGAGACCAGCCTGGGCAACATAGTGAGACCTCATCTTTATAAAAAACAATTAAAAATAGCTTGAGTGTGATGGCATGTGCCTGTAGTCAGCTACTGTGAAGGCTGAGGGAGGAGGATCCCTTGAGCCCAGGAGTTCAAGGCTGCAGTGAGCTATGATCTCACCACTGCTCTCCAGCTTGGGCAATAGAGTGAGACCCTGTGTCTAAAACAAAACAAAAAGAAATTGTTCAGTATGAACAAGTCAGAGAAAGAAACTGAAAGAAAAAGGAATACAACCTCGTGGACCTGTAAGAAAATACTAAAACATCTATCATTTGTAGCATCAGAATCACAGAAGAAGTGAAAATATTAGGGAAACAGGAGTCTAGGACAGCCAGAGTGAAACCACTTGAAAATCAACTCCATCTTGAAATTAACAAGGCACATTCCTTGCCAGTCACAACCCATGGTCCTAGGATGTTTGCAGTTGAGAAAACAGAATAAAGATACCTACAAGGACATACTCCCACAGCAGCGGAAAGTGCAGGGATCCCAACACCCATAACAATATATGCGTTCAAAATAATTATAGTTATGCTTTGATGTACTTACACATTAGAAAGTCAAGGATAGTTTTCTTTAAATCAATAGAACGATAAATTTCATCATGCTGTTAGCCCACCCACACAAACGTACAGGTAAGTTGAGTCTTTACACAGACAAGACCCCTATGTAAGAAAAATGTGGCCAGGCCAAGGCTCACACCTGTAATCCTAGCACTTTGGGAGGCTGAGGTGAGCAGATCACCTGAGCTCAGAAGTTCCAGAGCAGCCTGGGCAACATGACAAAATCTTATCTGTACGAAACAATAGAAAAACTAGCTGGACATGGTGGCATGTGCCTATAGTCCTATTCAGGAGGCTGAGGTGGGAGGATCCCTTGTGCCCAGGAGGTCAAGGCTGAAGTGAGCTGTGATAACACCACAGCACTCCAGCCTGGGTGACAGAGTGACACTCTGTCTCAATTTTTAAAAATATAAAACAAAAAAGTACAAATTTATCAATCTAATTCACTACTTTAACAGATTAATGAAAAAATGCGGTGATAATCACAATAGATGCAGTGTTTGATGAAACTCAACATATATCCAAAATGAATACTCTCAGCAAACTGGAGCAGAGTGGAATGACTGACTGTTGAAGTCAATCTACAAAAAAAGTACGGTAAATATTATGTTGAAATGTTGAAATTTTTCCATTTCTGATCAGGGATAAGACAGGGATGTCCACTATCGCCATTATACCAGTGGGTCTGCCCAATGCCCCTAAAATCAGAAAAGGAAATAAAAGTGTTTAAAATGGCAGCAACAGGCCGGGCGCAGTGGCTCATGCCTGCAATCCCAGCACTTTGGGAGGCCGAGGTGGGTGGATCACTTGAGCTCAGGAGTTCAAGAACAAATTGGGCAACATGGCAAAACCACGTGTCTACAAAAAATACAAAAGAAAACAGAAAAAAAAGTGGCAGAAACAAAATTGTTCTTATTCAAAGACGATATGATTCTGTATGTTGAAAACTGAAAAGGATCTAGAAGTAAACTTTTAGAATTAATAAGCATATTTAACAAGGTTGCTGGATAGAAACTCAATATGTAGGAATTATGCCTCTACATACCAGCTCAAACAGCTAGCATATAAAATGTCAAAGAATGATACACATTTCAGAGCATCAAACACCTGGAAGTAAAATTAACAAAAGATGCACAAGACTTCTTTGCAGAAGGCTGTAAAGCTTTATTGGGAGAATTTTAATGGTCAAATTTCCAACACAGGAGCAGCCTGAACCATTTCAGCGTGTCTTCTTTTAAGGCTGTGATTGCCCTTCATCTGTAACAGAAACATAACTGTTAGGAAGATGATTTAGCAGCAGATTATTTAGATGACCCAAAAGGCACACAAAGGACACTACAATTTGGGTTTTATAAAATGGACTAAAAATAGAACTCTAAGGGCGATCCTGTGTCTTATAGCCAAGTAAACCTCTGTATAAATTTTGAGGGTAGACCTGTAGAATTTAAAGGTAATTAATTCCGTAAACATCAGGTGCTTCCTTTAAATCCAGAAGCACTTATAATTAACAGTCAGCAACTTGGAAAACACATGTGTAAAACATACTTCGGTGGATTACTCAGAAAGTACTGGAGTCATGGTCTTTGAACTTCAAATCTTACCAACTGATGCCTCAAAATCTGAAACCTACATGCAACATTTGATATGGTTAGAGATCATGTATGTGTCTACAGTCTTATTAGAAATAGTGGCTCATGAAGACTGACAGTGGGGCAGGGAGTGTGCGTAGCACAGGCATCTTACTCACACCCATGCTGAGCATCACTGACCTACATCCCACAGAAAATAGAAACTAAATGGTCTCTCACCATTTGATTATTCACTCACTCAAGGTTTCCTTGGAGAAAGATTTAAAAAGCACTTATTCATTAAGGGCCAGAGAATCCCAGCCTGGGCAACACAGTGAGACCTCATCTGTATAAAAAAAATTTTTTAACAAAACAACATCAGTCAGGCATGGCAGCTTGTGCCTGTAGTTCCAGCTGCTCAGGAGGCTAAGTTGGGAGGATCACTTGAGCCTGGGAGGCTGAGGTTGCAGTGAGCTGAAATCGCACCACAGCACCCCAGTCTGGGTGACAGAGTGAGACTTGTCACTCTGTCAGAGCGACAATTCAAAAATTGACAGTACCTAAGAATAGGCATTCAGGTCTCCACACAGAAAAACTAACATGAAGCAGAGTGCCCGCTCCCTTTCTTAGTAGCAATGAAATCTCAATTCAGAGGTTTTCAGATGACTCAGGCCAGGGTTTCATGATTTATGATAAATAAATCATGTAAAACAGATGATCTCTGTATCCTATGCATTCTATGCAACAGGATCAGAGTATGAAAGAACCAGAATGGAAAAGGATTTTAAAATATCTGACTTAAACTCACTATTTTTATAAGACCAAAGATAGGTTTAGAAGGTAAGGGATTTGCTCAGAATCTCACCAATGCTGTAAGAGCTGGTATTAGAACCTGCATCCGTGCTTCAGCATATTTCACACCAACTGATGGGTGTTACAAATGTGTTATGTATTTATTAAAAGCAGACCTTTACAAAAGCATCTGAAAATCATGAGCTATTGGTTTAAGGATTTATACTCAAAAGTTATAATTCAATATGGCTTTGTCTCAGTTTGTTTCTGTATCTGACAGTCTATAAGTTGGCTGCTGGGACCTGAACTACATTTCAAATAACCTTTATATAAGAATTCTATTATTAAGGAGGCAGTATTGTTACCCCTGTGTTATTAAAAACATAATACTGGGTCAGGTGCAGTGGCTCATGCCTGTAATCCTGGCACTTTAGTAGGCTGAGGTGGGTGGATCACCTGAGATCAGGAGTTTGAGACCAGCTTATGCAAAATGGCAAAACCTCGTCTCTACTAAAAATACAAAAATTAGCTGGGCGTGGTGGAGCACGCCTGTAATCCCAGCTACTTGGGAGGCTGAGGGAGGAGAATCACTTGAACTTGGGAGGCAGAAGCTCCAGTGAGCCGAGATGGCACCACTGCACTCCAGCCTGGTTGACAGAGCGAGACTCTGTCTCAAAAAAATAATAATTATTATAATATGATACTGTGGAAACAGACACCCTACAATTTGCATGCCTAATGGATTGCCTACCTTCCTCAGGTGTTTTCACCTCCTCTGGATTTGGCAGGCCCAACTCCTGGACATCAGGACCATCTCCGCGCTCACACCCAGTCTTCGGGTGAACCTGTTCCTGGCTATCCGCTTCAGGCTCTGGCCCTTAAAAAAAAAAAAAAAAAAAAAAAAAAAAAATATATATATATATATATATATATATATATATATATACATA
Organism: Homo sapiens; assembly: GCF_000001405.40. Classification (NCBI taxonomy): domain Eukaryota; kingdom Metazoa; phylum Chordata; class Mammalia; order Primates; family Hominidae; genus Homo; species Homo sapiens. Next base: position 49,689,617 of record NC_000023.11, read on the forward strand.
TACATATATATATACATATACATATATATGTGTGTGTATATATATATATACATATACATATATGTGTGTATATATATACACATATATATGTGTATATATGTATATATGTATATATACACACATATATGTATATGTGTATATATACATATATATGTGTGTATATATACACACATATATATGTATATATATGTGTATATACACACATATATGTGTATATATGTGTGTATATACACACATATATAGGTGTGTATATATGTGTATATACACACATATATAGGTGTATATATATGTGTATATACACACATATATAGGGTGTATATATATGTGTGTATATACACACATATATATGTGTATATATATGTGTGTATATACACACATATATATGTGTATATATATGTGTGTATATACACACATATATATGTGTATATATGTGTATATATGTGTATATACACACATATATATGTGTATATATGTGTATATATGTGTATATATACACATATATATGTGTATATATACACATATATATGTGTATATATATAATCAATTTAAGCAGTAAAACATGAAATATGAACAAGAAAATAATATTCATGCTCTCAGTGTTATTAAATAAAAGCTTTCACTAGTGTAATAATAAATGTGTTGATAAGAATCCCAAGAACATGATTTCAGGAGTCTGTTGGCAGAAAACAGGAAAACAGGGTTTTCCAAATATTACCCTCTTCCTTTCCGAAGACTGCCCTCAGACAACTTTGTTGCTGCCTTTGCACTTCTTTATTATTCTACTTCTGATTGTCCTTATCATATTAAATGACTCAAGACTGAAACCCTGTCTCTCACAGCACTTACACTCCTGGCACTTAGACTCCTACATGGCATGAGTAGCCACCAATAAACGCTGAGTGAAAAAAGTTCTTTAAAAAATACATGAAAAATCCCCAAATCCTGAACATTCTGCACACCAACTTGTCTATCCTCTTCAAAAATGTCCGTATCCTGAATGACAAAGAAAAATTAAGGAAACATTCCAGATTAAAGGAAACTAGAAACACATGACAAGCACATGTAAGACGTGATCTTGAACTGGACTCTGGATCAGAAAAAGAAATTCTATAAAGGAAATTATCTGGGCCAGGCATGGTGGCTCACACCTTTAATGCCAACATTTTGGGATGCCAAGGTGGGCAGATCACTTGAGGTCGGGAGTTCAAGACCAGCCTGGCTAATGTGGTGAAATCCCGTCTCTACTAAAATACAAAAAAAAAAAAAAAAGAAACATTTATTTGTCAGGCACTGTGGCAGGGCTGTAACCTCAGGACTTTGGGAGGCTAAGCTGGGTGGATCATCTGAGGTCAGGAGTTCGACACCTGCCTGTGCAACATGACAAAACCCCGTCTCTACTAAAATTACAAAAATTAGGTGCCTGTGGTGGCATACGCCTGTAATCCTAGCTGCTCGGGAGGCTGAGGCAGGAGAATCACTTAAACCCAGCAGGTGGATGTTGCAGTGAGCCAAGATTGAGCCACTGCACTCCAGCCTGGGTGACAGAGTGAGACTCCATCTCAGAAAAAAAAGAAAATTATAATACTGTGGAAACAGACACCCTACAATTTGCATGCTTAATGGACTACCTACCTTCTGCGGGCAGTTTCATCTGCTCTTCATTTCGCAGGCACACCCTCTTGGTATCAGGACCATCTCCAAGCTCACACCCAGTCTTTGGCTGAACCAGTTCCTGGCTATCAGCTTCAGGCTCCTGCCCTTAAAGATAAAACAAAATTATCATTTTAAGCAGCAACACATGAAATATGAATAAGAAAATAATATTCATGCTCTTGGTCTTATTAAATAAAAGCTTTAGGTACTGTAATAATAAATGTGTTGATAAGAATCCCAAGAACATTATTTCAGGAGTCTGTTGGCAGAAGACAGGAAAACAGGGTTTTCCAAATATTACCCTCTTCCTTTCTGAAGACTGCCCTCAGACAACTTTGTTGCCTCCTTTGCACTTATCTGTTATTGTATTTCTGATTGTCCTTATTATATTAAATGACTCAAGGCTGACATCCTGTCTCTCATTAGCATTTAGACTCCTAGCACCTAGCAAGTTATATGGCATGAGTAGGCACCAATAAATGGTGAGTGAAAAAACAGTCTTTAGAAACTACACAAAAAAGCCCAAAGTGCTAAACGTTCCGCAAACCAACTGGTCTATCCTCTTGAAAAATGTCAGTATCAGCCAGCCGGGCGTGGTGGCTCACACCTGGAATCCCAGCACTTTGGGAGACCGAGGTGGGCGGATCATCTGAGGTCAGGAGTTAGAGACCAGCCTGGCCAACATGGTGAAACCCAGGCTCTGCTAAAAATACAAAAGAAAAAATAAATTAGGCAGGTGCGGTGGCCATTGCCTGTAGTCCCAACTACTCAGGAGGCTGAGGCATGAGAATCTCTTGAGCCTGGGAGGCAGAGTTTAGAGAGAGCCGAGATCTTGCCACTGCACTCCAACCTGGGCAACAGAGTGAGACTCCGTCTGAAAAAAAAAAATAAGAAAGAAAAAAGAAAATTATCTGGATAACTGGCAAAATCTGAGTATACTCTGTGTATTAAATGACTGCAGGTTCTCATTGTTAAATGTCCTGAGTTTGATCATTGTGCAGTGATTATCCAAGGAATGACTTTTTCTTTGTTCTGAGGATATATAAACACTTTCAAGTACTTAGGGTAAAGGGCCATAATAGCTGAAACCTTATCTGAACAATGCAGCATTAATAAGAGTAAACATAATATCCGTAAGTGTGTGTGTGAGTGTGTGGGCAGCAGGGTAAGAGAGGGAGGGAAGAGACATGAAAACAATGGAGCAGAAGCTATTAACAATTGGTGAATCTAGGTGAAAAGTATATGAGTTCATTGTACTATTCTTGCAAATTTTCTACAAATGTTATGTCTTGAAAATATATAAAGTAAAAACTTGTAAGAATATATGACAACTACACTGAACTTTAGGAAGACAGAAGTTTTTTTTTAATTGTGTTAAAAAATACACATAACATAAAATTTACCATGGTAACTAATTTTAAGTGTTATAGTTCAGTAAGGAGTTATGGTTGCAACATTACCAGCAGCTAAGAACAAACTTTACATGTTTGTTTTCCTATATAACGAAACATTTATTATTTATTTATTTATTTATTTGCGATGAGGTCTCCCTATGTTTCCCAGGCTGGTCTTGAACCCTAGGCTCAAGCGATCCTCTCACCTCAGCCTCCCAAGTAGCTGGGACTATGATTTCACAGCACTAAGCCCAGTTTGAGACCTTTCTACTAAATGACAATCTAAGGATAAACCACAGGACATGTATAATACTTATATTCGGCCATAGAGTACCAACAGCAGTGTGCATCAGCTGAGAAATCTGAAGTCTACATCATGGATAGGATTTCAGTTACAATTACAGTGTCAGTTTCTGAAGGATTGAGCAGCTGGATGGATTTGAGGACTATGGAAAATCTTACAGTCACGACACCCATTGTCTACTGGGGTAAACAGAAACTTAACTTTGTTCAAATAAAGTTATATTTAGGTCCAAAGGTCCTAAATGTAATATTCCATAAATGAACCCCATGTAGAACAAAGCACCAAAAATAACACTATTTGTGAATTACAGCAAATATACTGTCTCACGCTGAGAACAAAGGAATGAGTGGACAGCAATTAATGGGCATTGTTGTCAGTCTTATTCTAGATACCTTTAACAGTGAATCCTTAGAATAATCCATGACCTGAGTTAGATAATTGTTTTGCTTCAAAATATTTTATCTCGGAGAAATTATTTCCATCTCATGTTAATCTCAGGATAATTCCTTTTTTTTGGTTTTTCTAACCATAAAAGGATTTAATCACCTCCTAAAAGCCACTTAAAAAATCATACTACACCAGCTACCTGTATGGCAGTATCCTGAATTCTCCAGCTTTCAACAAACTTACCACATAAAAATATCAAAGGAAATGGTGGCCAGCAATCAGGAACTCAGTTTTTGGAGTTGCTCCTGCTCCTCTGAACTGGGTCTATTCCTGGGCCAGTACTAAGCTACATTACAGTAAAGCATTTGAGTTTTAAGCACTTTCAGCAAAATCATTTACTATTGTTACAGCAACATAGATGGTAGGAAGACACAAACTTTGGAACAAAACACAAATTTTGTATTCACCAGTCAAGTGTTCTTGGACAAAACACAATCCCCGGGCCTCCATTCTCTCATTCATAAAGTGGAGAAATTTTATCATAGTGAGGGATTTATTTCCCTAAGGTAAGCTGCAAACTATACCCTCTTCACTTTTCCAGTCAATTTCTAGGCATCGTTTGCATGGCTTTCATTCCTCCTGTTCCTGGTATGTGACAATGCATGAGACACACACACACACACACACACACACACACACACACACACACACCCCAACAGGCATTCTTCTTCCCTTTCCCTTCACCTTGAGCTGCAGATGCTCCCTCATCCTCTCTCTCTTCAGCAGGTGTAGAATCCTGACTTTGAGTTGGTGATTCCACTTCGTCAGGTTGCTCATCACTGGACTCCTTGTGGTAGGGAATATGTGTGTGAGTGTGCAAAGACAAAAAGTTTTGTTATTAATACATGTCAAAAAATATATACGTATACACACAGAGAATGCATAGATGTTTCTGATCATAACTAAACCTAAAAATATTTCTCCAACTTTATTCTATATGGTTAATAAGGCTACTCTACCCACAGAAAGGTTACTGCGAGAAAAGTTACCCACAAGGACTTTGGAAGCTATTGCACTCTATGTTGGAATAGATGTGTATAATCTATGTGTCATTCACAAGCAAAGCATGAGAAAGAAGTCATGGCCAAAAGTTGGAGAACACAAGAGAAAAAAAAAATCCTCCTGAATCAATATTTCCTTCATGAGATACCAGAATCTTATTTTTTTAATCAGCATGAACTACCTTTATTAGTGTATCTATACTAATGCAACAACACTATCACAAAAATTAATTTCTGCTAATAGAAAACATCGAATTAACGTTAAAGCACTCAACAGCATAGGCCCAATTACCTCAGAAGATTCTACATAGATCATTGGTCTACGCCGATAGATTAATCTTCTTAGAAAACCCATATTTCACACTGAAAAGAGAAAATTGTGATTGGGAACATGCACTTGAGAGGACAGCTATATTCGATCACTTCCATGGCTAAATGTTAACTTGTCATTTTAATTTTGAAAATACTCTCAAAATAAGTCCCAGAGTTAAGTGCAAGTGTGTACGTTTTCTGAGTGCTTGCAAAGCCACTTATGCTCCCCAAGCTGGCAGAGTAGTCATCTTAAGGCATGTGGCAAAAGGCAGAGGACATTATTTTAAAATTTCTTTTAGACACAGAATCTCGCTCTGTTGCTCACGCTGGAATGCAGTGGCGTGATCACACTTCACTGCAGCCTCGACCTCCCGCTCACGCGATCCTCCTGCCTCGTCCGGAGTAGCTGGGACTACAGGCGCGCACCACTGCGCCCCTCTGACAGAGGACGTTTCTGATGAGGTTTAGTTTCACAAGCGGACTCCACATGAAAACACTAGTGAATCACAATTCCCGTGACTGCTGCTTTTGGCACACTCCCACTTACTAGAGCCATTCACCCCCCTCAAATCAAGTTTGGTTGGGCCACACAGCCTCTCCCAGTCCTTCCCATTGTTTCCGGACCTTCTATGGCAGAGGTGAGACCTTGCCACGCTTCTCACTCGGGTGTTTCTCACTCGGGCACTCCCCACTCCACACCGCTGGGGGGCGCTCACCAGCCCACAGCCTTCCCAGGTTCCAGGCCCCTTCTTTACCGCCATCTTCACCACCCACCTCCCGCCTCGGGGCCCCATTCAGGACTCAGGAATGTGCCCTGTGTCATGGGTTCCTACCACCTCGGGACTTTGACCCCTCCAACAGCACCCGCAGCACTCGCCTCATTTTCACCTGAGCCCCTGACCGCTTCCCCTTCATGGCCCACTTTCCTCCCTGTCCTGGCCCCTTCACGACCACAAAGCCGATGGCGGCGTCGCAGCCTGTGAGGAGAAGGAGGACGAGCTCGAGGCCCTTCTCTTTTGGAGGCCACTGAGGCCCTTCTCCCTCAAAAGCCACACACCACCAGACCGAGGGGCCCACCGAACCTGCCCGAAGCCCACTGGCTCCGCCTGAAGCCCACTGGCTCCTCCTCACCCTCACTCACACTTCAGCCCCTGGGAGGACTGGCCTGCGGATCTACCAGATGAGTCTCAGTAGAGGAAAAAAGTGTCCGGACAGCAGGAACGCGACTGCACACTCTCACAGCTCCCTGGCGTTCTCCACGTGGGCGAAGGGGCCGACGGGAAGGCACCCAGTGAACATGCGCACTGAGGCTAGCACCCAAAGGTGGGGAGGGCTGCAGTTCCCAGCCCCACACCCCACACTCCCGATTTTCATCCCCGTGAAGATAATGGAATCCGACCTCCCTCTGCTGTTTCATATGCCTCGGGTACTCAAATACCTCAAATAGTGCTCCCCTCAAAACTCATTCCATCTTCAACTGAGCCCCCCTCCCCTCCAGGGCCCTCTCTTGCTCTGGCCCTGCCATAGGGACAAGGACCATGGTGGCTGCCTGTGAAGTGAGGTAGACGACCTGCTAAAACAGAAATAGCAACATACCTCATAGCATTATACAAGACTAAGAGTCTCATAACTAAATATTAAAAATGTCTAGCATATAATTCAAAATTACTCAGAATATGAAGAACCAGGAACATAGGGCCACTGAAATAGGGAAAGACAATCAGCAGACATCACTGCTAAGATAGAGATGTTGGGATTATGTGGGAAAGCCTTTAAAGATGCTATTTTATAAACGCTTAGGCTGGGCGCGGTTGCTCATGCCTGTAATCCCAGCACTTTGGGAGGCCGAGGCGGGTGGATCTCTTGAGGTCAGGAGTTCGAGACCAGCCTGACCAACATGGTGAAACCTCGTCTTTACTAAAAATGCAAAAAATTAGCTGGGCATGGTGGCGCGCACCTGTAGTCTTAGCTACTCGGGAGTCTGAAACAGGAGAATTGCTTGAACCCAGGAGGCAGAGGTTGCAGTGAACCGAGATCACGCGACTGCACTCTGGCCTGGACAACAGTGAGACTCCGTCTAAAAAAAAAATGCTTAAACAAGCAATCATGAACACTGTTGAAACAAGTAAAAACAAAGTCCTGGCACACACACAAAAAAAGAATATTTAAAGAAGAAGCAAATGGAAATTTTAGAAGTGGAAAATATGATAACGAAGGAAAATAATTCTCCCCAAATGGATTCAATAGCAGAATGGAGACAAGAAAAGAGTTTGTGAACTCAAAGATAGAGAAATAGAAATTGTTCTGTGTGGCCAAGAGCAGTGACTTACACCAATAATCCTAGCACTTTTGCGTGCTGAAGTAAGAAGATAGATGGCTTGAGGCTAGGAGTTTCCAACCTGGGCAACATAGTGAGACCTTGTCTCTACAAAAAAACAATTAAAAATAGCTGAGTGTGATGACACATGCCTGTAGTCCTAGCTACTGTGAAGGCTGAGGCAAGAGGATCCCTTGGGCCCAGGAGTTCAAGGCTGCAGTGAGCTATGATCACACACTGCAGTCCAGCCTGGGCAACAGAGTGAGACCCTGTGTCTAAAACAAAACAAAAAGAAATTGTTGAAGTGTCTCATAACCTGATATTCAAAATGTCCAGCATATAATTCAAAATTACTCAGAATACGAAGAAGCATGAAAGTTAGGCATCTTGGCCAGGTGCAGTGGCTCATACCTGTAATCCCAGCATTTTGGGAGGCTGAGGCAGGTAGATCACGAGGTCAGGAGTTCAAGACCAGCCTGGCCAAGATGGTGAAACCCCATGTCTACCAAAAATACAAAAATTAGCTGGGTATGGTGGCGGGCACCTGTAATCCCAGCTACTCGGGAGGCTGAGGCAGAGAATTCCTTGAACCCGGGAGGCAGAGTTTGCAGTGAGCCAAGATCGTGCCACTGCACTCCAGCCTGGGTGACAGAGTGAGGCTCCATTTCAAAAAAAAAAAAGGAAGTTATGGAATTTCAAATGGAGAAAGACAGACAACTGACACCAATGCAAAGACAGAGATGTTGAGATTATCTGGGAAAGCCTTTAAAGATGCTAGTTTAAAAAAGCTATAAACATCCATGTCCAGACACAAGTTTTCAACTCCTTTGGGTAGATACCAAGAAGTACAACTACTGGACTGAATAGTAAGAGTTTGTTTAGTTTTGTAAGAAATACTGCCAAACTGCCTTTCAAATTGGCTTTACCATTTTACATTCCCACCAACAACGAATGAGAGTTCCTGTTGCTCCACGTCCTCCCCAGAATTTGTTGTTGTCAGTGATCTGGATTTTGATCATTCTAATAGCTGTGTTTTTGGTGCAGTTTTCATCAACCCTGGCTGCCCATTGGAATTGCCTGGTAGAACATTTTAAAAATGTTGATTTTCGGCTGGGCACAGTGGTTCACACTTGTTATCCCTGCACTTTGGGTGGCCGAGGTAGGTAGATCACCTGAGGTTAGGAGTTCAAGACCATCCTGGCCAACATGGTGAAACCCCATCTCTACAAAAAGACAAAAATTAGGCTGGGCGTGGTGGCTCATGCTTGTAATCCCAGAACTTTGGGAGGCTGAGGCGGGCAGATCACCAGGTTAGGAGATCGAGATGATCCTGGCTAACACGGTGAAACTCCATCTCTGCTAAAAATACAAAAAATTAGCCAGACGTGGTGGCAGGCGCCTGTAGTCCCAGCTACTTGGGAGGCTGAGGCAGGAGAATGGCATGAACCCGGGAGGTGGACCTTGCAGTGAGCCGAGATTGCGCCAGTGCACTCCAGCCTGGGCGACAGAGCAAGACTCCATCTCAAAAAAACAAAACAAAACAAAAATTAGCTGGACATGATGGCAGATGCCTGTAGTCCCAGCTACTCGGGAGGTTGAGGCAGGAGAATTGCTTGAACCTGGGAGGCAGAGGTTGCAGTGAGCCGAGATCGTGCCATTGCACTCCACCCTTGGTGACAGAGTGAGACTCCGTCTCAAAAACAAACAAACAAACAAAAAAACCACAAAGATATCGATTATCAGCCTCCACCCCAGGACAATTAAGCTGGGTCTGGGGCTTAGTCATTTATTCATGAGCATTTAAAAAGTATTTCTCAGGTTATTTAAATGCGTATCTGGTGTTGAGGATGGCTAGTTTAGAACATATATTACCAATAGGCCTTTGACGAAGTGTTCAGAGCAGTGAGAAAGGTAAGATGTAAAGCTTTTACCATCTTAAAGTCAACCAGCTTATTGGAGATGGCTTGATCAGACACTTTTGGAAGACCCTGCTTGAGATAAATCAAATATAAGCAAAGTAGTAGTAGATGTTGAAGCAGAGACAGCTAAAGGGACATTAGAGCTGCAATTTAGGGCCTTTCAGGGTTCCCCCAGATGATTAAAACTAACCAGAGGCCATAACAATCATCTTTTCTAAGACTATAGAGAGAATAAAAGCAGAAGGAAAGGGAGAAAAAAACCATAACTATTTTTTAAACCTTTCCTAAACCCTTAGCATATTTTGTAGTCCTTACTCTATCACCTGAACTAGTCTATTTTATAAAGCGGCCTGGATAACCTTTAAAGTCCTCTATGTGGGTCTCTATCAGCATTTGCCAGTCATAACTAATGGACTGAGATAGAAGACACAGAAGCTGTGCCTGTAGAAGAACATAAGACAATGACAAGAGACCAAAAGCAGGTCCATTTTGTACAGCTGCCTGGGGGTGTACATTTAGGAGGACTGCAAAAGTTAGAAGACATACCTTACTTATTAAAAGTGGTAACTAGAAAATGTGCCCCTAAGGAAAATCAGTATTTTTTTAAAGTATACCATTCAGTATTTTTAGTATATTCACAAAAGTTGTGCAACCATCAGTACTAATTCCAGAACATTTTCATCACCCCTAAAAGAAACTCTATTTTCTGTCTTTATGGATTTTCCTATTCTGGACATTTCATGTAAATGGAATTATACAATATGTAGCCTTTTGTGTCTGGCTTCTTTCACTTTGTGTAATGTTTTCAAGGTTCAACCACATTGTACCATGTATTAGTATTTCATTTTTTATTATTGCTGAATAATATTCTATTATATTGATGTACCACATTTTGTTTACCAATTCATCAGCTGATGGACATTTAGGGTCTTTCTACTTTTTTGGTCACCGTATATAATGTTGCTGTGTGTATTTGTGTGCAATTTTTTCTATGGACATATGTTTTCATTTCTCTTGAGTATACAGCTAGGAGTGGAATTGTTGGATCATAGAGTAATTCTATGTTTAACTTAAAGTGCCAAACTATTTTCTACAGTAGCTTCCCCGTTTTACATTCCCATGAGCAATGTATAAAGGTTCTTCTTTCTCTGCCTCCTCAGCAACACTTGTTATTTTCCATCTTTTTGATTATAGCCATCCTAGTGGGTTTGAAGTAGTATCACATTGTGATTTTGATTTGCATTTACCCAATAACGAAAATGTCAAGCATCTTTTCCTGTGCTTGCTGACCATTTGTATATCTTCTATGGAGAAATGTCTATTCAGGTCCTTTGCCCAACCATCACCTCTGCTGCAACCTTTATAGCAGGTTAAACTACCACCTCTGCAACAGCTATCTTGGGAATTCAAACCACAATCTCCGCAGCAGCTGGCCCAGAACAGTCAGATCTTCATCAACAACTGCCCTATATTTTTGCCCCAGCTTCCAACTTACATCTGACTGGAGAAAGCCAAATCTGCTCCCCAGACCAATCACATAACATGTCTAACTCCTAGTTAGCCCACCAATAGCCTCCAACCAGGGCATACCTGAAGCTCTTTCCCACTCCCCTGCCTGCCTTTGAATCTCTGCCAACCACAAATGATGGTGGCTGACTTTCTTTCTGTAGCAAGCTCTGAATAAATAGCCTCTGTTTGTTCTCATTTGGGTGGTCTTCATTTATTTCCACAGTAAGGTTGCCAGATAAAGGATAGGAGACCCAGTTAAATTAGAATTTTAGATAAACAGCAAAAAATTCTTTATAGTATAATAAAAAAAAATTCTTTAACATAACTATAGTCGTGCATCACTTAACAACAGGGATATTGATATAGTTTGGCTCTGTGCCCCCGCCCAAATCTCATGTGGAATTGTAATCCCCATGTGTTGGAGGAGGGGCCTGGTGGGAGGCGATTGAATCATGGGAGCGGATTTCCCCCTTGCTGTTCCTGTAACAGTGAGTGAGTTCTCACGAGATCTGATGGTTTAAAAGTGTGTTGCACTTCCCGCTTTGCTCTCTGTCTCTCTCCTGCCACCACATGAAGGAGGTGCTTGCTTCCCCTTCACCTTCTGCCATGATTGTAAGTTTCCTGAGGCCTCCCACTCATGCTTCCTGTATAGCCTGCAGAACTGAGTCAATTAAACCTTTTTTTTTTTTTTTTTTTGAGACGGAGTTTTGCTCTGTTGCCCAGGCTGGAGTGCAGTGGTGCAATCTCGGCTCACTGCAACCTCCGCCTCCCAGGTTCAAGTGATTCTCCTGCCTCAGCCTCCTGAGTAGCTGGGTTTACAGTGAGAATGGACTTCATCATTGTGTGAACATCATGGAGTGTACTTATACAAACCTAGATGGTATAGCCTACTACACACCTATAGGCTATATGGTATAGCCTATTGCTCCTAGGCTACAAACCTGTACAGTATGTTACTGTACTCAATACTGTAGGCATTTGTCCCACAATGCTAAGTATTTGTGTATCTAAACATATCCAAACATAGGCAAGGTAATGAGTTGTACTATGATGTCATTATGGCTATGACATCACTGGGTGATAGGAATTTCCATAATGATGTCACTAGGTTATAGGAATTTTTAGCTCTATTATCATCTTATGGGACTGCTGTCACATATGTGGTGCATTGTTGACTGAAATGTCCTTATAAGATGCATGACTGTATGTTTCAAATATTGCACAATTGTGATTTGCTATACCTGGAACTCTATGCATATATAAAAATGCAAGCTCATACAGAATTCTGAGAGGTATACTGCTTTCTTAACAAAAGGCAGCTGGATAGTTCTGATCAGTTGAGCTCTGAGGTTTAAGTGACAATTAAATGACATTTCTGTTTTGTTGTGTTGTGTTTCTGTACCAGGCCAGAGCTTATCTGCCAACCAATACATGCTGTGATGTACCTTTATCAAGCTGGGGGACTTTCACATTATTGTCTCGGCTTTAGCTCCAATACAAGACATTTCGTTTTAAAAGCCCTTTGCTCCCTGTGTGTTAATTAAAGTCATTTCAGTGGTCTCTGCTGCCAGTTTCCTCTGCTCTTCAATCTGAGTAATGTTAATTCAGTCCCAGAGTCCCCTGGAGATTCATTCAAGCTTCATTCCTGATTTATTTCTGTCCTGACCAGATGGCTCCAGGTTCCTGCGACTGCATGGGCATCTTTTGGATTATTCTGTTTATCTTTCCCAGTGCCCAAGATAAGGGTAGAGTCTAATGGAGTGCATTTGTCAGCAGGATAAGCCATTCACCACCACTGCTGCTTGAACACCATAACCAAAGTTATTAGATTTAATATATGCTTTCGTAAACTCCGTAGCAAAAGCTGGTGAAGGGTTGTTGATTTGTTTTTTGATCTTTTAGAAGATGCAGCCAATGGCGGGGCAGTAGCTGGCAGGACTGAGCAGAGAGGAAGGGGGACTCTACAGGGAGCTCTGAAGGCTCCTGAGTCCTTCTCTGCCTTTAAGGATGTGGAAAAGATAGACATGTCATGAAAAAGATAGACAGAATATCTTTAATGAAGCTAATAAACATGCAAAAGAAGATGTGATATTTAAAGAAACAGTACATCAAAACTGACAAATGCAATCTTTCACTGTGAGATCGAATTCAATTCACCCAAAGGGCACACTTGACTTTTGTTAAAAAATACTTGCCTTAGATTTCAACACAGTGAAAGCTCTCATATAAGCCAAGGCTAAAGCTGAATATGCTCTGGTTAGTGGGTTTTGCAACCCTGAAAAACATGCAGGAAGCCACACAATACAAAGATTTGGCATTTGGACTTGCACACATGTGCGCACGCGTGGACGCACACCAGCAAACATACAATCCAGTAATTATGAATTATCATCATTAGGGATTTCAGCCACCAAAAGTGTTTGTTGTTCAGAATGCCGTAAGGATGCACAATTCACACATATTTTCAGATTGTTGGTTCTGATTCCTGGATCAGTTCCTCTTATGGCCTACCCATGCATACAATGCATAATCCTGGTGGGCTCTAGAAGCAGGGGTTGCTAATTGTCCTTTATCCTAGAGAAGCCAAATGAAGAATTTCTGGCTTTTGGTTCTAACTAGCCTACTATGTACCTTTTTTTAGGCTGGCCATGGGGAAAGCAAAGGTTAATAAAGCAGTATGCTTGCCTCAGAAGCCAATTAGAGGCTTTTGCCTACAAAAGCAATTATAATGCAATGCTGTCTGTGAAGAGTGCTATAAAAGGTAAAAACCTTGCAATCGAGTGGTGAGCAAATTAATCTGGGAAGTCTTTGCAGATTTAATCTAGACCTTGAAAACTGGAAACGGCAGTGGCAGGTTGATGTGTTCTGTGTAGGTTTGGAGGGTAAAGGTGGAGGGAACGGGCTGTAGTACATTCAGCATAAACAAAGGTAGAAGCCAGAAAGAGCAAGGAATCTGTGAAACTGGGAGCAAAGTGGTATTTTCTAACATGGTTGGAAGAGAGGATGTGAGAGAACAGAGACTAGAAAGACAATGCCAATAACAAATAACTGAAATAATAATAACTATTATATTTTGCCTGCTTTGTATTGGCACTGTGCTAAGTGCTTTTCACCCATTATCTCATTTAAAGCACACAACTCTTGCAAGTAGGTATTGTTATTTCTATTTTATAGATGAGGAAACTGAGGAACAGATAATTTATATAACTCAAGATTTCAATCTGGGGCAGGGGTGAGGGTGTCCAATCTTTTGCCACATTGGAAGAAGAAGAATTGTCTTGGGCCACACCTAAAATACACTAACACTAACGATAGCTGATGAGCTAGAAAAAAATTGAAAAAAAACTCATAATGTTTTAAGAAAGTTTACAAATTTGTGTTGGGCCAAATTCAAAGCCATCCTGGGCCGCATGTGGCATGAGGGCCATAGGTTGAACAAGCTTGCTGTACGGTATTGCCTATAACATGTGCTGAAGAACTCTGTTGGGGCATCAGAAGGGAGCTGAGATGGAGGGTTCTGATTACCTGGTGGGCCTGACTCTGCTCCTCCTTACCTTCATGCACTCTTACATTAACTGTCCTCGCCCTCCTTTGTCCTTCTGCAGTTTATTCAAATTGTGAAGTCCCACCATAGCCATGTTCTTGACGTATTGTGCCATGCGTGTATTTTATCTCTCTGACTCATCTTCTGTTTCCTTAAAGGAAGGGATCTTGTCTGTCCTTTCATATCTTCCCCAGGGCGAGGAACTGAAAACACATATGATGGTTAATTGATTGATTAGGATTTCACTAAGCATTCCACTTAGGCACTTACCTACCTGTAATGCTTGTTGACTGCTTGATTGAACACCTTCCTCATTAACTCCATCTGGACAGGCAACTTTTCTGCATATGTGCCAGATCCAGTGCTAGGCACTGTCACTTTCATGATTTCACTTAATTCTCTCTAGATGTGTACTGTGCATTCCCATTTCACAAGATGAGTAAACTGAGGTTCATTGAGGTTAGGTGGCATGTTTCAAAGAATAACTCAAAGGCATATTGTTAGTTATTATCAAGCTAACTTACTTGAATACAAAATACTAATAACAGATTGATTTCATCTAACAAAGGATTTATCTACAAGGAAGAAGAAGAGAGAGGTAAGAAGGAAAACCACAGGCATATTTGAAAATGGTGAACCCTGCTTTCCTCTTGCTGGGCGAACTGGTGACCAGCAAGGGGCCAAGTGGGCTGTTCTGCCCTTGGACAGCAGACTAGGTCCTCAAAGAAAACAAATTCGGTTGTTTATGGGTTCCCCATAAGGCCTCGGAAGTTTAGCTATGAGCAATGTGTGACAGGCTGTCTCTGTGTTTTGGCTGTCACTGTCTTTAGTTAACACCTTCATCTCAGCTATGTCATTTGGGCACCAGCTCCCTTCCAGAATTTCTCAACTACTGCCTCAGTCACTCAGCAACCAAGCCGGGCTGACTATGAAGGTTTCAGGTTCCTTTTGACTCTGATCATGGGTTAACTGTTGTTTTGAGATCCTGGCTGTGCAGGCACATTTAGGCAGTTGGAGTTAGACGGTGGAGGAGGGCAAAAAGCCTAAGTTCAATCATAATAATAAATATCGAAACTCACTTCATGTCCAATGTTTTAGTTTCCCAAAGCCCAACCAGGAGAGCAATTTGGGCTTCGTCAAACTTGCCAAAGGATTAGTTTGGCCAATATTAGATAAGCAAGTGGCTTTTTCATTCATTCATTGATTTATTGCCCCATTTCTCCTGAAGTATTTATCCAGACATAATAAAATGTGTCACCCATTGCCCCGACTTCACCTTGGCTTGTGAGCAAATAAAAATTCTAAGACTCCAGCTTGGCTGGTGAGCAAATAAAAATTCTATCTGATAGATTTACGCTTAAATGTTCTGCTTCTAATGCTTGAGCTATTTCATTTGCTATTTGAGCCAAAGTCTGATATAAATTGTGGATAACATGATCTATTTCAGGAACTCCTGCTCAGAGTATAAATCCTTGCACAAATCAGTAAAATACAGTATCATGGATACCTCCTGGTAAGGTAACATGTCAAAATATTAATAAAATAAGATCACTGGGAGGTTCTGTTTTGAATGTTTGGAAAGGCTGAATGAATATACTGAAAGTGTACAGCATATTTTAATGCAGCAAGCATAGAAAATCCATTTTATTACACCCAAAGAAAGTCCCAGAAGTGCACATTGAGAAGGCATATATGTGTTGTTTATGGTAGGTACCACTTATTGTCTGAATTTAATAGATCTGATTGTTGACGAAAACACTCTAGAGTTAAATAAATCATTTATATAGTTTTTGTTTAGATTTGTGGTAAAATAATTGGACTATAGTTTGCATCATTAGTCTCATGCCTATCCTATTCTTGATATTTCCCCAGTTTCTTTGAAAGTTCTTGGAAATATCAGAAACAACAGTTAATTGTTAATGACCTAGTGTCAAGTTAAGGCATATAGATGTCTCAAGGTTAATATTTCTGTATTGAAGATAGAAGGGAATGACATGGTCAGTCTTAGGGTGAAATCTGATACCATTTAGTCCTATAGGCATGGGTATAAGGGTCTTACTAGAACATCTGGGGCTGGATGAGAAATCCAGCAGCTGAAAAGATTGGCTGTTGTTGCAGTTGTTTGAGAAAGGCAAATTCACAGAGTTTCTGGAAAATGAAAGTGTTAAAAAAATGGAAAAAAAAGAGTAGGGTGACCATTTTAACAATCTAGTATCTTGAGATACCACAAAATAAAAACAATAAAGGGAAAAAGAGGAGTCAAATAATAAAATGAGGGTCTGTTGCCCTGATTCTGGATCTTAACTAGAAGGTCTTGGGAGAGGGCTCTCCACTTCAGGAAGTCTTTGCTTATGCAGTCCTTTTTGATGACTCTCAGAGTTAAGTCTCTAGTGGGACTGGAGAGATGTCTCAGTGGTAGGATACTTAACACACTGACACTGGCTTGCATGTACCCATGGCTACACAGTCTGGAGTTAAAATGTAGTACTTGTAGTTAAAAGGACCTGAAATGGTCTTTTCTAGTGTGCCTCTTCTTCTTCTTCTTCTTCTTCTTGTTCTTCTTCTTCTTCTTCTTCTTCTTCTTCTTCTTTTTCAGAGACAGGGTTTCATTCTGTTGCACAGGGTGGAGTGCAGTGGTGTGATCATAGCTCACTGCAGTCTTGAACTCCTGGGCTCTAGCAATCCTCTGCCTCAGCCTCCTGAGTAGCTGAGACTACAGTACACACCATCATGCCCAGCTAATTTTTAAAGTTTTTTGCTATGTTGTCCAGGCTGATCTTGAACTCTCAGCCTCAAGTGATCCTCCCACCTTGGCCTGCCCATCTAGTACAACCAACTTTCATCAGTTTCTCTTCCAGCATCTCCAGTCTCCTGACTACAAATCATGTAAGGGTATAGCTGGTAATATTCTCTTTGAAAATGCAGCTTGCACCTGTTGGGCATATGATGTCATTTTTGACAATATTTGACAAGCTTGAAGTGTTTACAAGGTGGAATCCGATAGAGGAGGAGTCATCACAGTCTCATGGGTCTTCCTGGAATTGTTTCAAGGGGAGAGCCTGTTAAGATTTTGAGATGAGATGACTATTGCCTATCGTTACAGCTGATGGTTAGAGTTTAGGTCAGGAGAGATTAAACTCTTCTGAGTATTATGAGAGATCATTGGCCCATTCTATTTTGCAAAAACTTAGTGAGTGGATCAATGTGAGCAAGGAAGTTTTTGTTTTAATGGGAGTACTTTACACAGTTTCTTAAGTATTTCCACCTGTAAAGTGAAATTTTCTATCACTAGAGAGTAATATATGTACTCTATCACTAGAGAGTAATGCAGGTGGGAAAAAACAATATCTATCAATCTATTATCTATCTATCTATCTCTATCTATCTATCTATCTATCTATCTATCTATCTATCTATCTATCTATCTATCTTTTCACCTTTTAGCAAGGGAAAACTTTAATCCAAGTATAAACCTAACGCACCATTATAACTGAATGAAATCCATTTGGAAATGTTCAAATGGTTTTTGAGGCAAAGGTTCTGAACTTTGCCTTTTTCTGCAGCTTTTCCTGGGTCATGATAACAACAGAGAAGGCAAGATTTGGCCACCTGTCTCAAGGAAGATTTTTCTCAGCGAGATTTTTGAAAAATTTGAGCAATTTGTCATTGTGAATAATTTCACAGAGAAAGCACTAAAGGTCTGGAGATGGCCTCTGGTGACATTAAGCACTCATCCTGGCAATGCCAAAGCCCATTATTGCACATGTGACAGTTTGGAGAAGGCCACTATTTCTTTTCTTCTGAAGTGGCAGGTTATCATATTTGAATAAGTCATTCAGGATTCATTAAATCAGATTGAGTAAGTGTCTTTAGAATACCTACTGTAGCAAGAACAGAAAGGACTGCTTATTTTACATAATAGTCAGAAATTCCCTTTTGCTTTAAAAGTACTACCTTTAGAATGAGTTTCTCCATTTCTAATCTATACTTCATTTGGATGTTATATTGCCTCTTATAAATTACTTTTTTTTCCATTTTAGTTGGGGTGCCTGGTGAGATTAGAAAACCTCTTTGTTTTCATAATGTACTAAAAAAATCATGAGCAACTCCAAAGATACATCTATTTGTATAGATGTGTACTCAAGTGTTTAGCAAGGTGACATGCTGGTGATGTAACTGTCATTCAGCTATTTGAGTGGAGTGAGCTATTGATAAAGAACAGCTATAATAGCAGAATAGTCAGAACTTATGGCATAGCCAGCACAAAATATGCTTCGCTTATTCTCAAGATATGAGCCATCAACAAACATCATATCAGAGTTTTCTAGCCAGTGGTTCTCAAGGTTTTCAACCTTTAGCATGCGTCAGAATCACCTGGAGGGCTTGTTGAACTACACAATGCTGGTTTCCACTTCCAGAGTTTTGAATTCAGAAGATCTGGAGTGGGGCCCAACAATGCGGATCCCAGAAAAAGTGCCAGATGATGCTGAGGCTGCTGGTCTGGGGACTATACTTTGAGAGGCATTGCTGTAGAAGAGCATCAAGTGTCAGGCTGAAGAATACTGAGAGTTTAAATAGCTGCTAGACATTCATGACATTCAGTCATTCAAAAGAGGAAGTAGGATATCAGCACTTGGATTAGAACAATATTTAACAGTTTTGGGTGAAGCAGAACATAACAGAACTTCATAGAAGGCAATGAGACTGGCTGACAACCATTGAGTGTTATTCTGAAGTAATAAGATTTCTACTCCTCAGGAATCTCTAGGGTGAGGGAGAGGCAAAGAAGATATCTGCTGGAGCTTCCACCAATCTAGCTGCTGCCCCATGGCATATAAACAGGGGGGAACAAGCCTCGGCCACACGGCCAGAGACATAAGTGATGATCTTATGATAAGCTCCTGATTTTTGAGTAAGCTCATCAAAACGAAGTCTTGCCTTTCGTAGGAAGAGCTTAGCAGAGTTGGGAATGCTCAAAATTGGGTTTGTTGCAAGGCTTGCTTAAGGGACGAAAAGCCCTGCTGTGATCTGAATCCCAAAGCAGGTTCTCTAGAATACTGGATTTGTAGGGGAGGAAAACTAATTTTCTCTCTACCCTTTGTTGACAAAAAGAGTCAAACTGTGTAAAATATTTGAAGAGATTTATTCTGAGCCAAATATGAGTGACCGTGACCTGTGACACAGCCCTCAGGAGGTCCAAGAACATGTGCCCAAGGTGATAGTGGTACAGTTTGGTTTTATATATTTTAAGAAGACATGAGACATCAATCAAATACATTTAAGAAATACATTGGTTTGATTCAGAAAGGCGGGACAACTCAAAGCATGGGGGTGGGGGAGGGGGAGGGGAGGGGGAGGGGGACAGGGGGTAAGGGGGTGGGTGGGGATTCCAGGCTATAGATAAATTTAAACATTTTCTGATTGACAGTTGGTTGAGTTTGTCTAAAGACCTGGGAACCTGGGATCAATAGAAAGGAAACAGTTTTATAGTGGCTGCCCTTAGAGACAATAGATGAAAAATAATTCCTATTCAGATCTTTAAAAGGTGGTAGACTTTAGTTAATCTCTTTAGGATTGGGAAGGCCTGGAAGAAAAAGATCTAGCTATGTTAATAGAGATTCTTTACAGATACAGATTTTCCCCTACAAAGGACGGCTTTGCAAGGCCATTTCAAGATATGGCAGAGAAACATATTTTGGGGTAAAATATTTTGATTTTCCTCCTTGTCTCGTAACGTTATGCCAGGGTCAGGTTGGAAAGTAAGCCATGATATATAGGGTTAAATAAAACCCATCTGATGAGAATTTATGGTTTGTAGGGCATGATTCCCCAGGCCCCTTAGATAGGAATTTGGGCAAGATTAAAAAAAAAAAAAATCAGAGCTTAGTCTTCACCTTCATAATTCTCAATTGGGATGGACCCCTGTAACAAAAGACAGATGAACAAGAGAAAAACAAACAGAAGTTTATTCACATGTAAACCTCATGTATATATGAGAGATACCCAGAGAAATGAATAATCTCCAAGAGGTGGCTTAGAGTTTAGTCTTAAATGCCATCTTCAATTAAAACAAAGAAAGAATGGTGTTGGGGAGGCCAGTTATGAGATGACTAGGAAAAGCAAGGAAAACAAGGGCAAGGGTTGTTATACAGATTTAAGTCTATGCCTTCCCCATTGATAAGAATCTCTAGTGATTTACGGTAATCATTTTCTTCCTGGTACTGAGAGAGAGAGAGACACCCTTGCAAATTGAGATTTCATTTATACATGTAAATTTCCCTTATAAAGCAGTAACTTCTACTCTGTTTTCAGAGCTTTTCCTGTGTCTGCAATTTCTCAAAATAATCAGCTCAAAATAATCATTATGCTAAAGAGGTATATTCTGTAGTACCTGACTATAAGATGTGTCTTCAGCAGCTGTTTTTTAAATGATTATCAGTGTTTTCTTCCAGTATTCTGATCATTAAACTCTAATGTAAGTGCCTTAGCAGGTACTGATATCATAATATTAACCAAACAATAATTAGGATGTATTCTCTGTCTTTCAGTATACCAAATATAATATACTTGTGAATGGAGGCATGTCATATATATGAATCCTTCACTTATGTGAAGTACATCTTCCAACAATACATTATATTTTGCTCTACATTAGCAGAAGGTATTATTCACAGTTCCAAGCCCTTTTCTATAGACATTCATTGCTTTTAAAGTAGCCAGCAATATAATCACTAATTTTATTTGGTTTACTTAAAAAAATCCTTTCCCTCAGCTACTCAACAGCTATTCCTCACTCTTCTGTCAACATGCCTATTTCTAAGAGCCTACTTCATGTAATTGCTTCTAATTTGCTATAGGAGGAGACTAGACAACAAGCTTGTTAGTGAGTGTTGTGTAAGGGGAGGAATTCCAAAGTCTGAATGAGGGCTCAGGGCAATGAAATAGGTCAGCTTTAGAGCACTGGCTTTGTTAATGGCTGTTTTCTGTGCTCCTCTGCCTTTTTTGCATGATTCCTGCCTTCTGCCTCTGCCTTTGTGGAGGTGGCGGTCAGGCTGACACCTTAGAAGGATGTTACTGCAAACATAAATTCCACACAGAGTCTTATGCAAGATCCTTGTTTGGATATAACAAAGAAACACATGACTTAATTCTTGGGAACTTGATCTAATTTTAGATAGTAAATCCTCATAAGAACAAAGCAACAACATCACAGATTTATCACACATAAAGTGGTTAAGCACTAAAGGAATACATCATGAAGATTTTCTGGAAGAGATATGTATTAAATCAATTTTTCTTTGAAAAAGTGAGAGATATGCTTCGGTGAGAGTCAGAGAAGGCTGTAAAAAGATAATTTTCAGAAAAAGGTAAAATCATGACTCTCATAAAGATAGAAAAATGAACTCATGTTAAATAATTTATTTTACTCCTGTCAAAGAGAACCAGAGCCTTACAGACTGGCACTTTGACATGCCAAGAGGCCTTAGGGGCTGCTTCACATTCAAGGTTCCTCTAACCTTCTCTTGTCTCCCTGTTGCCAGAAAGGAGTCCCGATTCAGATCCCAAGAGAGGGTTCTTGGATCTTGCACATGAAATAATTTGAAGCAAATTCATAAAGTGAAAGCAAGTTTATTAAGAAAGTAAAGGAATAGGGCTGGGCACGGTGGCTCACGCCTGTAATCCCAGCACTTTGGGAGGCTGAGGTGGGTGGATCACGAGGTCAGGAGTTAAAGAGCACCCTGACCAAGGTGGTGAAACCCTCTCTCTTCCATTTAATAAGGAGATTGCATCATTGCACTCCAGCCTGGGCGACAAGAGTCAGACGCTGTCTCAAAAAAAAAAAAAAAAAAAAAAGAGAGAAGGGAGGGAAGGAGAGGCACAAATGAGATACTGGTTTAATGGGATCCTTTACCACTCAGCTATTGACTCGATTTTCCTCTCCACAGCCACCAACTCAGCTTTTAATGTATGAAACTTCTAGGGTAGTTTCAGACAGGGGAATGTTAAGGCTCAGAAGGAGATATCCTAAAGACTAGTGCTTTGACATGCTGAGAGGCCTTAGAAGCGCCTTAGAATCGAGGTCCCTCCAACCTTGTCTTGTACCCTCATCCTCAAGCACAGGAAGTAACTCTCTCTAGAATTTTTTTTTTACTTAACCAAGAAAGGCTTCTTTGCAAAAGAAACACAATTGCCTTCTTCCCCTCCCTGAAATCTCATTATCTATCATGCAACCACATCTGGATGGACTTTTCCACAAAATAATGCCTGCCTCTTGGGCTCATTTAAGTTTCAAATAGAATAATTTACAAGTTAATTTCTATTTATTCATTCTCTCTAATAATTATATGCTGCCCCTCAAAAGAATTCTCTACATTCCTTATCTGCTTTCTCCCTCTATGAAAAAGGGTATATAAGCTTCTGCTAGAATGTGCCCATATTAATTTTGCTCAAAAGCTTCCTGAATGCAGCCAAGAATCTTTGCTACCCCTTTTATTAAAAAATAACTTTGTAATTAAAAAATAATTTAAATATTTTCTTCTATGGTAGAATTCCCAGGAGAACCTTCAGTTTTATAGGATTTGGGGGGAGATTTATGAAAAACCACTGGGTCATTTTTAGTTAGGTGACATTTGTCCTTTCATTTTTTGTGAATAGTGTAGTAGAAGCAACATGAAACTAAGATACAAAGCCAGAAGGCTCAAATGCCACATGCGTGTCTTTGGCTCCATTTAGACCATAGTCACAGAGTGCTCTTGGAGTTTAGATGACGCCCTATAAATAGTGTGGTCAGCTACAGTTTGAGCTCAGACCTGACAAAGACTCACTCCTTGGCCAAACTTTAGACAGGCTCCTTTGAGTCCTTTTTGCCTACTAGGACTTGGGTCCTGTCTACCGCCTGCCTAGGCTATGTAGGGGAGGAAAACTAAACTTTTTCCTCTACACATCTTAGATTCATTGTCTAGGGCCCCATAACTTTGACCATCAAAAAACAGATTAACAAGAGAAAAACAAGCAGAAATTTGTTAACATGTACATCTTATATACACAGGGGAGCACTCAGTGATGAGTAACTCAAAGGGGTGGCTAGAAGTTAGGGACCATATATACCCAACTTAGTAGGAGAAAGGGAGGAGGGAGAAAGGGTGCTTATAGAAAAGCAAATAACTTTTTGGAAATATAAATGGACCCTTAGGAGAATAGATGGGAGATATGATAGTCTTGTGATGGTGTGTGTTTGAGTGTGGTGCTGACTTCTTACTTCTGAGAAGATTGAAGTTGCTCTTGGGCAGGGGATTTATGACAATTGAATTTTGTTGAGTTTTTTTTCTTTTTTTTCTTTTTTTTGGAGACTCTGCTTTTAGGCATACAAGGGATTTCAGAAACTCAAATATCTTCAGCTCAAAATAATTTGTGTGCCAAAGTGGAATGTTTTGAGGTGGCATATACTGATCCACTTCATTCAGTTGTAGCAAGAATGCTACTAAGTCAGTTTAGTGAGAATTCTCCCACCCTTGGTACTGATCAACCTGGCCTGCCTTTGGCAAGATTCTTGTTCAATTGGTTTATCAAGAATTCTCCCTACCTTTGAGATCTCCTCTTAGTAATTTTCTACCCACTGACCCCTTCACTCTGCTGAGTGGCTATAACTCCCCAGCTATCTTTGCAGTATTTATAGTTCAGCCCAATCTCTATCCCCTATTAAGATAGTGCTGACTCTA
This sequence comes from Homo sapiens, assembly GCF_000001405.40. Lineage (NCBI taxonomy): Eukaryota > Metazoa > Chordata > Mammalia > Primates > Hominidae > Homo > Homo sapiens. Next base: position 49,713,736 of record NC_000023.11, read on the forward strand.
TCACAACAGTCCTGAATAAAGTCTTCCTTACCATTTAGAAAAATGTCAGAATAATTTTTTCTTTAACAGAAAGGATGTTAACAGTCTATAAGTTACCTATTGCTTCAGCATCTTCCTTTTCATTAAAAAAATCCTTTTATTAAAAAAGCCTATTTTCATACAATGTGGTTCAGGACATGCTACCCCAAAATATGGCACATTAGCATATTAAATATTTTAAGATGGAGGAATTTCAGAAGTCCACGGAACCAGGAAGTTCACTCTGACCTCCCCCACACTCCTGCTCTTCTCGCCTGAAGCAAGGCATAAAACCTAGCAAGGACTATCTTTAGTAAAACGGGGTTTCACCATGTTAGCCAGGTTGGTCTCGATCTCCTCACCTTGTGATCTGCCCGCCTTGGCATCCCAAAGTGCTGGGATTACAGGCGTGAGCCACCATGCCTGGCCAGTTCTTTTTTAAATGGTTGGTAAAATTCAGCAATGAAGCCATTGGATCCTGGCCTTTTCTTTGCTGGGAGACTTTTTATTACAGCTTTGATCTCATTACTTGCTATTGGTCTGTTCAGGTTTTGCATTTCTTCATGGTTCAAGTTGAGTAGGTTGTGTGTATTTTTTATCAATTTTTTCTAGGTTTTCCAATTTATTGGCATATAGTTGCTCGTAGTAGCTTCTAATGATTAGAATTTCTGTGGTATCATTTGTAATGGCTCCCTTTTCATCTCTGATTTTATTTATTTGGGTCTTCTTTTTCTTAGTTGGTCTGAATAAAGTTTTGTTGATTTCGTTTATCTTTTCAGAAAACCAGCTTTTAGTTTTGTTGATCTTTCATATTGTTCTTTTCATTTTAAGTTCATTTATTTCTGCTTGATCTTTTTCATTTCTTCTACTAATTTTGGGTTTGGTTTGCTATTGCTTTTCTAGTTCTTTTATATCATTAGGTTGTTTGTTTGAAGATTTTCTACTTTTTTGACGTAGGTTCTTATTGTTAAAACTTTCCTCTTAGTACTGCTTTCACTGTATCCCATAGGTTTTGGTATATTGTGTTTCTGTTTTCATTTGTTTCAAGAAATTTTTTCAATTTTCTTCTTAATTTCTTCACTGACCTGCTGGTTTTTTTGGGAGCATATTGTTTAACTTCCATGTGCTTATATAGTTTACAAAATTCTTCTTGTTATTGATTTCCAGTTTTAGCTCCTTTTTGTGTTATTTGCTTCTTTTGTCTTGCTGCTTTTAGGATCCTTTCTTTATTCTTGACCTTTGGGAGTTTGATTATTAAATGCCTTGAAATAGTCTTCTTTGGGTTAAATTGGCTTGGTGTTTTGTAACCTTCTTGTACTTGAATATTGATATCTTTCTCTAGGTTTGGTAAATGATCTGTTATTAATTATCCCTTTGAATAAACTTTCTACCCAAATCTCTCTCTCTCTACCTCCTTTTTAGGCCAATAATTCAGATTAGCCCTTTTGAGGCTATTTTCTAGATCTTCTAGGTGTGCTTCATTCTCTTTTATTCTTTTTTCTTTTGTCTTCTCTGTGTTTTTCTTTTATTTCCTTTCCTTTTTTAGATGGAGTCTTCATTCTGTTGCCCAGGCTCGAGTGCAGTGGCACAATCTTGGTTCACCGCAACCTCCACCTCCTGGGTTCATGTGATTCTCCTCCCTCAGCCTCCGGAGTAGCTGGAATTACAGGCGCCCTGCCACCACATCCAGCTAAATTTTTTTTGTATATTTAGTAGAGTTGGGATTTCACCATATTGGCCAGGCTGGTCGTGAGCCCCTGACCTCGAGTGATCTGCCTGCCTCGGCTTCCGAAAGTGCTGGGATTATAGGCATGAGGCACCACGCCAAGCCTATGTATTTTCAATTAGCCTGTCTTCAAGCTCAGTAATTCTTTCTGCTGCTTGATCAAGTCTGCTGTTAAGAGACTGAAGCATTCTTCAGTATGTTGATTGTGTTTTTCAGCTCCAGAATTTCTTCTTGATTCCTTTAAATTATTTCAATGTCTTTGTGAAATTTATCAGATAAAATTCTGAAGTCCTTCTGTTATCTTGAATTTCTTTGAGTTTCCTCAACACAGCTATTTTGAATTCTCTGTTTGAAAGGTCAGATATCTGTTTCTCCAGGATTGGTCCCTGATGCCTTATTTAGTTCACTTGGTGGGGTCACGTTTTCTTGGACAGCCTTGATACTTGTTGATGTTCGTCAGTATCTGGGAGTTGAAGAATTAGGTATTTATTGTAGTCTTTGCAGTCTGGGCTTGTTTATACCTGTCCTTCTTGGGAAGGTTTTTCAAGTATTTGAAGGGACTTGAATATTGTGGTCTAAGTCTCTGGTCACTGCAACCATAGCTGCATTTGTGGTCCCCTAAGCCCAGTAATGCTGTGGCTTTTGAAGACTCACAGAGGTACCATCTTGGTGTTCTTGAGTAAGATTTGGTAGAATTCTTTGCATTACATGGAAGAGACTTTTGTTCTCTTCCCTTCCTTTCTCTGAAATAAATGGAGTCTCACTCTCTGTGCTGAGCTGTCTGGAGCTGGGAGAGGGGTAACACAAGCATCTCTGTTGAGAGACAGGAATAGCTGGATTTCCTAGGCTGACTAAGAATCCCTAAGCCTAGCTGGGAAGTTGACCGCATCCACCTTTAAACATGGGGCTTGCAACTTAGCTCACACCCAACCAATCATGTAGTAAAGAGAGCTCACTAAAATGTGAATTAGGCAAAAACAGGAGGTAAAGAAATAGCCAATCATCTATCGCCTGAGAGCACAGGAGGAGGGACAATGATCGGGATATAAACTCAGAGATTCAAGCTGGCAACGGCAACCCCCTTTGGATCCCCTCCCATTTTATGGGAGCTCTGTTTTCACTCTATTAAATCTTGCAACTGCACACTCTTCTGGTCTGTGTTTGTTATGGCTCGAGCTGAGCTTTCACTCGCGGTCCACCACTGTGTTTGCCACCGTTGCAGACCCACCACTGACTTCCACCCCTCCAGATCCAGCAGGGTGTCCACTGCACTTCTGATCCAGTGAGGCAGCTCCCATTGCCGCTCCCGATCAGGCTGGAGGCTCGCCATTGGTCCTGCATGGGCTAAGTGCTCAGGGTTCGTCCTAACTGAGCTGAATGGAGCTATAACACTCACCGCATGGCCCAAGATTCCATTCCTTGGAATCTGTGAGGCCAAGAACCCCAGGTCAAAGAACAAGAGGCTTGCCGCCATCTTGGAAGCAGCCTGTCACCATCTTGGGAGCTCTAAGAACAAGGACCCCCCCTCCCCCCCCGCCCCCGTAACACTGTGACTACCACCACTGGGACAGCATTGGGTCAGACCCAAAGCCAGCACAGCACTGGGTCTTGTGCAAGGCCCATGGTGACCACTTCCTGGTTACCACCTATGTTCACCCTAGGCCCAAGGGCTCTACAATCAGCAGGTGGTGAATCCAGCCAAGCTTGTGTCCTTTCCTTCAGGGTGGTGAGTTCCCTCTAGCCTTGGGTGGGCCAGAAGATGCCATCTGGGAGCCAAGGACTGGAGTTTGGAAACTTAAGAATATACTTAGTGCTCTATTCTACTGTGGCTGAGCTGGCATCCAAGCTGCCAGACAAAAATAAATGGGACTTAATTAAACAAAAGCTTCTGCATAGCAAAAGAAATAATTAGCAGAGTAAACAGACAACCCACAGAGTGGGAGAAAATATTCACAAACTATGCATCCAACAAAGAATTAATACCCAGAATCTTTATGGGACTCAAACAGATTGGCAAAATAATAATAATAATAATTATCCCATAAAAAAGTGGGCAAAGGAAATGAATAGAAAATTCTCAAAAGAGGATATACAAACAGCCAACAAACATATGAAAAAAAAATGCTCGACATCACTAATTATCAGGGAAATGCAAATTAAAACCACAATGAGATACCACCTTATTGCTACAAGAATGGCCATAATTAAAAAGTCAAAAAATAATAGGTGCTGGTGTGGATGTGGAGAAGAGAACACTTTTACACTGCTGGTGGGAATGTAAACTAGTACAACCAATGGGAAAACAGTATGAAGATTCCTTAAAGAACTAAAAATAGAACTAACATTTAATCCAGTAATCCCACTACTGGGTATCTACCCAAAGGAAAAGAAGTCATTATATGAAAAAGACACACACATGCATGTTTATAGAAGCACAATTCACAGTTGCAAAAATATGCAACCAACTTAAGTGCCCATCAACCAACAAGTAGATAAAGAAAATGTGGCATATGGAATCATACTCAGACATAAAAAAGAATGAAATAGTGTCTTTGGCAGCAACTTGAATGGAGGCCATTATTCTAAGTGAAGAAACTCAGGAATGGAAAATCAAATATCATATGTTCTTACTTATAAGTAGGAACTAAGCTATAAGGACACAAAGGCATAAGAATGATATAATGGACATTGGGGACATTGGGGACTGGGTGGGGAGGGCACGAGGGATAAAAGACTACATGTTGGGCACAGTGTACACTGCTTGTGTGACAGGTGCATCAAAATCTCAGAACTCACCACTAAAGAACTTTTCCATGTAACCAAAAACCACCTGTACCCCAAAAACTTTTTTAAAAAACCCCAACAGAGCATTTCTGTATTGGTCAGTTCTTGCATTGTTATAAAGAAATACCTGAGACTGGGTAATTTATAAAGAAAAGAGGTTTAACTGGCTTATGTTTCCACAGGCTGTAAAGAAAGCGTGATAGCTTCTGGGGAGTCTCAGGAAACTTATAATCATGGCAGAAGGCAAAAGAGAAGCAGGCACATCTTACATGACCAGAGCAGGAGGACGAGACAGAGAAGGGGGAGGTGCTACACACTTTTAAACAACCACCTCTCATGAGAACTCACTCACTATCATAAGAACAACAAGGGGAAAATCTGCCCCCATGATCCAATCCCCTCCCACCAGTCCCCTCCTCCAACATTGGGGATTACAATTCCACATGAGATTTGGGCAGGGACACAGATCCAAACCATATCAATTTTCAACTGAAACAAAAAGACCGTCTTTCCTACCCTCTTCAGTGCCTCTTTCCATGATATGATGTTAAAACCAGGCACTGTGATCACTCATCTTATTTTTGGTTCTTATGAAGGTCCTTTGTTGTGTGTGGATAGTTGTTCAATTTGGTGTTCCTGCAGGATGGACAATAATTGGAAGCTTCTACTCAGCCATCTTGCCCTACCTCCCCTCCTCAAGGGCTGTTTTTGAGCACCTGCTTGCCAGTCCTTTTATGAGGCATTGGGGTTAGAGTTGTGAATGAGACTAAAATGGTCCCTGTCCTTCATAGTCCTTATAGACTATAAAGTCTAGACTCCAGACAAATAAAAGCCTGGGCTTCCATTCAGGCCATCTCTATGGGCAGGTGCTGTGTATTGAGATACAAACATGAATGAAAGCTTTTCCTAGCCTTTTAGGAGCTTCCCCTGGAGGGAGGTGATAAAGAGTCTCTCTCCTTGTCCAAACTCTACTCAGGCTCCTTTGAACTTTCTTCTCATTGAGGCCCTTACTGTTAGGCTTCTGTGTTTGTCTCTGCATAGTCTAATTTTGTCCAGGATCATGGTAAGTAAATTTAGCCAGAATTCCCCATTCTTGATATCCAATCATCCTTGCTATCTGATCGGGTTCCTCATTCTCCACCATCCCCCAGGTGATGTCTGATCCCCCTGGCTTGTCTTCAGCAAGAATCCTGTTAGGTCAGTTTAACCAGAATCTTCCCTTACCCTTGATATCTCCTTTTAGTAATTTTTCATTTACTGGCCCCCCACGCCACCCGTTGGGTATAAATTCTGACTTTTCCTTGTTGTATTCAGAGTTACATCCAACCCTTCTCCCCTACTGCAAAACTCCATTGTAGTGGTCCCCCTGGATAAAGTCTGTCTTACCATCTTTAACAAGTGTCATGAATAATTTTTTGTTTAACAGGAGGCAGACCCAGACTGACAGATGGTTTTATTATATTAGGATAACATATTAAAGAAATATATAAGAAACAGATATATATATAGATATAGATACATAGATATATATAATTTTTAGACCCAACTCATAAAGGAGGTGATGCTTAAGATTGATAAGTGGAAAAGTAAAAAAAGAATGGAAAGCATATTCTAAAGGGCAAGTCATAAAAAGACTTGGAGGAAAGAAACAGCAGAGTGTGTGGGGAGAAATATAAAAATTCCAGGATAATCGTTAAAATAAATCACACAGCAGGAAGTTTCTGGAGACGGTACTGAGAAGCAGGGAATGCAAAGCCCTGGCAGTTCTTGTGTGCCAGGCTTAGGCTTTCACTTGTAGGCAATGAAGAGTTCTCATCACAGGAGTGACCAGATTCCAGGTTAGCATGGTGGATGAGTTATTCTGGCTATACTGTTGTGGACAAAAAGAGTCAAACTCTGCCCTTAGAGACAATAGATGACAAAATTTTCCTATTCAGATCTTTAAAAGGTGCTAAACTTGTAGTTAATCTCTTCAGGATTGGAAGGGCCTGGAAGAAAAAGAGCTAGCTATGTTAATAGAGATTCTTTACAGATGCAAATTTTCCGCCACAAAGGACAGCTTTGCAGGGCCATTTCAAGATATGGAAAAGAAACGTTTTGTGGTAAAATTTTGTATTTTCTTCCTTGTCTCATAATGTTATACCAGAGTCAGGTTGGAAAGTAAGTCACAATATGTAGGGTTAAATAAAACCCATCTGATGAGAATTTATGGTTTGTAGGGCATGATTCCCCAGGGTCCTTAGATAGGAATTTGGGCAAGATAAAAAAATCAGAGCTTAGTCCTCACTGTGCAGGAGGAATTTAAAGGAAATGTGTTGGTTATCCTTTCTGTACTCCCCCAAACCAATTTTCTGCTCTTTCTTTGCCTTGCTCCCTGCCCAAAAGGCTAACCCCCTAACAGGCTGCATCATGTGGGCTTTCAGATTTCTGGTTGTCTACAGTTGTATAACAAACCACCTCAAACTTAATGACATAAAGCAACATAACTGAAACTGCCTTTGCAAAGTTACGACTGAGACAATGAAAGAGATTTAACTTAACTGACTCCATCTAGCTTCTAACCTCCAAGCTGCCCTTGTTCATTCCTAGGTGTAGGCAGAACTAACTTTGGGAGGAACTTGTTTATAGTTTATAGCTTAAACAAAGACAGTAACAGCCCTTTCTCAAAGCAGACCTCCTTCTTGCCTGGGGACTAGACTGCCTCTGTAGGACTAACATTAGCTACAAGATTATAAATTATGGTTTAGGAGTCATGCAGCTGGAGGCTACAAGATTCTGACCCTCCCTAAACTGCTCCTAAGATCAGTGCTGGAGATATTTTGTAGACCCTGCACTTGGTGGATCAGCTGGCGCCACCCAGATCAATAAACTGGCTCATCTGATCTTGTGGCCCACATCCAGGAACTGACTGAGCACAAGAAGACAGCTTCAATTCCCTATGATTTCATCTCTGATCAATCAGCACTCCTGGCTCACTGGCTTCCCCCCACCCACCAAGTTGTCCTTAAAAACTCTGCTCCCTGAATGCTTGGAGAGACTGATTTGGGTAATAATAAAACTATGGTCTGCTGCACAGCTGGCTCTGCATGAATTACTCTTTCTCTATTGCAATTCCCCTGTCTTGGTGAATCAGCTCTGTCTAGGCAGTGGGCTAGGTGAACCCCTTGGGCAGTTACATAACCATTTATTATTATGATCTCTCACAGATCTGGGGGTTGACTGGGCTTAGCTAGGCAGTTCTCAGTTGAGAGTCTCTCATGAGGTTACAGTCAGACAGCAGCTGGGGCTGGCATCATCCTGAAGGTATTCTCACTCACTTGTCTGGTGTTTGATGCTGGCTGTCAGCAATCACCTGAAGGATACTAGAATATGCCACCCCAAAATATGCCTCTTTGGCACATGAATTATTTTGAGCTAAAGGCCATTGAGAACTAACAGATGCAAGAAAATCTCTAGAAATGGCACAAGTTTTTCTTTTGTAAAGGCAATTTACATTTATAAGAGAAGTTTCTATTTGTGAAAGGTGCCTCCCTCTCCCATACCAGGAAGAGGAGGATTCTTAACTCTTATCAACGGAGAATGTAGACTTAAATCTGCATTACTAACCTTACTGAACAACCCTTGTTTACTCTACTTTTCCTGGTCATCTTTCCATAACTTGCCTCCCTTGCCCAGAAGCCCCAAACCCCTTTTCCTTTGTTTTAGCCTAAGATGGTATATAAATCCAGGCTCTAACCACCACTTTGGGTTACTCATTGCTGGGTAGTCCCATGTGTACATGTGCAATGCATATGTTAATAAAAACTTCTATTTGTTTTTCTCTTGTCAGTCTATTATTGGCGAACGTGATTTACAGGGCCCCATCTGGAGAACCTAAGATACATAGAGGAAAGGATTATTTTTCTCCCCTACAGACCTCTGCAGGGGCTTTTGGCCAGAATACTTACTTACACATGTCCTCTCCAAGTGGCTTAGGCTTCCTCATGGCTGTGTTCCAAAGGCAAGCATCCCGAAAGTGAGAGCCAGGCAGAAGCTGTATTGTCTTTTATGGATTAGCCTTAAAATTCATGTAGCATTACTTCCACTACATTCTATTTGTTAGAGATGAGTCCTTAAGTCTGGCCTATATTTAAGTGGAGGAGAATTAGACTGCACCCCTTGATGAAAGCAATGTAAAAGAATTTGAAGGCATGTTTTAAAACCACTATTCCTCTAACTTCAGGTTGAATTTGGACCATGTGTGTGTGTGGTGAGGGGAAGGGTGGGGTGGGAGGAAGTGGGCCCCAGCAAATCAGAGTGTGGTTAGCAAGAAATTTTGTGGATATTTATCCATCCCTCCCTCCTTCCCTGCCTGGCTGTGGTTCCATCAGTGGCTGTAGTTCCTTATAGCCTACGGCTCCTATCTGGTGACCCCTCTTCTACTGTTCCAGTTGTAGTCCCTGGGTTCTACTAATACAACTTCCTCCCCTTGCCCCTCACATCTAGGGATGGTAATGGCTTCTTCATGTTGCTATTCCCCAAGTGTCTTATCATCGGTTTCTTTAACTCTGCCAAAACCTTTGGGAATGGCTCATTAATTCAGCTCTTTAAATTTGAACACATTAACCATCTTTTTTTATTGTCATGAAGCTGACTAAATCAAGGGACCAAAACGGAGGCAGAGAAACTAGTTGGGAGTGAGTTATTGTTAAAGAAGACAGAATCTTTCTAACCCAAACTCACTATGCCAAAGTGAAAGTTAAGCTTGGGAACTGAGTCATGCAATACTGCCTTCCTCTCGCTCCGTCACCCAGGCTGGAGTGCAGTGGTGCAATCTTGGCTCACTGAAACCTCTGCCTCCCAGGTTCAAGTGATTCTCCTGCCTCAGCCTCCCGAGTAGCTGGGACTACAGCTGGGACTACAGGTGTGTGCCACCATGCTTGGCTAATTTTTTTGTGTTCTTATTAGAGACAGGGTTTCACTATGTTGGCCAGGATGGTCTTGAACCCCTGACCTCAGGTGATCTTCCCACTTCAGCCTCCCGCAGTGTTGAGATTACAGGCGTGAGCCACCGCGCCTGGCCAATACTGCCTTCCTTTTGTTCCCAAACAGATAGCTGTAATTTTACAATCCTGTGTCATAGTGTAACTGCCCAGTGGGTTCACCTTGCCTGCTGCCTCGACAGAACCGATTTATCGAGAGAGGGGAATTGCAATAAAGAAAGAGTAATTCACACAGAGCTGGCTGTACGAGAGATTGGAGTTTTATTATTACTTGAATCAGTTTCCCCAGACATTTGGGGAGCAGAGGTGTTTGTTTGTTTTTTTTTTTTTTTTGAGACGGGGTCTTGCTCTATCACCCAGGCTGGAGTGCAGTGGCATGATCTCGGCTCACTTCAACCTCTGCCTCCTGGGTTCAAGTAATTCTCTTGCCTCAGCCTCCCAAGTAGCTGGGATTATAGGTGCCTGCCACCATGCCCGGCTAATTTTTGTATTTTTAGTAGAGATGGGGTTTCACCATGTTGGCCAGGCTGGTCTTGAACTCCCGACCTCAAGTAATCCACCCACCTCAGCCTCCCAAAGGGCTGGAATTACAGGAGTGAGTCACTGTGCCCGGCCTGGGGAGCAGTTTTTAAGGAAAACTTGGTGGGTGGGGGGAAGCCAGTGAGCTAGGAGTACTGATTGGTCAGGGATGAAATCATATGGAATCAAACCTGTCTTCTTGCACAGAGTCAGTTCCCAGTTGGGGGCCACAAGATCAGATGAGTCTCTTTATCAATCTGGGTGATGCCAGCTGATCCATCAAGTGCTGGGTCTCCAGCACTGATCTTAGGAGCAGTTTAGGGAAGGTCAGAATCTTGTAGCCTCCAGCTGCATGACTCCTAAACCATAACTTCCAATCTTGTCGCTAATTTGTTAGTCCTGCAAAGGCAGTCTAGTCCCCAGGCAAGAAGGAGGTTTCTTTTGGGAAAAGGCTTTGTTTTAAATTATAAACTATAAACTAAGTTCCTTCCAAAGTTAGTTCAGCGTATGCCCAGGAAGGAACAAGGACAGCTTAAGGGTTAGAAGCAAGATGGAGTCAGTTAGGTTAGATCTCTTTCGGTGTCTCGGTCATAATTTTGCAAAGGTGATTTTAATAGCCTCATCTCTAAGGCAGGTTCCCACAGTGACAGAAGGCCACATATCCTCCCAAATGGCCTCCCTCACAAATTGCTCACAAGGGATTTCCTTGTGAGCTCTTAAATCTTTCAGGATACCTGTCTCTCTTATAAACTAGCCCTTAAACTAAGTTGTGTTGAATTTCACCCTGACAATGTCAATTACCAGCTTATCGTCACAAGTACAGGACAAGGACAAGACCAGAAATCATCCCTCCACCTACCCTGAGACAAAAGCGTAATTGACTTTTTCCTCTACTCCCTCTTTTCGCATGCCAAATGTAGACTTACTGAGTGCTAATCAGAGCCTCACAAGCATGTAACTGTTTCCCTCGCTGCCTAACTTCCCTCTCTTTTCCTCCCTCTTGCTTGCTCTTTCCTCTTCAAATACTGAATTTCTCAAAACTGTCTTTGGAAAAGCACAGGTCACAGATGCTCCTGTGTCCTGTGTATTGCCCAGGCATACCCTCAAACTTTGTTTAAATACACCTCTATTGATTGAGACAGCTGTCTCAGTAACTTTTTGGTTAATGTCTTAAAAGTATAAGACAGAGATGATAAGGGCCTGAAAATAGTAGATGGATTCTAGATGGATTATTAAGAGAAAATTTGCAAAACTTTTTGGCAGATCATAGATTATGGGAGTAGTTACCATAGATCAAATCTATAAGAGGTCAATTTCAGAAGGAGCAGATAGAAGATTGGGACAGACCAGGCAGTTACCAGAGATCCAGTGGGGTATAGGTCAATCTTTTGTAGGTCACAGGGCAGAGCTAATGACCCCAGGAGCTAGGAATGCCCACATGAGAACTGATCCTAATACAGAAGTTGTTTAGCTCAGTCTTGTCTACTTGTTAGAGTTGAATGAATTCAACTAAATCACACAAAAATGCTCTGAATATTACAAAGCACTATACATGTATGAAAGTCAATGGGAGTTAGTGTTATAACTATAATAATTATACTTTTCGCTGGGTATTTGTATACCTAGATTAGTACATTTGATCATATACAGAAGAGAATCTGAGCTCAATTGAAGAAGTGATAGAAATGGTATTTCCCCATGTTTTACAGCTGGGATGTGGTTTGTTTGTCCCCAGAAAATCTCATATTGAAATGTGATCCCTAGTGTGGCAGTGTTGGGAGGTGGGGCCTAGTGGGAGGTATTTGGGTCATGGGGGTGGATCCCTTATGAGTGGCTTGGTGCCATTTTCGAGGTAGTGAGTGAATTCTCATTCTTGTGAGACTGGATTGACTTTTGCGGGGAATGGGTTATTATAAAGCCAGAATACCTCTTGGGTTTGGTCACCCCTCTTCACATGTGCCCACTTCTTCTTTGACCTTCTCTGCCGTGTTTTGATGCAGCAGAAAAGCCCTCACCAGAAGTCAAGCAAATGCTGGCACCGCACTTCCTGTACAGCTTGCAGAACCATGAGCTAAGTAAAACCTTTTTCTTTATAAATTACCCAGCCTCAGGTATTTTGCTATAGTAACACAAAATGGATTAAGACACCATGACTCTTCTGGTTAAACTGGAGAGACTCTAATTAAGCTCCTCTCTTTCTCACAAATGCTCATTATTTTGTCTCTGTCTACGCATTGTCACTACTTAGTGTTCTTTACCTTTAAAAAAGTTCACAATAACACAGATGATCCTCTACAGTCATGTTAGTGCCCTTGCAATTTCCAAATCTCATTCTGTGGGGTGGATGCTGCCTCTGAATGATGGTGACTAAGCAATTTGACAGGGTGCTGTCAAAGGCAAACCACAATTGGACAGTAATTAAAGTGGCAAGAACAAATTTTATTCAGGACTATTGCAATAGGAGACCTCATATAGAACTGAGCTCAACTTTGAATACATTGATCAGTTCTAAGAGCCTTTTGGAGGAGTCTTACGGTTTTCTAGGTATATGATCATATAATTGACAGCAGTCACAGGCTGTTCAAAGCAGCCACTGCTGTCACTCCAGCTGCAGTGGGGTGGTGTGGGTGGTGGCAGTGGGAGTGGCTGCGGGAGCAGCAGTGGTGGTGATGGGACCTCTGCGTCCCATGTCCCCTGTGCCCCATGTCCCCGAGGCAGCTGACTACACTGCCCTTACCCTCACAAAGCCAGGAGGGGCCCACTCCCAGGCCCAGAGCCTCCTCTGCTCTGGACCCTGGCCCCATGTGACTGCTCTTGCTCACCACCACTGTGGGGAGGGTGTGGCAGGGAGGCCGACAGTACCTGGAACCCACCACCCTAGGGGCCATTGTGATGGTGCTCGGCCAAGCTGCCTGCCAGCTGCAGAACAGTGTGGTCGGACATGGAGGAGCGGCCAGAGCGGGGCCCACTGAGGACCTGGAGCCCCTCCCCACCACAGCTGCAAGGAGGCATGGCCGGGGCTGTGTGCTCCTTGGAGCTGGTGGGAGGCAGGGACAATCAGGAACCCTGCTGTTTCTGAGTTGGCAGGGTGGGAACTCCCTGGTGCAGCTGCAGCTGCCCTGCCACAGCTGCGGATGCAGGCATCTATGCACTCTTGGGAGCCTGGGAAGACCCTCTACCACACTGCAGGCTCAGAAGTGCCTGCTCCTGCTGCCTGGCTTCTCCCCACTGTCAGTGCCAGCTCCAATTCAGAGCAAAGTCAGGGCCAAGCCTGGGTGCTGTTGCAGCCCAGCCGGGTGTGCACACAGCCAGGGGCAGCACTGACATGCCAGCCCCCTGCTGCCTCTGCCCCCTCCAAACTTTGGGTGCTGACAAGCATGGGAGGGAGGCTGAGGGGGTGCTGAGGACAGTCCAGTGCTTGTCTGCAGGTGCCCCTTGGCATGAATAGCCTGGGTGCCTGAACAGCGGCAGGAGGCAGACAGACTTCTGGGTGGAAGGGGTTGGGCCCCTGGTGAAGCCCCACCTTCAATCCAGGGAAGTCCTGAAGCCTGGGGACTGGGCCGCCAGTCCCGCCGACTGGAGGGAGAACTTGTGGTGCTTTTCCCTGGGCCCACCCATGGCTGCCCATGGACCAGTCAGCATGCACATCCTCCTCTCTGAAGCACACAAAAACCCTGGACTCAGCCATACTCAAGCAGAGGACAGAAGACAGAGAAATGATGGGGAGATGACAGGATGACCAGCTGCAAAGAGGAGCTACCCCCTCTGCTGAGAGCTGAGCACTTGTTGGGGCACCCTAGCTATGGAGAGGAACTGCTTACTATGGAGAGGAACTGCCCACTATGGGTCTTCTCTGAGCTATTCTATTGCTCAATAAAGTGTCTCTTCGTCTTGCTCACCCTCCACTTGTCTGCATATCTCATTCTTCCTGGACACAGGACAAGAACACAGGACCCAGGAAATGGCAGGGCTGAAAGAGCTGTAATACAAACAGGGCTGAAACACATCCCTTGCTCACCACATTGCGGGTGACAAGGAGGAGAGAAGAGAGGAGCGAAGGGGAGAAGACCTGTAGCCCTCTGGGGAACCCAGACCTGGGAGCTCCCTGAGTCAGGGCTGTGACTCTTCTTTGGGGCCCTGTGGTTCCTGGAGTCTCCAAGCATCTGAGTACCACTCCGTTCCCCGGTGCCAGCTGTGGAAGCTGCTTGCAATGCGCCTAGTCCAGCTGCAGCCTCACAGTGAGCCAGTACCCATGCTGGCACCTAGAGCTGCCTGCCCCGCTGCAGTAGCTGACGTGCCTCACTGTGTGCAGTGGCTGGACCCCACGATTGGCTCCCTGGCTCACATACCCCTCACCGCTCTGCTTCCGTCTTTTTGGAGGTGTGGGATCCAGGCCAGTAGCACGAGCTGAGCACAGCCTGCCAGGCTGAGTGGGCCCAGCAGGCCCAAGCAAAACTCATGCAAAGGTGCCACCAGCTACAGAGCTTTCTGGCCAGAAAAACGATACCCCCAAGGATCCCATAACATTATCAGCAAACAGTGACAGTTTGACTTCCTCTTTACTGATTTGGATGCCCTTTATTTCATTCACTTGTCTGATCGCTCTGGCTAACACTTCCAGTACTATGTTGAAGAAGAATGATGAGAGTGGGCATCCTTATCTTGTTCCAGTTCTCAGGGAACAACTTTCAACTTTTCTCTGTTCGGTAAAATGTTGGCCGTGGGTTTGTCATTGATGGCTTTTATTACATTGAGGTATGTCCCTTGTATGACAGTTTTGGTGAGGGTTTTAATCATAAAGTGATGCTGGATTTTGTCAAATGCTTTTGCTGTATCTATTGAGATGATCATGTGATTTTTGTTTTTCATTCCATTTATGTGGTGTATCACATTTATTGACTTGTGTGTGTTAAACCATCCCTGCAACCCTGGTATGAAACCCACTTGATCACTGTGGAGTATCTTTTTGATATGTTGTTGGATTTCTTTAGCTAGTATTTTGTTAAGGATTTTTGCATCTATGTTCATCAGGGATATTGGTCTGTAGTTTTCTTTTTTTATGTCCTTCAAGTTATTTTTTTTATTTCAGTTATTGTACTTTTTAACTCTCGAATTTCCATTTGGTTCTTTTTTATGATTTCTATTTATTGATGTTCTGTATTTGATAGGTCATTGTCATAAAACTTTAATTATTTAAACATGGTTTCCTTTTAATTATTTGAACAAATTTATAATAGCTCCTTTGAAATCTTTGTCTGCTAAGTTGTACACATGGGCTCCCCACTTTTTTTTTTTAAGGCATGGTCTCGCTCTGTTGCCTAGGCTGCAGTGCAGTGGCATGATTATGGCTCACTGCAGCCTCAACTTCCTGGGCTCAAGCAATCCTCTTGCCTCAGCCTTCAGAGTATCTGAGACTACAGGTGCACATCACCATGCCCAGTTAATTATTTTATTTTATTTCTGTAGAGGTGAGGTCTTGCTTTGTTGTCCAGACTGGTCTCAAACTCCTGGGCTCAAGGTATCCTTCTACCTCAGCCTTCCAAAGTGCTAGGATTATAGGCATGAGCTACTGCACCTGGTCAGCACATGGGCCCCTTGAAAGCAATTTCTGTTTTGTGTTTTCTTGTTTGAATGATACAAGAATCATTATCCCATTTCTTCCCAAGACTCATAACTTTTTGTTGAACACTAGATATTTCAGATAATATAGCAACTCTGGATTCTTATTTATTCTGTACTCCCTCTGAGGCTTAGTGATATCACAGATTTGTGTTAGCTTATTTGTTTAGTGTCTTGCCTAGACCAATTCTATGAAGTATATTTCCCTCTCAGTGTGCAGTCTCTGACAACACTACTCAGTTTGTTTTTTCTCCTTGGTTTTATTTTTTAAGGCTAATTGCCTAGGAGTTGCCCCTGGGTCAGTATGGCTTAGTGTTCAATCAATGATTATTCCAAGGTTGTGCTTATGCTGTGTTATGATCCGCATACGTTCTTCCAAATT
Source organism: Homo sapiens (assembly GCF_000001405.40). Taxonomy (NCBI): domain Eukaryota; kingdom Metazoa; phylum Chordata; class Mammalia; order Primates; family Hominidae; genus Homo; species Homo sapiens. The sequence goes on from NC_000023.11 coordinate 49,729,766, forward strand.
CATCTGTTGAAACATAATTGCCAATGTGATAGTATTAAGAGGTGAGGCCTTTAGGAGGTGGTTAAATCATGAGTGCAGAGCCCTCATGAATGGGATTGGCAACCTTATAAAAGGGCTGGAGGGAACTAGTGTTCATTCCTTCTGCCCTTCCCTCCCTTCCACCATGTGGGGACATGAAGTCACCCCTTCTGGAGGATGCAGCAACAAGGCACCATCTTGGAAGCAAAGAACAGTCCCTGCCAGACACCAAATCTGCTGGTGCCTTGACCTTGGGCTTCCCAGCCACCAGAATTGCAAGACATAAAATTTCTGTTCTTTATGAATCACCTATTCTCAGGCATTTTGTTTAGCTTTGTTTCGTCTTGTTTTGAGACAGAGTCTCGCTCTATTGCCCAGGCTGGAGTGCAGTGGCACCATCTTGGCTCACTGCAACCTCTGCCTCCAAGGTTCAAGCCATTCTCCAGCCTCAGCCTCCTGAGTACCTGAGATTACAGGCATGTGCCACCACACTTAGCTAATTTTTGTATTTTTAGTAGAGACAGGGTTTCGTCATGTTGTTCAGGCTGGTCTTGAACTCCTGGCCTCAAGTGATGCACCTGCCTCAGCCTCCCAAAGTGCTGGGATTATAGGTATGAGCTACTGCGCCCGGCCCAAGCATTTTGTTATAGCAGCACAAGTGGACTAAGATATGCTCCTTGAGCCAATAAGGGTTCAAGACTTAGCTGTTGGATCTGAGTAGCTTTGGGGATGCTTTCAATTCTGCCGCATGTTCTAGTAGGGACCAGTAGCTTTCAAATGCCTGCTTCAGTTGCTCATAGACTGGAGGACTTATCCCTTAGGATCAGGGAGGCTGTGTGTATATGCCAGGATGCACCTACTAGTAAGTGCAGCCTGGCATAAATACACAGCCTCCCTGATCCTAAGGGATAAACATGATTTTAACAGGGTACTTTTTCGCCGTCCTTTCCACTGGTTCCCTTTGTGAGAATTCTGGCTGATTTGCTGTTTTGTCTGTTGGTATTGGTTTCATGGAAATATTAGTCTTCTCTTAATTGCCTGACATGAAAGTTGTTCTTGTTTTTCACTACACCTTAAGGCATGGGTTCCTCCATACTCTGTTCCAAATAAAACCAGCCCCTCACTAGAGCTGTGGAGCTATGAGCCCTCCAGTCTTGCCCCTCCCCTTGGGCAGAACCTCTGTGCATTGCACTAGAGATACAGCTGGGGCAGGGATGGTGGCTTACATCTCCCAAAATGATGCCTCTACTCTGCAAATTGGAGCTGAAAGGGACTGTAGCTCCTGTCTTGTCTGATTGCCCTTCCCTATATGGAACCTCTTTCCTATGAGTGGGATCTGGAGTGGGTATTGCTACTGGGTCCACAGCATTGCCTTGCCTGGGGTACAACCTCTACTCTGTGAATGGGAGCTGGGTGAGGGGAAGGGAGCCCTCATCTTCTTTGTAGTGGAATAGACCTTGTGTAACACAGAGCTGGTGGTGGGGGTAGGGGGATGAGAGATGCTTGTGACCTTTCCCTCCACAGGTGAAACTGTAGTGCCAAAACTGGGATCTGTGGGTGAAGGGAGCCCTCATGTTCTTGGCCACACTCTCCTGAGGTTATAGCTTCTGTAACATGGAGTTGGGAGGGTTGAGGGGGAGGGGTGAAAGCAGGTTCTAGTTCAAGTGCCATAGACTTGTGCTGTTCTTACCAAGATGTATTAGGTTTTCTTAAATAAATGCCTTTTGATTTGCTGTATGACCTTAGATTGACCTCCAAAAACTTTAAATGGCTGTGTTTAATACTTTTCACCAGTTAAATGACTGGTTTACTGTAGAGAGGTCCACCAAGCTCCTCACACTGTTTTAGAAGTCCCATTCTGTCTCACTATTCTTGCTGATAATTACCATGATCCATCAAAATGACTTAACAGACAAAATGCAGCAAATGTAATGTTCAGAAAGCCCATTTTCTACAATTGTGTCCATGCCTCAGCTGTGCCTGCCAATGCAGGTCTGTGTTCCATTGGTGACCCATGTTCTCTTTCATCCTTGGATGCTTGAAAGCCTTAGTTTAAGACCAGAACAACCTAAGAGGAGTTGTCCTGAAACTGCCTATATGTGCACTCTTGCCTCTACAGCAACAGCCCCTTGCTTGCTCATGGATAAAACTGTCATAAGCTATAGTCACTGGTCGAGGACAAAGCACCATGGCCACCTTAAAGCCTTTCACATAGGACAGAGCTGAATATTCTCCTCCAGCTTTCAAGGCTAGAAGGCTTTAGCTACTCACTGATGGTCCAGCCCAAAGCCTATAGGTTCCGGCTTCAACAAGAGTCTCAGTCTGCTATAGTTTGAATGCTTTTGTACCCTCCAAAACTCATATGTTGGAAACTTTTTTTTTTTTTTTTGTGAGATGGAGTCTTGCTCTGTCACCAGACTGGAGTGCAGTGGTGCAATCTTGGCTCACTGCAAACTCCGCCTCCCAGGTTCAAATGATTCTCCTGCCTCAGCCTCCCGAGTAGCTGGGACTACAGGCATGTGCCACCACACCCAGCTGATTTTTGTATTTTTAGTAGAGAAGGGGTTTCACCATGTTGGCTAGGATGGTCTTGATCTCTTGACCTCGTGATCTGCCCACCTCTGCCTCCCAAAGTGCTGGGATAACAGGCATGAGCTTCTGTGCCCGGGCATGTGTTGGAAACTTAATCCTCACTACAACAGTATTGAGATGTGAGACCTAACTGGCAGTGTTTAGGTCATGAGGGCACCATCCTCATGAATGGATTAATGCTGCTATGAAAACAGGAGCTTGCAGGAGCTGGTTTTCTCTCTCTTGCTCTTCTGCCATGTGAGAAACAGCAATTCTCCCCCCCGGAGGATGCAGCATTAAACATGCCATCTCAGAATCAGAGAGGCCAGGCCCTCACCAGACACCAGATGCCAGCACCTTTATCTTAGACTTCTTAGCCTCTAGAACTATGAGAAAATAAAATTTTGTTCTTTATAAATTATCCAGTCTCAGATATTTTGCTATAGCAGCACAAAATGGACTAAGTCACAGTTACTTTATGAATTTTTACTTCCCCAAATTCTGGTGTTTTAAATTTTTATATTAATGTTCCCAGATGATATACAAAAACTATTGAGATCCTAAGCTACTTTCATCGAAATACAGCTCTTCCCCACCTCAATTGCTCTGTGATTTTTAAGGCACGCAAACCCTGTCAGAGAGGGTTTCCCTCTGTCTTCTTTTAGGTATATTCCCATTAGTGTTATTGATATCATTTGCTTGATCCTGAGGCCACAGTGTTTATCATCCCTGCAATGAAACAAACAGATCTCAGGAAGGATGCTGAAAAGATTATGCATTTATATGGGTTATAAAAAGCCTGTGAGCATTTCTATTCACAGGGGTCTCTCCTAGTAAATTCTGCAGTTAAAGATGCTTCTGACTGTATGAATTACATTTAAAAAATTGCTGGCCGGGCATGGTGTCTCATGCCTGTAATTCCAGCACTTTGAGAGGCTGAGGCAGGAGGATCACTTGAGTCCAGGAGTTTGAGACCAGCTTGGGTAACATGGTAAAGGCCGGTCACTACTAAAAATACAAAAAATTAGCTGGATGTGGTGGCACATGCCTGTAGTCCCAGCTACTTGGGAGGCTGAGGTGGGGGAATCACCTGAGCCTGGGAACTCAAGGCTGCAGTGAGCTGTGATTGTACCAGTACACTCCAGCTTGGGCTGGGCGACAGGAGTGAGACCCTGTCTCAAAAAACAAAAAATAAATAAAAAAATAAAAATTTGCTGGTGATTAGATGGGAAATAAAAGATTCATTAGAAATTTCTAATATTGTCCATTGACTCTTGCTAAGAAATATTTGTCACAAGGCAGTTTTGTAATTGATAAAGTTAAAACGATTTTCAGAGGTAGTTTTAGGCCTTTATTTCTTTGTTGACTTTTCTAAACAGTGGTGCTGTGATTATGTTTTCACTTATTTCTTCCCCACAGGTGAGGGTCACAACCTCTTGTGCCCAGAGCATGCTGCCAGCACACATTACTACTGCTTCCCCTTATTCTGATGGAAATGATTCCTTCTTTGCCTGCAATGTTGGTATTGACTATTTTCATAACTTCTGTGTTGATTACTTTTATGTGTCACCTAGACTGGGCTAAGGGGTTCTCAGATAGCTGGTAAAACATTATTTCTGGGTGCCATGGTTTAAATGTGTCCTCTCCAAAATTCAGGTGCTACCCATGTGATGGTATTAACAGGTGACTAGGTCATGAGGGTTCCTCCCTCATGAATGGGGTTAAGGTCCTCATAAAAGAGCTTCATGCAGTGTTCAGCTACTTGCCCTCCCCCCCTTCCACCATGTGAGGACACAGCGTCCCTCCCCTCCAGAGGATGCAACTCTCACTAGACAACCAAACCTACCAGCACCTTGATCTTGGATTTCTCAAACTTCAGAACTGTGAGCCAATAAATTTCTGTCCTTTCTAAATGATCCAGTCTGTGGTATTATGTTATAGCAGCAAAAACAGACTAAGACACTGGGTGTGTCTGTGAAGGTGTTTCTGGAAGAGATTTACATTTGAATTGCAGACTGAGTAAAGAAAAATGCCCTCCCCACTGTGGGCAGGCATCATCCAATCTATTAATGGCCTGAATAAAACAAAAAGGTAGAGGAAGAGAGAATTTACTCTCTGCTTGAACTGGGACATCCATTTTCTCCTGTCCTCCTGCTTCTCAGGCCTTTGGGTTTAGATTGAATTACACCACCAACTTTCTTGAGCCTCCACCTTGAAGATGGCAGATCATGGGACTTCTTAGCTTCCATAATTGCATGAGCCAATTTCTCACAATAAATCTCTGTCTATATATTTATATATATATCTGATTGATTCTGTTTCTCTGCAGAATGCTGACTAATACAGCTTCTCATTGGAGGTAAGGGGGAAATGGTAACTGAAGTTCTTGATTGAAATCCTCCAGATTGAAGCCTTATACTTCTACCCAAACAGCCGGCAGGCATAGAAGTATTCCCTAGGCTGAACATCTTAGTGGTCACCATAGTTTTGGGAAGGCCTGAGGCAGGGTTTGTCGATTCTGCATTCAGAACAGTAAGGCTTCTTAGAGGCAACTCGAGTTTATATTAGAACACTAAATATAGATGTTCAACCACATAGCAGAAGAGAACACTGCCATGAAATAATCAGCATTTTATAGCAGTATTTATTATTGTACAGATTCAGTATTGCTTGTTCACAAAGTCATTCTTAACCACCTACAATCTGGTAAGACTGCCAGGCATACAAGAGAAGCAGAGACAGAAGTGTTTAAAATCTGAAGTAGAGAAAAAATGGATACATATAAAACACATTATGATGAAAGACTATGTATAATTATTAAATTATGAAGCTTCCTTCAAATGCAACAATACTGTGTAATAAATGATTTCTCATGTACCAAAGTTGCTAGAGGAAGTGATAGTTCAGAGTAGCTCATGGATTCCCAGAAGCTCATCTAAGAGTTCTTTGCCTGCCTGGGAGTCCATACACCCCAGATTAAGAAACTTTAAATTAGCTAGTGTCTAGGACCCTTTGTAGCTCCAAAATACTTGGAGCTTGGGCTCCTAGGCTTAGTATCAACTTCAGCTCCTTCCTATTTTTGCAAGCATGTTCTCCACTTGCCTGCCTCATGGATCTCCTTCTTTTGTCAGGAAGACAACCCAGTGTGTTCAGTTTCACCCCTCCCTTGCTCATACCATATTTCATCTGTTCAGTGGCTCAGAAAATACCTGTGGTGCAACCACGAAGCATGGGCTCCATGACACAGCAGGGAGGCTCCCAGACAAAGCCCCGCTCCTGTGGATTGACACTCCATCTCCTAACAGAAATGGCTTTTCCTTTACTTCTTGGCTTCTCAGCTAGCTGAGTCAACCTAGCTGACCATTTTCCCTGCTTCTAAAATTCTGCATTTCCTCAGATGACGACTGAATGTTCAGCCTTCATTACGAGATGTTTCTGCAGTGAGTGAGCTTACCTGGGCTCAGTCATCGCTTCTCTACAGCTTGATGCCTGTCCTTCAGTGAAGGGATCCTGTCACGTTTCTTTTTTTTTTTTTTTTTTTTTTTTTTTGAGACAGAGTCTCGCCCTATCATCCGGCCTGGAGTGCAGTGGCGTGATCTCAGCTCACTGTAACCTCTGCCTCCTGGGTTCAAGAGATTCCCCTGCCTCAGCCTCCTGTGTAGCTGGGACTACAGGTGTGTGCCACTACGCCCAGCTAATTTTTGTTGTTTTAGTAGAGACGAGGTTTTGTCATGTTGGCAAAGCTGGTCTCAAACTTCTGGCTTCAAGCAATGCACCCACCTCGGCCTCCCAAAGTGCTGAGATTACAGGTATGAGCCACCCTGCCCAGCCCTGTCACGTTTCTTTACCATCTCTAGGCACCTGTTAGATTTTGGTTTTGAAATTCTGTTTGACTGATTATCATATGTGTTATTCTGCCCTAAAACAGTGACTCCAGACAGAACCTTAAGAAAATACTTTGCATTTGTATGGCTCTTTAATCATTTGTGTTAAGATATTATTCTGAGACATTCTCACTATAGCCCTAGGATTTGATGAGCTAACTAGGTATGGACATTATTTCCCATTTTACATAAGGGAGGGTTGATCCCACATGAGGTAATTTCAAGGATTTGTTCTGAGTCACAGATCACAGAAATCACAAAGTAAGAATGGATCTGAGATTTACTGGGTCCTAGGCCTAGTGTCTAGTTCCTTCAACAGGACTCTAGGATTAGGAAACACCCTCCCATCAAAAGCAATCAGCATCTCAGGTTAGAACAGAGTTTGGAGTGCTGGGAATTCTATCACTTCGGATGGAGCGAGAGACATTCAGACATTGTTGACTGGACTCTACAGGTGACTTGCAGACTTCCATTTAATTTCAGTATCCTCCTCAAAATCAGTGGCTAGCTGCACAAATAGGGATTCTCTTTAATCCTCAATTTATAATTGCTGACAGACATTCTGGCTCCACTGCCAAGCTGTGTGGATTCCCACTTTTGGGGCCAACTTTCTTTGTGACTTCGAGGAAGTCACCAAATTGACTTTTTAGACCTAGACTTTCCTATGTGTAAAATGGAGGATAATTCCACTCTCCCTACTTATGCTTTAATAAATCATAGCTTCTAATATAGATGTGCTGGAATAATACACATTAACCTAAAAGGTGAAAAGATCTCACTATATCCCCAGCTCTGACAAGGTCATTCCACCAAGGTGTGGAGTGACTTTTTTGCTCTGTAGTCTTATGGAGGACTTCTGTCTCATCTGTAAATTTGGTGCATATCATTTATAGCCTTATGCTGATCACAGCCTTGTTTCTCTTTCCTTATTGGATTATAATAATATATTTGTATAGTCCATTGTTTTCAAAGTAGCGTCTTCCACATTGTTTCACAGAATTACTAAAATAACTTGTGACTTAGGCAGGTCAGGTGTCCAAATTTCCATTTTTCTCCCTAGCTTCTTCACCCCTTCAGTACCAGCCCCCTCATGGAGCCTCACTTTACCACCTCCTTCAGGAAGTCTGCCCTGATTGGAGCCTGAGAGAGCAAACACTCTGCACAAAGGAAAGGCCTGAGAAACACTTGAATAAATACATGAATTTGTGAGCCCCCAGTAGCATCACGACATAGCCTGAGAAACACTTGAATAAATACATTAATTTGTGAGCCCCCAGTAGCATCACTCTAACTTGGCAATGAAAAATAAAGGTTCTGACCTTTTTTGTTTTTCTGCTTTACCTGAGTGCAAACACTAAAATTTAGAAATGCGAGCAGAGCTGACATTTGGGGAATGGGCACCATAAAAACTCTTACCATGTTGTAACCTCATTATTATATCAGCATCATTTTTTTATGCAAAAGGGAAATAATGCACAACTGAAAAGATTTTTATTTCTATTTAAAGCATAGATGTTTTTAAGCAGCACTCACTACATTTTTTAAATGTGTTGAGAGGATGGAAAGTTTGGAGAGCTGGAGGCTATTTTTCAGCTTTGATATGGATGGACTATGTGGTACTCTCTGAGATTTTCTATGTTTTTTTTCCCCCAGGAGGTTAAAATGATACCTTTTTGTATAATGTGAAAGGTGTGTTTGAGGGAACTTGGGGAGCAAAGGTAATTATTCCGATGATTCAATCCAAAACCCATTCTGTCATGAAGGAGGAAAACAAAGTGTAGAGTTGGACCTGAGCTGTCCAGATTGCCAGTTGACATAACTCACATTCACAGAATGCATTATTCCTTTGCTTGTTTTGCTAGAGCACCTTTCAGGTGTGCCTATTAGTCTGTTAAGACTGATAAGTAAATCAGTGTCTTATAACCAAAGAATAGCAGAGATCTGAGAAGCTCTGACTCCCTGGAGTTGCTGGGTTTATAAAGCATTTCCACCTTCCAAAGGCATGCCCTAAACTAGCACTCAAGAGGAAGGGAGAAGAAAAGGAGCACTTGTGTGCTGAACATTGTGTTGGGTGTTTTACAGGACTTCTTCCCTCTTTTAATTCTCACAACACCACTCTGAGATCAGAATTTACAGATGACAAGACTAAAGCTTTAATAGATTAAGGTGCCCACAAAGAGTGGGCCAACCTGAGATGAGAACCTCAGAAACTGCAAATTCCTGATGTCCTTGAGCCATCGACTACAATTCCACCTGCTTCTGGAGCATTCTAGGTGTGATTCAAGTTAGTGCATTATTAGTCAGATTCATTATTGAGCACCCACAATGTGCAGGCATAATACCAGGAGCTGAAGACACTAAGATGAATAAGGCAAGACCTCACCTGTTGAGGAATCGAGTATGGTACCAGGGGAGCCTGAAACACATCTTCATGACAGTAGTATTGCTGTGGGACTGCAAAGGAGGAGCTGATCAGCAGTTTCCTGGAAAAGTTCTTAAGGGCCACAGTAGGAGAGAGAAATCTGAAATCCTGGGGTCACCTGAACAAGAGTCTCTTCTCTTCTGCACTAGATCACATGGTTATATGGAGAACCTCACCAGAAAGACCCTGGCATTTGATCACAGGAAGACTGGGCCCAAATCCTAGCTGTAGTATTTATAATGTGTGCTGCATGGCACAAGTTACTTAACCTCTCTGAGTCTTGGGGCTTGCCTTTGTAAAAATATTAGGATAAAAATGCCAGCTTTATGGAATTGTTGTGAAGCAGAAATCTCAAGATGCTTTTTGTATCTTAGTCCTTGTCTGTCTTCTTTCTAGTCTACAATATTGCTTCTTGCTGTGCACTAACCATTGTGAGATTCTCTGTATAACCACGTAGCCTAGTGCAGAAGAGACTCTGATCCAGGTGACCCTAGAGTTTTAGATGAAAATGTGCCAATTTGCATCTAAGGTCCTCCAGACAGAGCACCCTCTGAGGACATAATCTATGGGAAAGCAGGCCAATAATACTCACTACTTCAGGTGAAAAGAGACCAGGCCCAGGAGGCACACAGGCTGGGCACTATAAAATAAACTGGAGAAAGATCAGCACCAGGTTTTTGCCAGGATACTCAGGTGTAACACCTCAGTGACTTGGTGGAAAACAAATTGGGAATAACACTTGCCGATGATAATATTTGGGTGCCAATAAAGAGGGGCAGATGATTAATATTAACATGCTGGGGCTGAGAAGACAGACATAATATCTAACCTCCCCAGGAGGAAGGCTGGCCTTGGAATGGGTTACATTCCCCGAAAGCCCCAGGCTGCTAATGAGATAGATTACCCAGCTGCAGCTAATGAGAAAGGGGCTAATGAGTCTGCAGATCACTGGCCAGCCTTAGCCATAGGTCACCAAGCAGGGAGACTACTGCCCTTTTTTATAGAATCATTCATTTGAAGTAATAGGTGTGATGTGGCGTTTGCTTCTTGGCTCCTTAATAGTGACACTGTTTCTTTATCCTGGTCAGGTTGCCACAGGGAAGTTCTGTGATTAACTGATTGGAATGAGATGCCTCCTGGGAAGGCCACAGATGATTTGTGGGTGGGAGAGGGAGACATGGACAGAATGGGGCCCATTGAGAATACAGACATTCTCTAGGCTCTGCAGTGTGAACCCTGGGTGAAGGGTACATCCTAGATTCCCAGATTTAGACAGATAGTGGGAGCAGAAGTGTATGAATATCTGAATTTTTGCCATGCAAACAACAGTCCGGCTTTATAAGTGACCTTGACCACAATCATGGTTTTGTTTGGGGGTCCCCAATACCACCTTCAGGTTCAATTATTTGCTAGAAGCACTCACAGAGCTAAGCAAAGCTATTGTACTCATGGTTATTGTTTATTACAGTGAAAGGATACAGATTAAAATCAGCAATGGAAAAAAGTGCATAGGGAAGAGCCCAGGAGAGACCAGGTACCAGTTTCCTGTTGTGGTCTCCCAATGAAATTTTATGAACAGCACTTAATTCTCCCAGCAATGATGTGTGAATATATATGGAGTATTGTTAACTGGTGAAACTCACTTGAGCCTTGGTGTCCAAGGTTTTTACTGGGGGTTGGTCATATAGGCATGGAATATTCATGTGACTGATCTTACCTTAATCTTCAGCCCCCAGAGTTCAAACTGATACACAAGCGATCCTCCGACCTCAGCCCCCAAAGTGGCTGAGAGTACAGGCACGCACCACCATGCCCAGCTAATGAGTCACATGGCCCAAGGCAATAAGTCACACTGTTAGCATAAACTATCTCACCTGACCTCTCAGATGAACAAAGACACTCTCAACAGGCAGGATATTCCAAGGGTTTAGAAGTCCCAGGAGCCTGGGTCAAAGGATCAAATATTTCTCGGGAGCTTACAGAGTTTGCACAACTCAGACCTTCTGAGTTAATTCTTTACTGCATGATGGAAGAAACAGAAGAGTGGTAGTCCCTCTCCTTTCTAGAGAACAGGATTGGTTTGGCGTGTGGCTTGAAATTTTAAAACATGTGTATGCCACTTTTCTATTGGACTGAAATCTCATTGGCATGCCATATTTGACAGGGTCTAAAAGTAGTGTTGTGAAGAGGCAAATGCATTGGAGTAGGAAGGAGAAATGTGAGTCACCTTGGAGCTCTATCTCTCCTGACTGTAGAACCACAGACAAGTCTCTCAGCCTCTTTGGTTCCAGTTTTATCCCATCATACACTACTGGCAACATTTAATCTACTTCCTGTGAGCAACATCTACCCTTTTGGGGAGTATCAAATTAAATAATAAATATGAAATCAACTTGAAATTTGATCACAATACACAAATGAGATATTAAAATAGCAGTTTGCTATTCAATAGCTTTTACGGGAAGAAATACCACACGATTCCTGACTGAGAATATTGGTTGGGGGCAGTGGTAATTTTTAATTTGTCTTTTTAGGTGCAGTGTTATCACTATTCTTGAAATATTGATTTGAAAACCTCAAAGAAGATTAAAAATGCTGTTAAAATCCCTAAAGGTTGGAGACAGAGGGCCTATTAATGCTACCCATCATATTCATTGGTTATATGACAAGCCCCCTTATCTAGCGGGCACCTGCATCTGCACTGGTTCAAACAGTTCTCTTTTGAAATTGTTATAGCAAGTTGGTCAGCATTATTCTTCCACCTGAGAGATCTGGAAGGGGCTGCTGCATAAGGCCATGCCTGTTGTGAACTGCACTATTCATATAGGCTATGACATGAATCACACTCCTTAGAGCTGTGCAATGTGGAAACCCTCATTCTGGGAAAGATCAAAAAGAATAGATGTAGGATTTTATAATGTTTAACCAAGCCTTGCTAAAATCAGATTTTTGTAGTTAAGGTCATTTTTGGATTCCCCTATGTCCAACAAGTGTGAAAAGCAGTTGACTACAAATCATTTGCTTGCTTTATTTATTTATTTATTTATTTATTTATTTATTTATTTATTTATTTTGAGACAGGGTCTCACTTTGTCATCCAGGCTGGAGTGCAGTGGTGCGATCTCAGCTCCCTGCAGCATCAACCTCCTGGTCTCAAGTGATCCTCTGACCTCAGCCCCACAAGTAGCTGGGAGTACAGGCACTTGCCACCATGCCCAGCTAATTTTTGCATTTTTATTAGAGACAGGGTTTCACCATGTTGCCCAGCCTGGTCTGGAACTCCTGCGCTCAAACGATCCACCCCCCTTGGCCTCCCAAAGTGCTGGGATTACAGGTGTGAGCCACCACGCCTGGCCCAAGTCATTTGCTTTCGAAAAAAGTTACTGATCATCTTCCTGTGGAATTATTTTCTGTATCAGTAATAGTCTCTTTGACAAAGATGGGTGGAAAGACTGTGACGCTTGATGTTTAGAACTTCAAACACAATGGCCTCAAATGAAAGATATGCTTAAGTAGGTGGCTGTTAGGCCTCAAATTGTACTGTCATGACTGGTCACCTATTTATCCTTCCAGAATTTTTCTTCTGCAGGGTTGACCTAGAGTGAGAAAAGGACAATGCTTTCTGTTTTCGAATGTGAATATGCCTTAGAGTATGTGGGAATGTTTCATTTTCATAATCCCCTTAACTCCTCATTGCCACCTAGCTGATGATGACATTGAAAATATTATGCTACCAAATTGAAGGCTGACACTCATTATGTCATTAAGTAAGCTGCACTTATTTAACTGATTAGGCAAAATACAAATGTGTAAAAATGCTTTAATTTTTTTTCCTTGTTTATACCTGCTAGTAAAGATTCTTAAGGCTTTACTTCAGTGGAAAGCATTCCATAAGCTGGGCTCTTCCTTCATCCTAAATACCTACTATGTCAAAAGACCTTTTCACTCCAAAGTTAGGAAGAGCTGGCCACTATCTGATCATTTTAATCTTGTCTATACAATCTTCATTTTTAGATAATTGCCATTGCTTTTATCTGTGCTTCATACATAGTTCTTGCCATGTTTTACTTTAGCTAGATTAAAGGTAAAGAGACCAACAAAAATGGCAACTTTTATTTTTCTCCTTCGAGAATGCATCAATATATTCCACAAAATGGAAACCAACAATGAGCAAGAGTAGCTATATTTATATCAGATAAAATAGACTAAGTCAAAACTGTAAAGAGAGACAAATAAGGTCACTAAATAATAAAAACAGGATCAATTTAGCTAGAGAATGTAACAATTGTAAATATATATGCACCCAACGCTGGAGCACCCAGACATATAAGGCAAATATTGGGATAAAACCCAATACAGTGATGGTTGTGGACTTTAACACCTCAATCTCAGCAGTGGCTGAATCATCTAGACAGAAAATCACAAAGAAAGATCAGATTTAAATTGCACTACCGATCAAATGGAATTAACAGGCATTTATAGAACATTTCATAAAACAATGACAGAATACACATTCTTCTTTTTTCTTTTTCTTTTTGTCTTTTTTTAGTCAGAGTCTTGTTCTGTCTCCAAGGCTGGAGTGCAATGGCATGATCTCGGCTAACTGCAACCTCCACCTCCTGGTTCAAGCAATTCTCGTGCCTCAGCCTCCTGAGTAGCTGGGATTACAGGCACATGCCACCACGTCTGGCTAATTTTTGTATTTTTAGTAGAGACAGGGTTTTGCCATGTTGGCCAGGCTGGTCTCAAACTCCTGACCTCAAGTGATCCACCCGCCTCAGCCTCCCAAAATGTTGGGATTACAGGCGTGTGCCACCACAACCAGCCCACATTCTTCTCATCAGCACTTGGAACATTCTCCATGATAGACCATATGTGAGGCCACAAAACAAGCTTCAACATGTTAAAAAATCGAAATCATATCAAGTATTTTTTTCTGACTACGATGTAATAAAACTATAAATCAATCACAAGAAGAACTTTGGAAACTGTATAAACGTAAGGAAATTAAATAACATGTTTATGAATGACCAATGGGTCATGGAAGAAATTTAAAAGAAAATTTAAAAAATGTATTGAAACAAATGAAAATAGAAACACAATATACCAAAACCTATAGGATATAGCTAAAATAGCACTAAGGGAAATTTATAGCAATAAACCCCAACATCAAAAAAAGTAGAAGGTTAGAAGGAACAAGATTACATAAAAAAAGAAAAGAAAGCAGAAAAATTTCAAATAAACAACCTAACTATGTGCCTTAAGGAATTAGAAAAGCAAGAACAAACAAAACCCAAATTTGTAAAAAGAAACAAAGAAAGATCAGAGCAGAAATAAATGAAATAGAGACTAAAAAAATACAAAACATCAACAAATGAAAAGTTGGTCTTTTGAAAAGATAAACTAAATTGACAAACCATTAGCTAGACTAACAAAGGAAAAAGAAAGAGGATCCAAATAAATAAAATCAGAAACAAAAAAGGAGACATTACAACTGCTACCACAGAAATACAAAGGATCATTAGAGACTATTATGAACAACTCTATGCCAACAAATTGGAAAACGTAGAGGAAATGGATAAATTCCTGGACACGTTCAACCTACCAAGATTAAACCAGGAAGAAATAGAAAATCTGAACAGACCAATAACAAATAGTGAAATTGAGTCGGTAATAAAAAGTTTCCAAACAAAGAAAGCTGCAGGACTAGATGGCTTCACCTCTGAATTCTACCAAACTTTCAAAGAAGAATTAACACCAATTCTTCACAAACTATTCCAAAAAATTGAAGAGTAGGGAATTCTTCCAAACTTATTCAGAGGCTAGCATTACCCTGATACCAAAACCAGACAAGGACACAACAACAACAAAATAAAACTATAGGACAATATCCCTGATGAACATATATGCAAAAATCCTTAACAGAATCTTAGCAAACTGAATCCAATAGCACATCAAAAAGATTATATATCATGATCATGTGGGATTTATTCCAGGGATGCCAGGATGGTTTAACATGTGCAACTCTATAAACATGAACAGAATAAAGGACAAAAACCATATTATCTCAATACATGCAGGAAAAGCATCTGATAAGATTCAACATCCATTCAAGATAAAAATTCTCAACAAATTAGGTACAGAAGGAATGTACCTAAACATTCAATAAATTAAGTACAGAAGGAATGTACCTAAACACAATACCCCACAGCCAACATTATACTGAATGTGGAAAAGTTGAAAGTTTTCTCTCTGAGAACTGGTACAGGACAAGAACGCCCACTTTTACCACTCTTATTCAGCATAGCACTTTAGGAAGCCCTAGCCAGAACAATTACGCAAAAGAAAGAAATAAAAAGGCAACCAAAGTGTAAAGGAGGAAATAAAATTGTCCCTGTTAGCAGACAGCATGATCTTATATATTGAAAAACTAAAGATTCCACCAAAAGACTCTTAGAACTGATGAATGAATTCAGTAAAGTTGCAGGATTAAAAAACCAACATACAAAAATCAGTAGCATTTCTGTACACCAATAACAAACTAGCTGAAAGAGAAATCAAGAAAGCAATTCCATTTACAATAGATACAAAAAAAAAAAAAACCGCCTAGGAATAACTTTAACCAAGGAGGTGAAAGATCTCTACAATGTAAACTGTAAAACACTGACAAAAAAAAAAAAAAAAAAAAAAAAAAAGGAATCCAGCACCACTGGACATGAGGAACAAAAATAAATAAATAAATAAATAAATAAATAAAATAAACCGAAGAAGACACACACAAAAAAGGAAAGACATTCTATGTTCATAGATTGGAAGAATAAATATTGTTAAAATGACTATACTACTCAACGCCATCTACAGATTCAATGAAATCTCTACTAAAATACCAATGACATTCTTCAGAGAAATAGAAAAAGCAATCCTAAAATTTATATGGAACCACAAAGACCTGAGATAGCTAAAGCGAGCTTGGTCAAAAAGTACAAAACTGGAGGCATCACACCACCTGACTTCAAAATATACTACAAGCCATAGTAACCAAAACAGCATGGTATTGGCATAAAAATGGACACACAGACCCATGGAACAGAGTAGGGAACCTAGAAAATCCATACATCTACAGTGAATTCATTTTTGACAAAGGTGCCAAGAACATACATTGGGGAAAGAACAGTCTCTTTGATAAATGGTGCTGGGAAAAGTGGATATCCATGTGCAAAAGAATGAAACTAGACCCCAATTTCTCACCATACACAAAATAAATTAGAGAATTAAATACGAGATCTGAAACTCAAAATTACTAGAAAAAATAGAGGAAATGTTTCAGGATATTAGTTTGGACAAAGATTTTATGGTTAAGACCTCAAAAGCACAGGCAACAAAAGCAAAAATAGACAAATGGGATTATATCAAACCAAAAAGCTTCTGCACAGCAAAGGAAACCATGAACAGAGTTAAGAGACAACTTGAAAAATGGAAGAAAATATTTGCAACCTATTTATCTGATAAGGGATCAATATCCAGAATATACAAGGAACTCAAATAACAGCAAAACCCAAATAATCCAATTAAAAAATGGACAAAAGATCTGAATAGACATTTCTCAAAAGAAGATGAACAAATAGCCAACACATGTGAAAAAAAGCTCAACCCCACTATTCATCAGGGAAATGCAAATTAAAATCACAATGAAATATCACTTTACCACAGTTAGAATGGCTATTACAAAAAAGAGAAAAAAATAAAAATAAAAAATACTGGCGAGGATGTGGAGAAAAGGGAACCCTCATACACTGTGGGTGGGAATGTAAATTAGTACAGTCTCTATGGAGAACAGCTTGGAGGTTCCTCAAAAAGCTAAAAATAGACCTACCATATGATCTAGCAATCCCACTACTGGGTATATATCCATAGGAAGTGAAATAAGCATGTTGAAGAGATATCTGCACTTCCATGTTCATTGTAGCACTATTCACAATAGCTAAGATATGGAATCAACTTAAGTGTCCATCAGTGGATGAATGGATAAAGAAAATGTGGTATACATATTCAATAGAATACTATTCAGCCATAAAAATAATGAAATCCTGTCATATGCAGCAACATGGATTAACCTGGAGGACATCATGTTAAGTAAAATAAGTCTGGCACAGAAAGATAAATACCACATGTTCTCACTCACATGTGGGAGCTAAAAAAGTTAGCTCATAGGAGTTGAATTGAGAGATTGAGAACAGAAGTAGAAGTAGAGAGTAGAATTGTGAGTATTAGAGGCTGGGAAGGGTAAGGGTAAGGGGAGGTTGGGGAGAGGCTGTTTAATGGATACAAAGTTATAGCTAGATAGGAGAAATAAGTTCTAGTGTTCTATAGCCTTGTAGGGTGCCTACTGTAAAATACTGTATTTTTCCTTATAGCTAGAAGAGACAATTTTTGTTTGTTTGTTTTTTGCTTGTTCTTTGTTTTTTTTGAGATGAAGTCTCACTCTGTCGCCCAGGCTGGAGTGCAGTGGTGCCATCTCGGCTCACTGCAACCTCCGCCTCCCAAGTTCAAGTGATTCTCCTGCCTCAGCCTCCTGAGTAGCTGGGACTATGGGCATATGCCACCATTCCCGGTTAGTTTTTGTATTTTTTAGTAGAGACGGGGTTTCACTATATTGGCCAGGCTGGTCTCGAACTCCTGACCTCGTGATCCACCCACCTCGGCCTCCCAAAGTGCTGGGATTACAGGTGTGAGCCACCACGCCCGGCAAAGAGATGATTTTGAATGTTACCACAAGAAGAAATAACAAAAGTTTGGGTGATGAATATGCTATTACCCTGATTTGATCATTATACATTGTATACATGTATCAAAATTTCACATTGTACTGCACAAATATGTACAATTATTACGTGTCAATTAAAAATATATATTAAAAAATTAGAAAAAAATTTCTGTCTCTAAGCCTGTGGTTGTAGTTGTGGTAAAAATTCACAAGCACAAATATGCTGGACAAGAAAACATAGCCTAAAATGAAAAAAATAAGGTTGTCAGAAAGGAATTTTTTTAAAATAAAAATCTGCTTATATGCTGTTTAATAAAAAGGATGCATTGTTAAGAGAATAACATTTTCCCACATAATTAGCCTAAGAGGCAATGGGTTTGTTTGTGTTACTTGAAGAACTAGCAAGACCTTCAGAACACCTCAGTCATTCAGTTTAGTAAATAAGTTTGGTCACCTAATATTTTGTTTATTTTGTATATAGTATTTCAATTTTTTAAAATCATTGCTAATTCCTGGATATCTGTTCTCCTCCTCATGCTTTTGCTGTTGTATTTGCAGTTACCCCCTCCCCTATTGCTGGATCTTCTCTTCTTGCTGTTCTATTCACCTTGCGAATTTCTAATGGCCCAGAGCTTCTAATGCAGGTTAAGGAGCGCGACACAGGGAACCACTGAGGGTCAGGATCAGACCAACGAACATACAAATTTCTTTAGAGGGGGCATGTGGACAGCTATGCTGAACTCCCAGTCATCTGCCTCCACAGAACCTCTTTACACACACAAAGACAGGCAATTGCAGTATCTAAATGACCATATAAATTGCCATTTCTTTCCTTTTCTTAAAGACACATCCTGAGACACTTATGAAATCAAAGTGGAACATATGGTTTTTTTCCCTTTAAAAGCACTGCTTGTCCTCTGTCCCTCTCTGCCAACTCTCTTACATTCCCAACAACATTATCTAACAGTCTTTAAAGGACAAATGCTCACCTCCCCTCTCCACTCAGGGAACAGGAAGAGCCAGAGAAAAACAACTGATGGAGAAGATGCCCTAAGGTTGAATATTTCTTCCCTTGGGGGAGCTGAACGTCCAGAGAAAACAAATTAAATTATCCTCCTTATCCTTGGGCTGTGACATCAAAGTGGACATTATGTACCAATACCCCCTTGCTTTGTTTCATAACCTCAAATCAAAATTAATCTGTTGTCACATTTGTTTATGGTGACTAACAAAAAGCCTGAATTATTCAAGAAAAGCAGTTTGGGACACAAGAACAGGAAGAACGACCTAGCAACCACAGATCATTCTTTTCCTGCTTTCAAAGGAGTAACATTTCCCATCCTCTATTTCTGGAAGCCCTAGTAAGGCCTTCCACTCTGCTGTCTGAAGTCAAGTTTGAGTGCCTAGAGAGAAGAGAATCCTTGTGTTGCAGGTCAGTTAATCTGGAGCAGGTCCTGCACAGTCTCTCCTATGCATTTATTTAGCCAGGGAGCAGTTATTAAGCACTGATTTTGAGTCCAGACCTTACCATACATTTTTTTTCATTCATACAGTTATTGGGAACTTGACTTTTGAATTGCTGGGAAGTCATTTATGAAAAGGTCACAGTCACTGCTTTTGAATAGCTTTAGTCCTGTCATGGAGGAAACAAATCAACAGCCATATATGTGACACAGTTTGGTGAGCACTATAAGGGACCTGCATAGGGTGCCATAGGAGTATACAGAAGGAGTCTCAAGGGCAGCCATAGGCAATCAAGGAGGAGGAGAAGGTGGCATCTAAACTGAAACTGGGGGAACTGCATACAACAGGTAGGAGTTAGCCTGGTGAAGCTGGTGGGCAATGTCCTTCCTGGCAGGACAGCAGAGCAAAAGTTGGGAACTGTATTATGAGTGTAGAGAGCATTGGGAGGTGTCTTAGTCACCTTGGGCTGTTATAACAAAATATCATAGCGTGGGTGGCTTTTAAACAACATAATTTTTTTCTTACAGCTCTGGAGACTGGAAATCTGAAATCAGGGTGTCAGCATGGTTTTGCTGAGGACCTTTTTCCGATTGCAGACTGCTGACTTCTTTTTGCATCCTTACATGGTGGAAAGGGCATGAGAGAGCTCTCTGGGGTCCCTTTTATAAGGACATTAATCCCATCCATGAGGGCACCATTCTCATCACCTAATCCCCTCCCAAAGGCCTTACCTCCTAATACCATCACATGCGGGTTTAGGATTTCAACATAGGAACTTGAGGGGATGCAAGCATGCAGTCCATTGCAGGAGGCAATGTGAAACCATTGAAGAGTTGTAGGGAAGAGCACAACCTGATCAGATTTGCATTTTAGAAAGCTGTCTCTAGCTACAAAAAGTTGACTATGAAAAGGCAAGCCTGGAGGCAGAGCAAGGTAGTTAGTGGTCTTCATGCTTCTTATAAAGGACGGTGGTGGCTGGCTGGAAGGTAATAGAGTTGATGAGGTAGAGAAATTAATGCCTTCAAAACATATTTAGAAGGAGGAGAAACAAGATCGGCTGGCTGATTAGATGAGGAGGGGCAGATGTGGGAAAGACAGAGGCCAAATACAGAGCCTCTGCCTTTCAGGAGCTTAGAGAATGCTTGAGAGAGCATAACCTGTAAATGTAAACCATGTACATTTCAGGCAGTTCAGTGTAGTGGTAAGAATTTGGGCTTTGAAATCAGTCAAACTTGCTTTGAATTCCTGTCATATCACCGATTAGCCACATGATATAGAAAGATTACTCGAATGCACTGCATCTCAGGTTCCTTATTCCTTACAGGTGGGTTATGTGTGTTCACATGTGAAAAGTATGTGGCACCCAAGAGATGTTCTAAAAATATTAGTAAATCTTTCTATGGAATGATAATCATCATCATAATATACTTATTACTGTAACACTAGGAAAATAGTAGTCATTATTATATAAAACCATGAAAAACATTTTTTGGGGGATCAAATGTACATTAAAAAGTTATTTTTTTTTCTCTTACAAGTTTCCGAGTATCAGAAAACTCCCTCTATTGTGCAGTTAGGAAACTAAATAGAAATATGTATCATTTTTCTGAATATCTGTGGGTAATAGATTCCATACCTCCTTGGATCAACAGTTTATACCTGTTGACGAAAAGAGTCAAACTCTTTAAAATATTGTAAGAGATTTATTCTGAGCCAAATATGAGTGACCATGGCCCGTGACACAGCCCTCAGAAGGTCTTGAGAACATGTGCCCAAGGTGGTCAGGGTACAGCTTGGTTTTATGTATTTTAGGGAGGCATGAGACATCAATCAAATACATTTAAGAAATACATTGGTTTCATTCAGAAAGGCAGGACAACTCAAAATGGGGAAGGCTTCCAGGCTATACGTAAATGTAAACATTTTCTGGTTGACAATTAGCTGAGTTTATCTGAAGACCCAGGATCAAAGGAAATGTTCAGGGTAAGGTAAAGGATTGTGGAGACCAAGTTTTATTGTGCAGAGGAAGCTCTCAGATAGTAGACTTCAGAGAGAGCAAGTTGTAAAGTGTTTCTTATCGGACTTAAAAGGGTGCTTGGCTCTTAGTTGATTATCTCCTGGATCTGGAAAGGAAGGAAGGAAAACAAAGGGGGAAAGGGATTCTCTATAGAAGGCGGATTTTTCCTACAAGAGACTTTGCAGGGCAATTCCAAGGTATGGCAAGGAAATATATTTTGGGGTAAAACATTTTGACTTTTTCCCTTGTTATGTCAGAATCAGATTGAAAAGTAAGCCATGATATACATGGTTAAATAAAACCCATCTGATGAGAGAATTTATGGTTTGTAGGGCATGACTCCCCAGACCCCTTAGAAAGGAATTTGGGCAAGATTAAAACAAAAACAAAAACAAAAACAGAGCTTAGTCCTCATTCCTATAACGGTCTGGAAGTTCTTCCATGTATCTCACCACAATCCCTCTTGCTTTGTTTTAGCCTGTTTGCTTTTGCTCCATTCCCTTAGATTTCTTCTTGCTGTTCTAAGTGTAGTTACTTTCTTGTCAGGGAATGGTTTATCAAATTATCTTGCACGTTTTTGCGCTGGGACTTTATATTTCTCTGATTTCCTGGTTCTGTCTAAAGAATATATTAACTTATTTCTTAGAATTGGCATGGTTTTCTCTATACACCGTGCTCATTACTTTTCTATTTAGAGAAAATATTTATTCATTTAATTTCTTTTTCAGAAGATTCCCTTCTGGTTTTATTTTGATGGCCTAATTTCAATTTGTCTCCTGGATCAAAGTATGTGACTTGTGTTTGTTTCCATGTAAAACATTGCCCAAGCCAGCATCAAGGAGTTCCAGGGAAGCCATTCCAGATCCTCGATAGGTGGGAATGTTTATTCTCGCTCTGTGTTACAGATAGGAACCTGAGACAAATAGAGGTGCCTGATTGATCCAGAATCACCTAGCTGTCAGATACCCACACAGAATTGATCAGACAGAGGAAGCTGGCTGCTCCAGGCATACTGCAATGGATGGAATGTTTGTGTCTCTCCAGAATTTATATGTTGAAACCCTAATCCCCAATGTGATGGTATTAGGAGGTGGGGCCTTTGGGAAGTAATTAGGTCATGACAATGGAGCCCTCATGATGGGATAAGTGCCCGTTTAAAAAATTGATACGAAAATACAGTTAGATAGTAGGAATAAGATCTACTGATCTGGTAGCACAATAGGGCAACTATAGTTAACAGTAATTTATCGTATACTTCAAAATAATTATAGAAGTGGATTTGGAATGTTCTCAACACAAATAAATGATAAATGTTTAAGGTGATGAATATCCCAATTACACTGATTTGATCATTACACATTATATACTTGTAACACATGTATTCCATAAATATGTACAACTATTATGTACCCATAAAAATTTTAAAATAGCATATTCTCAAAAAGAAAAAGAACAGACACGAGAGAACTGGCTTCCTCTCTGCACCATATGAGGATAAAAGAAGATGACCATCTGCAAACCAGGAAGAGAGCCCTCACCAGTAACCAAGTAAGTTGGCACTTAGATCTTGGTCTTCCAGAACTGATAAATAAATGTTTGTTATTTAAGCCACCCAGTCTCTGAAAATTTGTTACTGCTGCTGGAGCTAAGATAGTGGACTGCACAATTTTCTATCTTTAGATGCCTTCAACCTCTTTCTCAGGGGGGTCTGCTAGCAGCCCTTGCTGTCTTCTATGTTTTCTTCTTCTGATCAAATCTGCCTCTGAAAAGGACCTGGTCTACTTTTGGTATGTATTTCAGAGAAGGTACTACTCCTCTCTGGGTTACATCCTTACGTGTATTTATAAAATGGAAGGGGCTGTTCCCTGTGAAGGAAAAACAGGCACTAACAAGCTGGTAAGGCAGCTTAGTCGGGGGAATGGTCTGGGCCCTCCCAAGAGCTCTCCAAATGCTGCCATGTTGTAGCCATATATTCTGACTCTGTCCCTACAATCTCATACACACAGTGCATGAGGCTGTGTAGTCAGATAGACACAGTCTCCACACCTGGGCCTGCCCAGAGATTGCTGGGAGACCTTGGGTGGGTTACTCTGGGCCACAGTAACCTCATCTGCAGTCTGGTGACAGCAATCCTTATTTTACAGGATTGGAAGAGAACAAGTGTGGAGTTTCCAGGCTAGCATAGTGTCCAGATTGCAGGGTCTTATAAATGCCTTTCCTCCCTGCTTCTAAGTCAAAACCTGTGAGCACGCCATGTTTTCACTGAAGTTTCTATTTGTAGTTCTAGTTCCTGGGGTATGAAGAAAAGAAAAGGAAAATGATTTGGGGATGGCTGCAATTTGTAACAAGTCAGTGTGCCACAAGACATCTTGGATATGCTGCCTGTAGTGGGTTGAATTGTGTCCCCCCAAAATATATGTCCAAGTTCTGGCCCCCAGTACCTATGAATGTCACTTTATGTGGACACAGGGTCTTTGCAGAGGTAACTAAGTTAAGATGAGGTTATTCTGGATTGAGAGTGGGCCGTAAATCTAATGATTGGTGTCTGTATGAGAGAAAGGAGAGGGAAGATTGAGACACAGAGACACAGTAGAGAAGGCTGTGTGAAGATAGAGGCAGAGACTGGAGTTAGGTTACCAGAAACCGAGGAATGTCTGGGGCCACCATAAGCTGAATGGGGCAAGGAGGGATTCTCTCCTAGAGATTTCAGAGGGAGCATGGCCCTGCTGACACCTTGATTTTGGACGTCTGGCCCCCAGAGCTATGAGAAAATAAATTTTGGTTGTTTTAATCTATCAAGTTTGTGGTAATTTGTTACGGTAGCCACAGGAAACTAGTACGCTGCTTAAAAGGAGGACATTTATTCAGGCATCAACATGTCCAGAGAAAACGGCATGCGTATTTGCTAGTATTTTCCCATCTGGTGTGTCCAGAGCATCAGGAGAGGCAGGAACCCTCCCAGCAGCCATCTGGTCTCTCTACCTGGCTCCAGGCAGAGCTGGCACCTGTACATAGATGGTCCCATCCCATGCCCAGGTTGCATGTGATAGAATTTCTGACTGTGATGTGTTACATGCGGGCATCTGTGTGCCTCCTCATATGCAGGTAGAATAAACACACTGCCCTTTAAATGTTCTCCAAGCAAGGTCTGGCCCAAAGCACAATGGCAGGTGTGGTCATTGTATTTCCGCAGGTGCATGAATTACCACTTAACACAGTGTTAAGAAATAGCTGATTTTCTTCTTTGACTAAAAGATTTCTTGAAATTGCTTTGATAAAATAAGATCAACACTAATTCCCTTTTTATGCATTGTGCCTATCAATTGAAATGGAAAAAAGAAAGCCACTGCCAACTTTCATTTATTTAAATGCATGGATAGATACATGCAGATATTTATGATTTCTCCCTAGGATTCACAGATGCAAATGGAAAGGAAAAGTCGCAATGCTAAGTGTACGTATTTTGTGGGGAAGACAAATAAGAACAAAGCGCTGCTTGCTCAGATGGACAGCTCTGTGTCTCCGCCTACAGGGCTCTGGGTGTCTGTGCACCAGGGGGAACCTGAAGTGGCCGCCTCTTCACAACCTCTATTCCATAGACAGTTGCTTACCCCACCCCTTGTCACTGGCATAAAATCACTTGAAATATCTAACACCTAAAATTGCTAAAATGCACAGTGGACCTATGTAACAGCGATTTATGCCTATGAGGGCCTGCATCCAAAATGAACAAGGAGAGAGCTGGGCTGCTGTCAGTGTTATTGTGGCTCATTGTCTATGCACAAACTGCAGTGCTACAGAAGCAGGTAGCATTTATGGCCTTCTGTTTGTTTGCTGTCACTTTGGTACCTCAGCTCTGAGGTTTCCTTTGAGGAAGAGGGAGTGGAATGTATGGAAGTTTTGACAGAGAATTTAACCTCCTCTTCTTAGAGAGTTTAAGGGGCTACTCTCTAGAATGATCCCGTCTGACATTTAGATAACACTGGATTCTGTTCATCTCTTGCAGAGGAACTTACCAGCAGGGCCTCTGTCCAAATGCAGGAAACATGAACAGAATCCCCAGCTTGCTTTCTCCCACAGGACTCTGAGAAATAATCATCCTGTACATGCTCCCATTTGACGCCTTTTAATGGAACAAATTCACCATTGGAAATATGCAGGAAGTTGATTTCTTTTATATTTTGCCATCTTTAACCAATCCCTGGATAGGTTTTCAAAATCTCATTGAAGAGAAATATTTGGATGAGATTGGGGAAGTGGAACTCAGGTTTCTCTTGGTATTTATAATTGGGTAGAATCAAGGAAACCTAAATGGCCATAATGTTTTACCTTTACCCTTTGCTATGGTTTGAATGTGTCCCCCTCAAAATTCATGTGTTGGAAACTTAATTCCCAATGCAGGAGTGTTGGGAGTTGGGACCTGATAAGAGGTGATTGGCTCTGCTCTCATGACTAGATTAATGTCATTATCATGGAAGCAGGTCAGTTATTATGACAGTGGGTTGTTATAAAGTGAGTTCAGCCCCTGGTGCCTCCCTCTGCCTTGAGCACTGGTTTCACCTCTGCCTTCTGCTGTGGGATAACAAAGCATGAAGGCCTTCACCAGATGCTAGCACCAGCCTCTTGGACTTCCCAGCCTCTGGAACCATAAGCAAAATAAACTTCTATTCTTTATAAATTACCTAGTCTGTGGTATTCTGTTATAGCAGCAGAAAACAGACTAAGACACTCATGAAATATATATAACAAACCAGCGTTATGTGCACATATGCACAAATGCACTCATACTGGAGGATACAGTGAGTGTTTGAGTTTTTATATCTTGTAGTTGTTCATGCAAGATGGTTTATGGAGTTGAAATTTGTCATCCATATAAGTAATGTACTACTTGAAATTGGACAAAGTATGGAGAAGAGCCTTAAAAATCATTGAAAAAATGAGGTGAGCTTAAAAGAATTTAATATGTGTAGCTCAGGGAAGCTGCTGTTTAGGAGAAGTGGGAATGTGCCTCTGCTTCAGGACTGTAAGTCCCCAAAGAGTAATTTGCAGGCAGTAAGAAGGCACTACAGAGAAGGAAATGGGCAGAAAGGAATTGAAGTGTGTCTTAGTTTGCTCAGGCTTCCATAACAAAATATCACAGACTAGGTGGCTTAAACAACAGACATTTATCCTCTCATGTTCTGGAGGCTGGAAGTCCAAGATCAAGGTGCTGGCTGATTTGGTTCTGGTGAGGGTTCCAATCTTGGCTCACAGATGGCTGCTTTCTTGCTGTGTCCTCATATAGTCTCTTCTTTGTGAGCAAAGAAGAAAAAGAATGAAAAAAACAAAAAAAGAAAGAAAAAAGAAAAATAAGAAAAGGAAAAAGAAAGAAGAAGAGCAAGAAGAAGAGCTCTGTTATCTCTTCTTTTAAGGACCTGCCCTGATTTAATTGAGGTTAAATAACTGTATGACTTCATTTAACCTTAATTACCTCCTTGTAAACCCTATCTCCAAATACAGTCGTATTGGGGATTAGGGTTTCAACTTATGAATTTGGTGGAGAAACAATTAATTCCATAGTAGAGTGGAAGCTATAGGCAGTAGAATGACCTCCCAGGGAAACAACGGGGACAGTGATGCTATTCCTGAGGAATTAAAAGTGCATTGGGCTGGGCCAGTTCCACAATATGCTGTAGGAAGGGCTTCCTTCCCTCCTGGCCCTTTGGAGATGTGAGGAAGGGACTGACAGACTAAAAGCTTTAGGTTGCTTGGGAGATATCGTCTGATAAAAACTTTAATCTGGTAACCTTCCTCTCTCTTTCTCTCTCTACCTCTCACTCTCTCTCTGTCTGGCTCTCTTAATGGAATGCTAGTGTATTCTTATTAGGAAGATAGAACTTGGTTAGGAAGGAAGGAAGAAAAACGGCAGGCAGGCAGGCATTGGAGCCAGCAGGACTGGGAGATCACAACCACAATCTCCTGGGCAAAAGAAAGGGGAAATGAGAAGCAGTGCTTTCTCAGTCATGCGAGTAGTTACTGGCAGTTTGTTCTGGCCAGCAGAACTTCTGATATCATGGCTATTGAATAACTTATCATCAAAGTTTAATGTGAAACCAGGTGACTGATAACTAAATCTAGGAACAGAAATAGAATCTTCATTTTTTCTGCCTGAAGAAACTTTTTTCTGTCATTTGATTTAAAGGCCAAAGGCTATTCACCATACCACTGAGAATTATAAAACCTTTATGAAAACTCATCACAGTGTTGAATTGAATGTGTGATAGAGAGGAAAGCTGGGATAATTTCAATCCTTACCCGACCCATCTTAATAAGGTAAAGACTCCTGTGAAAGCTACCATACTCAACGCAGTGAGATCACAGCATAGCCGATTTTTTTTTTTTTTTTTTTTTTTTTTTTACCTCTTTCTAGGTTGAATGGAAATGAGGCAGTAGCCAAAGGGGATAGAAATAAACGTTCTTCTCTTACTGTGATTGTGTGGATCTGATGGGCTTTTCAAAATGGCACATGGGTCAGTGTTTCTTGGAGCCTGGACTAGCATACCCTCCCGGCATCTTAAGAGAAACAATCTCCAGGCTTGGTAGAAGTCCTTGGCTTTCTTGCTTAGAAATGTCAGAAGCCAATGAATATTTACATCCCCATCTCACCTTTGCTCTGATTTGCTAATCTGATCCTTATCAAATTAGGCCAAAAGGAAAGCAGTTAGAAACTTGAACTTCCATTGTTAGATAAGTACCAATCTCTACATTAAGAGCTATACAGATACTTGTAAATTTCTCACTGGGACACAGAATTGGTACATATCTCCAGGTGATCCTCTTCTCTCAGCATGTATATTCTTCTCTCATGTAGAAATCAGTTGCTTTGATGGTCAGAAAGAGACAAAGAGAAACAAATTCATCAGTCTGTATTATATCACAGTAGAATACAAGGCTAGAAAGTAGGTTCAACCCTGTTGGAACCCAGCCGGTCTGCTGCCCTCGCTGAGTTTCAGGGTCCCTGTCTGCATATCTGGAAAATAAGTTCATCTTTCCTAAAGACCCATCCAATCTTTGATTCTATAATCATAAGTAGGGTGATAAGATTTTATTTCCTACTTAGAGGGCCACCTGGAGAGTACATTCTGCTTTAATTTTCTGTTTTGGTGATGGGGAATTTGGAGCCATGCATGGTTATGAAAGGCCCAGAGATGGAATCTCATCTCTGATTCAAGGCTTTGGTTCCTGGCTTCCTGCTGTATTACTTCAATGAAACCAAACCTTTTAGGGCATATGTCTGCACATATTGGCCTACTCAAAATGCCATTCTATCCTGGGCGAGGTGGCTCACACCTGCAATTCCAGCACTCTGGGAGGCCAAGGTAGGAGGATGGCTTGAGGCCAAGAGTTTGAGACCAGTCTGGACAGTATAGTGAGATCCAATCTCTACAAAAAATAGAAAAATTAGCTGGGCTTGGTGGCATGTGCCTGTAGTCCCAGCTACTTGGGAGGCTGAGGTGAGAGAATCCCTTGAGCCCAAGAGGTTGAGGCTGTAGTGAGCTATGATCGTACCACTGTGCTCCAGCCTGGATGACAGAGCAAGACCCTGTTGCTTAAAAAAGAAAAAAGAAGCAAAATGCCTTTCCGAATGATCCCATTGACTGGGCAGAAATGTTACATTGTTAAAATATTTTGTGCCAGCCGCAGTGGCTCACGCCTGTAATCCCAACACTTTGGGAGGCTGAGGCGGGCGGCTCACCTGAGGTCAGGAGTTCGATACCAGCCTGGCCAACATGATGAAACCCTGTCTCTACTAAAAATACAAAAAAAATTAGCTGGGTGTGGTGGCGGGCGCCTGTAATCCCAGCTACTCGGGAGGCTGAAGCAGGAGTTTGAGACCAGTCTATGCAAAATGGCGAAACCCTGTCTCTACTAAAAATAAAAATTAGCCGGGCATGGTGGTGCATGCCTATAGTCCTAGCTACTTGGGAGGCTGAAGCAGGAGAATCGCTTGAACCCAGGAGGTGGAGGTTGCAGTGAGCCAAGATTGCACCATTGCACTCCAGCCTGGGCAACAAGAGTGAAACTCTGTCTCAAAAAAAAAAATTTTTTTTGCACAGTCTTCTCCATGAGATTTATACTCCTAGAGAGCAGAGATAACAACAAGCCTATAAGGCAAGGTAGTATTGTTTTATTTAGTGCCTGCCTATTACCAAAAGAGTTTGAAGCAGTTTATACTAAAAACATAAGAAGAATAATCTTAGAAACCCAGGAAGAAAATTTGGGCAGAGAAGTCTCTGGGAAGCATCCCAAAACTAATGGCTACTGAAAATAAACCTCTCTAAACCCTTCTCTGTCTTTCTCTCTCCTTTCTTTTTCTTTCTCCTTCCCTTCTTGATTTGTATTGTGTTTTCTCAATTAATTATTTTCTCTTTCCTATCCCTTCTTTTTTTCCTATTTGGTTTCAGACGAATTGAGCCAGGTTTCTGAAACCTGAAGCCAAAAGCACCTGTATTAGTCTGTTCCCACACTGCTATAAAGAACTACCTGAGACTGGGTAATTTATGAAGAAAAGAGGTTTAATGAACTCACAGTTCCACAGGCTGGACAGGAAGCATGGCTGGGAAGGCCTCAGGAAGCTTACAATCATGGCAGAAGTTGAAGGAGAAGCAAGCACCTTCTTCACATGGCAGAGCAGGAGGAACAGAGAGCGAAGGGGGAAGCACTACACGCTTTTAAACCATCAGATCTCATGAGAACTCACTATCAAGAGAACAGCAAGGGGGAAATCCGCCCCCATGATCTAATCACCTCCCACCAGGTCCCTCCCCAATACTGGGAATTACAATTCAACTTGAGATTTGGGTGGGGACACAGAGCCAAATCATATCAGCATTCTAATGGATACATCAATCGATTTTCATGGCATGACATTAGGTATGAACTATTATCACCCCCATTTTACAGATGAAGAAACTGAGGCACAGAGGGGTTGAAGATGAAGACTTGCCTAAAATCAAATGGTAAATGGTGGAGTGAGGATTTTGATGAAGATAGTCTGAAGCCAGTAGCTACATCATTAATTATTATAATATATACTGCCAAGTATGAAATCAGATTTTAAACCAGGTCTGTTTAACTCAAACCCCATTGATCTTGACTATTAAACTATGCTCCCTGTGATGAAAATGATGATGACCATGACAATGACAATAACAGTAATAATTATAACTGACATTTATTGAGCTTTTATAGTGTGTCAGCATTAGTCTAAATATTTTTTAAAAATCAACTCATTTTCACAAAAACCCTATGAGTCAGGTACTACTATTATCCACATTTTAGAAATATTTATTTCTATTCATATTCACAAACAAGTATAGGTCATTTAAAAATTCTAGTTAAGACGTAATTCACATACCATAAAACTTACCTTGTTAATCATTTTAATTATTATTTGATTAAGAAATAATACACATCGCCATAAAATTTACAACTGTATACTTTGTACAATTCAGTGATTTTTGTATGTCCACTATGTTGCACAGCCATCACCACTGTCTAATTTTAGAACATTTTCATCACCCCTAAAAGAAACTCTGTATCCATTAGCAGTCACCCTCCACTCAGCCCTTGGCAACCACTAATCTACTTTCTGTCTCTATGGATTTATCTGTTCTGGACATTTCATATAAATGAAATCATACAATATGTGACCTTTTGTGTCCAGCTTTTTTCACACAGAACAGAGAAAAACAGCTACCATTTATTGGTTGCCATGACTACTATGTCCTACGCACTGTTATTGAGAGCTTTGTGTGCCTTATCTTTAATCCTCACAATAACCCTGTGGCAGAGTAGCACTATCATCTTCATGTTAATGAGGAGACCGAGGCACAGAGCTGTTCAGTAACTTGCATAAAGCGCAGCAGCGCATACATGGAAGAGTTAAAACGCAAATCCAGGTCTGTCTGTATCCAAATCCCATACCCTTTACATTCCATCTTTCTGCCTTAGCGTCACATGGATGTGGGCCAGTAATGTGGTGGCATTGCAGCCAGGGCAAAGGAGTTGAGCCAACCACGTGGTGCTGAGAAGCATAGCCCTAAGATCTCCTGGACCTGGTGTCTTTTAGTGGGGTGGGGGCTGGGGATGCCCTATCTCAAGCCTGTGCTCCTGACCCCAGTAAATTTGCCTGCTGAGGTCCTGCTTGCTTACTTCTTCCTGCAGCTTCTTGGCGGCCCCAGCTGCAGTCTTTGGTTTTACTCAATTTGGATGTGTAGGTTACAGAGTTTGTATGGTAGAGTGTCTGTATTTCTTCATCTGGCTTTGGTTACACGTGGAAACATGACAAAGCAAGTCAAGCTTTCTATGAAGAGAAGGACAAAAATTCACTGAACTTATTCAAGTATTCCCCTGAAGTCTGCAGCTCAGGCACATTTCCATCTGGAGCCCATTGAATAGCACCAGCTCCCCTTCTCTGGATGGGCATCTGAGGATGAACTTCTGGTCTTAAGTGATCCTCCACCTCAGCCTCCCAAAGTGCTGGGATTGCAGGTGTGAGACATTGCACTTGGCCCAAAAGCAGATGTTTATACTAATAGGTATGGACAATGAAGAATTAAGTGGTGATTTCCATGCTCTTTATAAGATGGCAGAGAAATGAATACTACTTTTCTAAAAATAGTGCCTGCCAAAAGAGTTTGTTTCAATAATTTGGAAAATGCAGGTCCAAATGGCTCATTCTTTCAGATTGCTGAACTGATTTGCTGTTATTGCGGCTAGAGGCCTCTAAGAGTCACTGTTGAGCTCTCAGAGGAATGTAGAAGCTGACAGGAAAGAGAGGGTCTAGAAGGAAACCTTATCTTATATAACCAGAAAATATTTATCAAATGTGACGCATTAATCTTGATACAATATTATTAACCAAACTATAAAAGTTATTCAGATTTCATCAGTTTTTCCAGGATCCATTCAGGATTCCCCATGGTATTTATCATCTTAGTCACATCATGTCTCCAGTCTGTGACAGCTCCTCGGTCTTTTCTTGTTTTCCATGACCTTGACATTTTAGTGGTCAGGTGTTTTGTAGGCAGTCCCTCAATTTGAGTTTGTATAGTGGTCTGTCATGATTAGAATGAAATAGAAATTTCTCATAAGACTGAAATAGGTTTAAGTTAGTGGAGCCCTCTTGGGGCTAAATTTAAGAAAGGGAGAAGTTAATTTTCTTTGCCCTGCTGCACCTCCTGCATCTTGCCCTCCATTCCCATCTCCAGTTCACTTCTCTCTGCCCTCAGTGGCCAAGTCTTAATAAACACTTATGCTTGCTCTGTGTCCAAACCAATGATAAGCGCTTGGGGCACTGCAGATGGAAGGTGTCTGCCTCCATTCCTCTTTCTCTTCTTTCTTTCCATTTCTTTTCTTTCTTTCTTTTCCTTTCTTTCTTTTTCTTTCTCTCTCTCCTGTTTTTCTCTCTCCTTCTGTCTCTCTGTTTCTCTCTCTTTCCTTCTCTCTCTTTCTCTCTCCTCCTCTCTCTGTCTCTCTCTCTCTCTTTCTCTCTGTCTCAACAGGTGTCCTCAAACTCTAGGAATGAATTCCAATATCCTACATTGTGACCAGAAGGAGGCCCCACAGTACTCCTTCTGAAAGGGTTTGAGCAGAGGGCAGTCAGTCCCGCAGCTGTAATTCATCATTACACCACTCATTGTGTGAAACACAATAATGTCCCATTAGCAAAGTATTAAATCTGAAATGTTTGTACTGAATTCTGGAGAAACTTCCTGAGGTTACCTTCCCAACTGGGTGGTGTGATGTTTCATCTCAGTGGTTCTGATTTTTCTTACTTTCGGTGGAAGGGGGAATAGTAACTTAGTTTTCTGGAGTTTCCAGAGGGATGGGAAATATTATGAAATCAACAACGTTGCAGCTCAGAACATGATCCTTTCAATTTTCACCAGTGGCTAAAATTTATTATCTTTTTCTGATAAAAGTTTGGGGCTTTTAATCACAGCTCCATCGAGCCTCAAGGCTGGAGGAAGATCTTCCAGTCCTTGTCACAGTCCTGTCATTTTACATATGAAATCACCGAGGCCAGAGAGGGAAAAACAACCAATTACTCAATCAATGAAATCTATATTGCTTGTTTTCTGTGTGCTCAGTTCTGTACTGACTGGTAGAAGGGTATATAGGCTTATAGGACATTGTCCCTATCTGTAAAAATCTTCAAGATCTAGCATGGGGGTGTTTACTATTCTGTTTAAGGTGAGCAAGAGCAAGGCAGCAATTATGGCATTGATGCTAAGTATCATATGAATTCATAGATAAGTCCAACAAAAGCTTGAAAAGGCCTTAAAGTGGGGTAGAAATTGAACTGGATATGTCACAATTGATAGGATTTAGAGAGAGGAAAAAGCCAGACAGTGGAAGGCTCCAAAAGCCAAACAGAAAAGGTTGAAAGATTTGAAGCAAGAGTGCCATGAGGGGGCCAGTGTGGGGTTTTTTTATTTTCTTGTTTGTTTTGAGACGGAGTCTCACTCTGTCACCCAGGCTGGAGTGCAGTGGTGTGATCTTGGCTCACTGAAACCTCCGCCTCCCGGGTTGAAGTGATTCTCCTGCCTCAGCCCTCCTGCGTAGCTGGGATTACAGGCACGTGCCACCACGCCTGACTAATTTTTTTTTTTTGTATTTTTGATAGAGACGGGGTTTCACCACATTGGTCATGCTGGTCTCAAAATCCTGACCTCATGATCCACATGCCTCGGCCTCCCAAAGTGCTGGGATTATAGGCGTGAGCCACCGCGCCCAGCCTCTTGATTGTTTTTGAGACAGGCTATCACTCTGTCGCCTTGCTGGAGTGTAGTGGTGCGATCACAGCTCACTGAAATCTTGACCTCCCCAGGGCTGAGTCTTCCAAGTAGCTGGGACTGTAGGTGCATGCCACCATGCCCAGCTAATTTTTCCTATTTTTTGTAGCGAAAGGGTCTCACTATGTTGCTTAGGCTGGCCTCGAACTCCTGGGCCCAAATGATTCCCCTGCCTCGGCCTCCCAAAATGTTGGGATTACAGACATGAGCCACCATGCCTGGGTGAGGGGAGCAGTGTTTACAGAAACTTAATCTAATTGAGATGTGCAGTGGGATCAACTGTTTCGAGTGGGAGAGTCATTGCCAGGCAAGTGTGACATTTATTCTGTGCCTCTCAGAAGCAGCACCAAAGCACTGTGGTCCACTAGTGAAACTAGAAATCAGGTAGGAAAGAAAAATTCTGCTATATCGAGGCAGCAGGAGAGACTTTTTGTAGTAAATGTATCCTTGAGTGTTCCTTAAATTTTAATAGAAAAAGTACATTGGTTAACATGTTTAAAGTGCTTATTATGTGCTAGCCATTGCTATGTGTGCATTGGTTCACGTAATCTCTCTGATACAGACGAGGAAACTGAGGCTTGTAAAATAAGTCGCTCCCCTTAAATCATAAGGCCAGAAGATAGCAAAGTAAACTTTCCTAAATAGACCTGTCTGATTTCAGAGTCCCTATCTCCTGACACCCTACACGTGGCGGCATTATTTCTTCCATGTTAGAGCTGGAGGAAATTCTAGTCCAAACTCTTGTTTTAATGAAGAGCAGGCCAAAGGCCAAACAATCAGAGTGGTGCACCTAATCCTTGATCATTTTGTTCTTAAAAATGTTGGTGCCTCTGACATCAGGCATCTGGATGCTGGGGATGGAGTATCTGGTCCTGATGTCACAGAGTAACTTAGGGGAACAAACCCTCTCTAAAAGAGTTCAGGCTTTAGACTTTCTGACTAACATTGGGGTCCCCATATTATTCAGTGGCTCTTTCCCCTCCAGTTATGACTTGAGATCTGGTTCTGGAAAAGGCTGAAAGGGAGGCCTTCCTGGCAGGAACCCAAGACTGCATACTCCATGCACCTGGAGCTGGGCAGTCATTGTTGGGGATGGGGGGAATAGATGTTATCCCACCTTCATATTTTGATTCCTGTGACTCTGAAGGCTTTTCTGTTTGGACAAATATATCATCTAACGTGGCCAGTGTGTGTCATTGGGCAAATTGCTTGCCTTTTCTGAATGTCAGCCTTTTCCTTTGTAAAGTAAGAATAGTGATCATATCTACCTTTTTAGGGTTGTGGGTGTGAGAATGGAATGGCTTTGGTTAAGTGTACAAAGTAGACACTCAATGAATGTTAGATCCCTGAAATACCTTGGTAGGAAAGGCAGTGGGTGAAAAAATGGCAAGATCACTTAATTTGGAATTAGACAACATTGATGATGCATTTAGGATTATCAAACTTGGGTGTGTGGTCTTGGGCAAAGCAGCTAAGTTCTGGCTGTAGTCTCACCTGAAAAACAAAGAAGCTCATTCTAAATGGAGCACATGCTAATCATTAAGAAACTAAATGGTATGCAAAGCTATGGAGAAGGAGAAGCAGATAAAAAAGGGAAGGGAGAAGGGAATTGTCAAGAAATCCACTTTGCTTTTGCACATCTCACATATTTGCCAAAAGCCTCTGCTTTCATGGAGACATGAGTCTAATAAAAACATAACTGTTGTCTCTAAGGTTAGTTACTACAAAAAAAAAACCCCACACAAACATAAAACCTATAACTGCAAACTACAGGTAGTTTTAGAGAGACTTAGCCATAACAGTAATGGTAATATTTACCATTTTTTGAATGTATGCTATGACCAATAACTGAGCTGGATGCTTTACACACAGTATATCCATTTTTTCCTAGCAATCCTGCAAGGTGACAATTATTGAAAACAGTTTACAGGTGAGGACACCAAGTTTTCAGATATGTTAAGCTAATCTTCCAGGTCTCCTGCAGATGAAAAGTGGTGGAGATGGGATTCCAACTCAGGTTTCTTGGGCTTCAAATGAGTTGCTCTTTCCCTTATGCCAAGATGTTTTTCATTTGTATCAAGTGCTAATCTTTAAAGTTGGTCTGATTAAGAGGCTCCCTTTATTTTCAGAAGCTGTAGCCAGATCATAAAGCCTTCCTGGTGTTCCTTTTTAGGGATGTTTTTCAGAAATACACAAAGAAGTCAGCCATGTTGCTTTCAATGATAGCCTGTTTAGGGGCCACATAGTATCTTACCTTTGGGTTCCCTACCTTATTCACCACATATGACTCCAAACATAACTGAATGGTTTCTGAAATGAAAATTCACACTCAAAAGACATACCTTTGCTACAGTTGTAAATATTTGAAAAAATTATGCTTTGCAATTTGAAGGCAGTTTCAAAAAGAGGTGTTCCAGAAATGCCTTTAGTACTGGCAACACCATTGAGAACGTAAGATGACTGCTTTAGAAATGAACAAACCCATCTGGAAGTTGAAGTATTGACATGGAGACTAAAAACAACAAGATATAATTCCTCCCCATCTCCCACCCCAACCAAGGTATTCCATGTCTGTAAGATGAGTGGGCTGTAAATTTGTGTGTGCGTATTTGGGGTCCCCCAACATAATAGACCACAGGAGACTGGGAGACAGATGTGGAGTTTCCCCTTAATCTTCTAGTACCTGAGTTCCTTGCCCTAAACCTAGATGATGGTTTTTAACTGCAGAGTCTTGATTTTTTACCTTGTGAAATCTAGTTGAGAGCCTCCAGCTGCTGCTCTGGTTGATATGGAAATGCAAGGGTGGGGAGATACAGCCCTAGCCACACAGAATCTCTCTAGCTGTGGGCAATAGGCCTGGCAGAACCTGAAGGGGGCCCAGAACACTCTTGTAGGACACAGTTTAAAAACCACTCCTGAGGCCGGTCATGGTAGTTCATGCCTGTAATCCCAGTACTTTGGGAGGCCAAGGCAGGAGGATTACTTGAGCTCAGGAGTTTGAGATCAGCCTGGCCAACATGGCGAGACCCCATCTCTACAAAAAAAAAAAAAAACATTAAAAATTAGCCAGGCCTGGTGGCATGTGCCTGTGGTCCCAGCTACTTGGGAGGCTGAGGTGGGAGGATTGCTTGAGCCTGGGAGTTTGAGACTGCAGTGAGCTATGATCACACCACTATACCCCATCCTGGGTGACAGACCAAGACCCTGTCTCTAAAACAAAAACAAAACAAAATGAAACAAACAAAAAACACTGCTGAGGTAATTCATGGGGTTTCTTGGTGATTTTTTTTCCATGTAGGAATCCTGTATACCAGTTCCTATACTGTTGGACCTTAGTTTCCTCACCTAAAAATGAAGAATCTCTCAAGTCTCCTCAAATTCTAATGATTTGGGATTCTAATGTGATCTAATAATAACCAGGACCAGGCAGTGAAAATGAGAAACCTTTGCTGACAGACCTTCCCATACAAGGCTTTAGCTCATTCCTAATGGGGGCTGAGGGGACAAGCTCTGTGGGGCTGAAATGCACCAACCCTCCTGCTAAGTCCCTTCCTCCCCATGGCTTCTAATGGTTAATGGACAGCTGACTCCATGATACACAGATCTTTCCAGCAAGTCTTCTGTCTTGTTTTTACTGCCTTGGAATTGTGGAATTGCTCAACCGATGCACATGTGGCTCATTTCACTCATTCACAACAAAAATGCAACTCCTGCCAAGTCAACAGAATGCATTAAATACACCCAAATTATACAACACATCCAACAAGTATTTGCCAAGCACAGTTTAATGCTCAGGAGGTGGCTGATCCAAGAGAAGAAAAACCAAAGCTCTTCAAAGATAATATATAATACATCTTCATTAAAAGAGAAGATAAAAAATAGAAAAATGGGCTAAGGACACAGACAGTTCACCAAGTACAAATAGTTATTGTTTAGTCTTAAAAAAATTAATCTTCCAGGACATCCAGCCAAGTACAAATAGTTATTATGTAAAAGTAGGGGTCTGCATTGTGACCTCTATCTTGTTATATGATCTGGAGCAAGTTACACTGTCTGGCACCAGTTTCTTCTTTAAAATGTCCAGGTTTGGCTAGATGAGCCTTAAGGTCCGGGTTCTAAAATTCTCTTGATCTCTTTTTTGTATTAAACACAGAAGAATAAAAAAAGATGCCTCTTAGAAAAAGTAACATCCGGCATAGGTCCTGCTCCTGAAGAAGGATAAAGAATCTGATTGAAAGGCAGGTTGGGGCTGCATCGTGAATGGCCTTGAAGGACATTTAAAGATGTTTGGACATTATCTCATTGCCATAAAGAATCACTGAAAATTTTAGATCAGGGCAGTAGTGCTGAGAAAAGTTTGAGATAATATAAAAATAAATCCCTACGAAGAAAGGGTAATAGAATGAGGACAGTATGGAAGGAGTCAGAGAGGTCTTCTTGGCAGACTCTAAAAGATTTGAACTATACCCCTTCTGTTTCCACAGATGCAATTGTTTTATTTTGTTTTTAATAATGTAGCATTGAATATCATCATTTACAAGTTTTTACTTTTTTTCTGCTTCATTTTTCCTTCATATGATTTACAAGTTTTTAGTTGAAAAAGTAAAATACAGAGAAAGATAGAAAATTCCGTTTCCTCCTTCTCACATTTTTTTGGATAAATTATATATTTGACATTTTAAATGTCTTCTCAGAGAAGAGGAGCCATTCAGTATCAGCCTGCTGGCATTGCTGTCCTTAGGGAAGTAGGGACTCTGG
Source organism: Homo sapiens (assembly GCF_000001405.40). Lineage (NCBI taxonomy): Eukaryota > Metazoa > Chordata > Mammalia > Primates > Hominidae > Homo > Homo sapiens. The sequence goes on from NC_000023.11 coordinate 49,768,503, forward strand.
AGACAGAATGCTCTAGCTCCTTTATGGAAATCAATTGATTGAAGGATAGAATAAAGTGATCTTCTCAACATTGATTTAATATGAACACGTTTTATTGACAGCTTCTAAAACAAAGTCTGGCTCCACTCTTTACCAAACTATTCGCCCTCTCTATGCCTCCGTTTTCTTATCTGTAAAGTGAGCTAATAAGTGTACCTACCTCATAGGGTTATGAGGATTAAACAATGTAATGTTTTTAAGGTAGGAGTTTTCATTATTTGGTAAATGCTAAGGGGAAAACAGCTTCACTGTTTAGAAAAAAATAATAAATGCAACATTTTAAGATTGCATTTCATACTTTATACCAAAATAAATTCCAGATGAATTAAAAATGAACATATTTGAAAAGATAATGTATAATACATCCTCATTTAAAAAGAAGATAAATAACAGAAAAATGGGCTAAGGACACAGACAGTTAACCAAGTACAAATAGTTATTATGTAAAGTATACAGCCCTTTAACTTTGGAGTTTCACTTCAAAGAAAATACAGATGCACAAGGATGTACTCATAAGGATTTCATTCTAAAATATGAACAGAATTACACTGTAGAATTATAGATGAGTTTTTAAAATTTCTGTTTTGTGTGTTTTTAATTTTTTAATTTTTATGGGTATATAATAGGTGTATATATTTATGGGGTACAAGAGATATTTTACACATAGGCATGTGTAGAAAATTGGCTATCCATTCTCTCAAGCATTTGTCCTTTGTGTTGCAAACAATCCAGTTATACTCTTTTAGATATTTTAAAATATACAATTAAATTATTTTGACTATAGTCACCCTGTTGTGCTATCAAATACGAGGTCTTATTCTTTCTAACTAGTTTTTTTGGTACCCATTAACCATCCTCATTTTTCCCTCAACCCCCCACTACCCTTCCCAGCCTCTGGTAACCATCTTCCTATTCTCTGTGTCCATGAGTTCAATTGTTTTGATTTTTAGATCCCGCAAATAAGTGAGAACATGCGATGTTTGTCTTTCTGTGCCTGGCTTATTTCACTTAACATAATGACCTCCAGTTCCATCCATGTTGTTGCAAATGACAGGATCTCATTCTTTTTCATGGCTAAATAGTACTCCACTGTGTATAAGTACTACATTTTCTTTTCTTTTTTAAATTAAATTAAATTAAATTTTAACTTTTGGGATACATGTGCAGGATGTGCAGGTTTGTTACATTGGTAAACAAGTGCCATGGTGGTTTGCTGCACCTATAAACCCATCACCTAGGTATTAAGTCCAGCATGCTTTAGCTATTTTTCTTGATGCTCTCCCTTTCTCCATCCCCCTACAGGCCCTGGTGTGTGTTGTTCCCCTCCCTGTGTCCATGCGTTCTCATTTTTCAGCTCCCACTTATGAATGAGAACATGCAGCTTTTGGTTTTCTGTTCCTGTGTTAGTTTGCTGAGGAAAATGGCTTCCAGCTCCATCCATATCCCACAAAGGACATGATCTCATTCCTTTTTATGGCTGCGTAGTATTCTATGGTGTATATGTACCACCATGGTACATTTTTTAAATCCAGTCTATCATTGATGGGCATTTGGGTTGATTCCATGTCTTTGCTATTGTGAATAGTGCTGCAATGAACATATGTGTGCATGTATCTTTGTAATATTGTAATATCATAAAGATTATAATAGTAGACTGATTTATATTCCTTTGGGTATATACCAAAGGAATTTCATTACTGGGTCAAATGGTATTTCTGATTCTAGGTCTTTGAGAAATCACCACGCTGTCTTTCACAATGGTTGAACTAATTTACATTCCCACCAACAGTGTAAAAGCATTCTTATTTCTCCACAGCCTCGCCAGTATCTGTGGTTTCTTGACTTTTTAATAATCACCATTCTGACTGGTGTGTGATGGTATCTCATTGTGGTTTTGATTTGTATTTCACTAATGATCAGTGATGTTGAGCTTTTTTTCATATGTTTGTTGGACCCATAAGTGTCTTCTTTTGAGAAGTGGCTGTTCATATCTTTTGCCCACTTTTGAATGGGGTTGTTTTTTTCTTATAAATTTGTTTAAGTTCCTTGTACATTCTGGATATTAGACCTTTGTCAGATGGATAGATTGCAAAAATTTTCTTCCATTCTGTAGGCTGTCTGTTCACTTTGATGATAGTTTCTTTTCCTATGCAGAAGCTCTTTAGTTTAATTAGATCCCATTTGTCAATTTTTGCTTTTGTTGCAATTGCTTTTGATGTTTTTGTCATGAAATCTTTGCCTCTGTTTATGTCCTCAATAGTATTGCCTAGATTTTCTTCTAGGGTTTTTATAGTTTGGGGTAGTACTACATTTTCTTTATCCATTCTTCTGTTGATGGACATTTAAGTTGGTTCCAAATTTTGGCTACTGTGAACAGTGCTGCAACAAACATAGGAATGCTGATATCTTTTTGATATACTGATTTCTTTTCTTTTAGGTATATACCCAGCAGTGGGATTGCTGGATCATATGGTAGCTCTATTTTTAGTTTTTCCAGGAACATCTAAACTGTTCTCCATAGTGGTTGTACTAGTTTATAATCCCACCAACAGTGTGCAAAGGTTCCCTTTTCTCCACGTCCTTGCCAGCATTTGTTATTGTCTGTCTTTTGGCTATAAGCCATTTTAACTGGGGTGAGATGATATTTCATTGTAGTTTTCATTTGCAGTTCTCTGATGACCAATGATGTTGGCACCTTTTCATACGCCTGCTTGCCATTTGTGTCTTCTTTTGAGAAATGCCTATTCAAATCTTTTGGCATATTTTGGTTGGATTAGTATATTTTTTCCTATAGACTTGTTTGAGCTCCTTATATATTCTGGTTATTAATTCCCTGTCAGATGGGTAGTTTGCAAATATTTTCCCCCATTCTGTGGGTTGTCTCTTCACTTTGTTGATTGTTTCCTTTGCTGTGCAGAAGCTTAACTTGATGTGATCCCATTTGTCTATTTTTGCTTTGGGGGTATTACTGTGCTTGTGGGGTATTACTCAAGAAATCTGTGCCCAGACCAATGTCCTGGAGATTTCCCCCCAATATTTTCTTGTAGTAGTTTTATAGTTTGAGGTCTTAGATTTAAATATTTAATCTATTTTGATTTGATTTTTGTATATGGCGAGAGACACGGGTCGAGTTTATTCTTCTGCCTATGGATATCCAGTTTTCCCAGCACCATTTATTGAAGACTGTCTTTTCTTGGCACCTTTGTCAAAAATTAGTTAGTTGTAGGTGTGTGGATTTGTTTCTGGGTTCTGTATGCTGTTCCTTGGGCTATGCATCTGTTTCTATGCCAGTACTATGGTGTTTTGGTTACTATAGCTCTGTAGTATAATTTGAAGTCAGGTAATACGATTCCTCCAGTTTTGTTCTTTTTGCTTAGGATAGCTTTGGCTATTCTGGGTCTTTTGTGGTTCTATATAAATTTCAGGGTTGTTTTTTCTATTTTTGTTAACAATGTCATTGGTATTTTGACAGGGATTGCATTAAATCTGTAGATTGCTTTGGGTAGTATGGACATTTTTGCAATGTTTATTCCTCCATTCCATGAACATGGAATATCTTTACATTTTGTGATGTCCTATTCAATTTCTTTCATCAGTGCTTTATAGTTTTCATTGTTGAGATCTTTCACTTCTTTGATTAAGTTAATTTCTCAATATTTAATTTTATTTGTGGCTATGGTGAATGGGATTACTTTCTTCATGTCTTTTTCAGATTGTTCACTGTTGGCATATATAAGTGCTACTGATTTTTGTTATTTATTTACTAGTTATTTTGTGGTCTTCTCTTTCTTCTTTCTTTCCTATCTTTCTTTTAATGAAGTTGACTTTCTCTGATGATGTGATTTAATTTCTTGCTTTTTTTGTATCTGTTGTATGTTTTCTTATTTGAGGTTACCATGAGGCTTGCAAATACTATGTTATAACCCATTATTTTAAAAGATGACAACTTAACACTGATTGCATAAACAAAGAAACAAACATGCAAAAAGAAAAGTAATAAAAACTCTACACTTAAGCTTTGTTCCCCTACTTTTTAAACTTTTTGTTGTTTCTCTTATGTCTTACTGTCCTGTCGATGTCTTGAAAAGTTGTTGTAGTTATTATTTTTGATTGGTTCATTTAGTCTTTCTACTTATTGTAAGAGCAGTTTATGCATTACAATTACAGGGTTATAATATTCTATGTTTTTCTGTATGTTTACTATTACCAGTGAGTTTTGTACCTTCAGATGATTTCTTCTTGTTCAATTAACATCATTTTCTTTCAGATGAAAGAACTCCCTTTAGCGTTTCTTGTAGGCACAGGTCTGGTGTTGATGAAATTCCTCAGCTTTTGTTTGTCTGGGAAGGTCTTTATTTTTCTTTCATAGTTGATGGATATTTTTGCTGCATATACTAGTCTAGGGTAAAAGTTTTTTTCCTTCAGCACTTTAAATATATTATGCCATTCTCTCCTGGCCTGTAAGGTTTCCACTGAAAAGTCTGCTGCCAGATGTATTGGAGCTCTATTGTATGTTATTTGTTTCTTTTCTCCTGCTGCTTTTAGATCCCTTTTTTATCCTTGACCTTTGGGAGTTTGATTAGTAAATGCCTTGAGGTAGTGTTCTTTGGGTTAAATTTGCTTGGTGTTTTATAACCTTCTTGTACTTGAATGTTGATATCTTTCTCTAGGTTTGGGAAGTTCTCTGATATCCCTTTGAATATACTTTCTACCCCATCTCTTTCTCTATCTCCTCCTTAAGGACAGTAACTGTTAGATTTGCCCTCTCGAAGCTGTTTTCTACATCTCTTAGGTGTGATGCATTCTTTTAATTCTTTTTTCTTTTGGTCGCCTCTGACTGTGTATTTTGAAATAGGCTATCTTCTATCTTCAAGCTCACTAATTCTTTCTTCTGCTTTATCAATTCTGCTGTTAAGAGACCCTGATGCATTCTTCGGTATATCAGTTGCATTTTTCAACTCCAGAATTTCTACTTGATTGTTTTTAATTATTTCAATCCCTTTGTTCAATTTATCTGATAGCATTCTGAATTCCTTCTGTGTTATCTTGAATTTCTGCAAAATAGCTATTTTGAATTCTCTGTCTGAAAGGTCACATATTTCTGTTTCTCCAGGATTGGTCCCTAGCACCTTATTTAGTTCACTTGGTGAGGTCATGTTTTCCTTTGTGGTCTTGATGCTTGTTGATGTTTGTCAGTGTCTGGGCATTGAAGAGGTAGATATTTATTGTATTCTTCACAATATGGGCTTATTTGTGCCCATCCTTCTTGGGAAGGCTTTCCAGGTTTTCAAAGGGACTTGGACCCCAAGCCCAATAACACTGTGGGTTTGTCAGACTCATAGAGGTACCACTTTGGTGGTCATAGGTAAAATCCAGAATAATTCTGTGGATTACCAGGCAGAGTTACTTGTACTCTTTCCTTACTTTCTCCCAAACAAATGGAGTCTCTCTTTTTGTGCTGAGCCGCCTGGTACTGGGGGTATGGTGATGTAAGCACCCCTGTGGCCACCACCACTGGGACTGCACTGGGTCTGACCTGAAGCCAACACAGCACTGGGTCTTGCCCAAGGCTTGCTGTAACCACTACTTGGCTACCACCTATGTTTACTCAAGGCCCTAGGGCTCTATGATCAACAGGTGGTGAAGCCAGCCAAGTTTTGTGTTCTTTCCTTCAGGGTGGTGAGCTGCCCCTGGCCCTGGGTGGGTCCAGATATGCTATCTGAGAGCCAAGGATTAGAGTCAATAATATTAGACATTTACTTGATGTTTTCTTCTACTGTGGCTAAGCTGGCACTCAAACCACAATACGAAGTCCTTCCCACTCTTCCCTCCTCCTTCCACAGGCAGAGGAGCCTCTCCCTGTGGCTACCAACACCATAGCCCACAGGGGTTTCTGCCAGGCCATGCTGATGTGCACCTAAAGTGCAAGGGCCAAGGACTCTTCATTCAGCTTGTGGTGAACTCTGGGAGGCCTGAGACTTACTTTCAGGACAGTGGGCTCCCCTCTGGCCCAGGGCAAGATCTGGAAATGCTGTCCAAGAGCCTAGGCCTGGATTCTGGGACCCCAAGAGCCTGCTTGTTGCTCTACCCCCCAATGTGGCCGAGCTGCTACCTAAGGGGCAAGACAAAGTCCCCTTTACTTTTCCCTCTGCTTTTCTCAAGTAGAAGTCTTTCACCATAGCCACCACAACTTGAATATACTGGTTCACACTGGAAGCCAGCATGTCTCAGAGTCTCAGCCAAGGTCCATTGTGTACTACCTGGGTATTGCTGCTGGTTATTCAGGGCCCAAAGGCTCTCTAGACAGCAGGTGATGAATCCTGCCAGAACTGGGTTCTTCTCTTCAAGGCAGCAGGTTCCCTTCTGGCCCAAGGTGGGTCTAGAAATGTCATCCGGAAGCTAAGGCCTAGAATGGGGGACTCACAACTCTGCCTGGTGCCCTCTCTTACTGTGGCAGAGCTGATATCCAAGAGGTAAGACAAAGTCCTCTTTACCCTTTGCTCTCCTCTCCTTAAGCCAAAGGAAGGAGTCATCTTTGTTGCTGTGAGCTGCACTTCCTGGGGTTGGAGGAGAGATGGCACAAGCACTCCTTTAGCTGCCCTGGCTGGTGTTTCTCTAGGTCACAGGCCACCCTAGTCCACTGACACTAAACCCAGCCTAGCACTGGGAGTTGCCTAGGAGTTGCAGTCCTTGTATCCTAGACTGCCTTTCAAGTCTACCTAGAACCCCAGAACACTTTGACCCACCGCAGTGAGGCTTGCCAAGAAACTAATGTCTTGACCACTGAGATGAACCATTCCCCTCTGGCTAGGGCTGGCCCAAATGCTCCCTCTGTTCATGGGTGCTGGCTGAGCCCAGCATGGCTTTGCTCTCTACTGTGACAAGGTGGCACTGAGTTCAATGTAAAGTCCCCCAGTTGCTGCACTCTCCCTCCCGCAAGTTCACAGATTCTCTCTTCACACAGCATGACTGCTGCTGGGGGATGGAAGAGAGGTGGTGTCAGAGACTCAAGACTGTCCATCCTACCCTCTTCAATGCCTGTTTCAGCAATATGAAGTTAAAGCCAGGTACTGTGATTGCTCACCTGATTTTTGGTTCTTGTGAAGGTAATTTTGTGTGCAGATAGTTGTTAAATTTTGGTGTTCCTGTCGTGGGGAGAGATGAATGGTGGAGGCTTCTATTCTGCCATATTGTTCTACTCTCCTAGATTAGATGGTTTTTTTTTTTGTTTGTTTGTTTTTTTAGACAGAGTCTCGCTCTCTCGCCCAGGCTAGAGTGCAGTGGCATGATCTCAGCTCACTGCAACCTCTGGCAACCTCTGCCTCACGGATTCAATTGATTCTCATGCCTCAGCCTCCTAAGCAGCTGGGATTACAGGCGCCCACCACCATGCCTGGCTAACTTTTGTATTTTTAGTAGACACAGGGTTTCATCATGTTGGCCAGGCTGGTCTCGCACTCCTGACCTCAAGTGATCCGATCACCTCGGCCTCCCAAGGTGCTGGGATTACAGGAGTGAGCCACTGTGCCTGGCCCTAGATGAGTTTTTAATTAGTCTTATTCCACCTCCTCCTCCTTCTTTTACTACAAATATGTACTACTTTCCTCCTCCTCCTCCTCGTCCTCCTCCTCCTCCTCCTTCTTCTTCTTCTCCTGGACAAAATGGTGAAAATAAAGTTTTCCTTCACTTTGTGAAATCTCGTTCTTTTTCCACTCTATCCAGTATGTCCCCACTTCCAGTCCAATTCTCCACATGGTTTCAGATATTCAGCTCCAACTCTTAGGCACATCTGGTTCATAATCCAAGTCACAGATTCATCACCTGTCAGCCATTGTGGTACCTCCAAACTTTGCCAACTACTCCCAGTACTCATTGCTATTGGCTAAAAGAAGGGGACATAGTTGTGTGAGGCAATCTCCATTCGTCCATGAATAAAACAGAACATGGTTTGTGCTGATGGAGGAAGGGGGGTCAGTTGTTTTTATCTTTGCATGGGAGAGATTACACTCTGCATTATGATGAAGTGATTCATGTGTCCTAAGTAAAGTGGCGTGCTTTTAGAGGGACGCGGAATGGCCAACATCTGGCATTCCTGCCAGCAGCCTCCATGGCTATTCCCTTGGAGAACATGACAAGTCTGTTAACAGCATTCTTTCCAGCTGATCCCTAATGCAACCCCAGAATCTTGACCCAGGAATCCTGGGCACAATGCTTTGTTCTAGCACCTCAAAATATGATCTTAGCATCAGACAGGAGCTTATTAAAGATGCAAATTCTCAGGCCCCACTCTAAATTTACTGAATCTGAATTTGGCCTCACTTTCAGGAATTCTTGGTCTCTTTACAAGCTGTGGCAGATAATTACCTAAATATAACCCAATCACCCACTCATTTCACGGAGTGGTTTGTGGTCAGTTTGCATTAAATCATCTGGGATATTTATTACAAAAGTTGATTCGTAGGTTCTTCCTGAGAACCTAGGATAATGCCAGGAATCTATATTTTTGACAAATGTCCTGGAGTATTATTCTTAAATGTAAACTGATGTGGTGGGATTCTAAGTAAACATGGCTGTTTCTCTGGAATGCAATACACTCATTCTAACACACAAGGTAGACAGGGTGGGGTGAGGCAGTGGTTTCCCTAGGTGTATGTTGAAAAAACTCTTGGAGCCGGGTGCGGTGGCTCATGCCTGTAATCCCAGCACTTTGGGAGGCCAAGGTGGGCAGATCACTTAAGGTCAGGAGTTTGAGATCAGCCTGGCCAACACGGTGAAATCCTGTCTCTACTAAAAATACAAAAATTAGCCAGGCATGGTGGCATGCACCTGTAAACTCGGGAGGCAGGAGAATGGCTTGAACCCAGGAGGCAGAAGTTGCAGTGAGCTGAGATGGTGCCACTCTTCTCCAGCCTGGGTGACAGAGCTAGATTCCGTCTCAAAAAAAAAAAAAAAGAAAAAGAAAAAAAGAAAAGAAAAAAAAGACATAAAAGAAAAAGCTCTTGGTCTCTCTGAAGTCAGGCCAAGGCATAAATTATCTAGTGCATGAATGTGGAAAATACAGGCTGTGGAGTCATACACCATTTACTAGGTGAATGTAATTTTGTTGAGCCATAACTATAACATTATGATAATTATGCCTGGCCTGTCATAGGGAGTATTCTGGCAAGTTTCTGGTGCATAGTAGGAACTCAAGCTTTTTTGTCTATTGATGTGTACTAGTATTTCCATTTATTCATCATTTTGAATATACAATCAATAACACAAATAATTAAATAATAGTTAATATTGAGTGTTAATTATACACCAGGCACTACATGAAGCATTTAATATACATTATCTCATTTATTCTTTACAAAAACTCTACCAGGGTGGTATTATTATTCTCTTCATTTGACAGAAAAAGAGAACTGAGATGTGGGGTGCAGCCAAATGCTCCTAAGGTCGCTAAGCCTAGACTCTTTCAAGCGTATTTGGCACCATGCTAGCTTGGTGAAGGTTGAAATGATGTAAGAGACAAGGTCTTGGAAAAAATCTTTTTATAATCTTGAAGGAAAGCAAGCCCATGCAAACAAATAACCAAGATGAAGACATACCCAGAACTTCCAAGGGGTACACATGGAACATCATAGACTTTCAGAGGAAGAAGAGGCCACTTTCAAGTTCAATGGTCAGGGCAGATTTCATGAAGAAAGTGCTCTTAAATGTAACATTGGAAGATATATAGGGTCCTGGTAGAAAGGGATTGAATGACTTACCACATGGAAAGTATAAAGCTCTTAAATAGAGGGCTGGACATGGTGGCTCACGCCTGTAATCCCAGTACTTTGGGAGGCCGAGGCGGGCGGATCACGAAGTCAGTAGATCGAGACCATCCTAGCTAAAATGGTGAAACTCTGTCTCTACTAAAATACAAAAAATTAGCCAGGCGTGGTGACAGGCGTCTGTAGTCCCAGCTACTCGGGAGGTTGAGGCAGGAGAATGGCGTGAACCCGGGAGGCAGAGCTTGCAGTGAGCCGAGATTGTGCCACTGCACTCCAGCCTAGGTGACAGTGCGAGACTTTGTCAACAACAACAACAAAAAAAGAATGCTTGTGATTTTTGCACATTGATTTTGTATCCTGAGACTTTGCTGAAGGTGCTTATCAGCTTAAGGAGATTTTGGGCTGAGACGTTGGGGTTTTCTAGATATACAATCATGTCGTCTGCAAACAGGGACAATTTGACTTCCTCTTTTCCTAATTGAATACCCTTTATTTCCTTCTCCTGCCTAATTGCCCTGGCCAGAACTTCCAACACTATGTTGAATAGGAGTGGTGAGAGAGGGTATCCCTGTCTTGTGCCAGTTTTCAAAGGGAATGCTTCCAGTTTTTGCCCATTCAGTATGATATTGGCTGTGGGTTTGTCATAGATAGCTCTTATTATTTTGAGATACGTCCCATCGTACCTAATTTCTTGAGAGTTTTTAGCATGAAGGGCTGTTGAATTTTGTCAAAGGCCTTTTCTGCATCTATTGAGATAATCATGTGGTTTTTGTTTGGTTCTGTTTATATGCTGGATTACATTTATTGATTTGCATATATTGAACCAGCCTTGCATCCCAGGGATGAAGCCCACTTGATCATGGTGGATAAGCTTTTTGATGTGCTGCTGGATTCGGTTTGCCAGTATTTTATTGAGGATTTTTGCATCAATGTTCATCAAGGATATTGGTCTAAAATTCTCTTTTTTGGCTGTGTCTCTGCCAGGCTTTGGTATCAGGATGATGCTGGCCTCATAAAATGAGTTAGGGAGGATTCCCTCTTTTTCTATTGATTGGAATAGTTTCAGAAGGAATGGTACCAGTTCCTCCTTGTGCCTCTGGCAGAATTCGGCTGTGAATCCATCTGGTCCTGGACTCTTTTTCGTTGGTAAGCTATTGATTATTGCCACAATTTCAGATCCTGTTATTGGTCTATTCAGAGATTCAACTTCTTCCTGGTTTAGTCTTGGGAGAGTGTATGTGTCGAGGAATTTATCCATTTCTTCTAGATTTTCTAGTCTATTTGCATAGAGGTGTTTGTAGTATTCTCTGTTGGTAGTTTGTATTTCTGCAAAATCAATGTGCAAATATAACAAGCATTCTTATACACCAATAACAGACAAACAGAGAGCCAAATCATGAGTGAACTCCCATTCACAATTGCTTCAAAGAGAATAAAATACTTAGGAATCCAACTTACAAGGGAAGTGAAGGACCTCTTCAAGGAGAACTACAAACCACTGCTCAATGAAATAAAAGAGGATACAAAGAAATGGAAGAACATTCCATGCTCGTGGGTAGGAAGAATCAATATCGTGAAAATGGTCATACTGCCCAAGGTAATTTATAGATTCAATGCTATCCCCATCAAGCTACCAATGACTTTCTTCACAGAATTGGAAAAAACTACTTTCAAGTTGATATGGAACCAAAAAAGAGCCCGCATCGCCAAGTCAATTCTAAGCCAAAAGAGCAAAGCTGGAGGCATCACGCTACCTGACTTCAAACTATACTACAAGGCTACAGTAAGCGAAACAGCATGGTACTGGTACCAAAACAGAGATATAGATCAATGGAACAGAACAGAGCCCTCAGAAATTACGCCACATATCTACAACTATCTGATCTTTGACAAACCTGAGAAAAACAAGAAATGGGGAAAGGATTCCCTATTTAATAAATGGTGCTGGGAAAACTGGCTAGCCGTATGTAGAAAGCTGAAACCTGATCCCTTCCTTACACCTTATACAAAAATTCATTCAAGATAGATTAAAGACTTAAACGTTAGACCTAAAACCATAAAAACCCTAGAAGAAAACCTAGGCAATACCATTCAGGATATAGGCATGGGCAAGGACTTCATGTCTAAAACACCAAGAGCAATGGCAACAAAAGCCAAAATTGACAAATGGGATCGAATTAAACTGAAGAGCTTCTGCACAGCAAAAGAAACTACCATCAGAGTGAACAGGCAACCCACAAAATGGGAGAAAATTTTTGCAACCTACTCATCTGACAAAGGGCTAATATCCAGAATCTACAATGAACTCAAACAAATTTACAAGAAAAAAACAAACAACCCCATCAAAAAGCGGGCAAAGGATATGAACAGACACTTCTCGAAAGAAGACATTTATGCAGACAAAAGACACATGAAAAAATGCTCACCATCACTGGCCATCAGAGAAATGCAAATCAAAACCACAATGAGATACCATCTCACACCAGTTAGAAAGGCAATCATTAAAAAGTCAGGAAACAACAGGTGCTGGAGAGGATGTGGAGAAATAGGAACACTTTTACACTGTTGGTGGGACTATAAAGTAGTTCAACTATTGTGGAAGTCAGTGTGGCGATTCCTCTGGGATCTAGAACTAGAAATACCATTTGACCCAGCCATCCCATTACTGGGTATATTCCCAAAGGACTATAAATCATGCTGCTATAAAGACACATGCACACGTATGTTTATTGCGGCACTATTCACAATAGCAAAGACTTGGAACGAACCCAAATGTCCAACAATGATAGACTGGATTAAGAAAATGTGGCACATATACACCATGGAATACTACGCAGCCATAAAAAATGATGAGTTCATGTCCTTTGTAGGGACATGGATGAAACTGGAAATCATCATTCTCAGTAAACTATTGCAAGGACAAAAAACCAAACACCGCATGTTCTCACTCATAGATGGGAATTGAACAATGAGAACACATGGACACAGGAAGGGGAACATCACACTCTGGGGACTGTTGTGGGGTGGGGGGAGGGGGGAGGGATAGCATTAGGAGATATACCTAATGCTAAATGACGAGTTAATGGGTGCAGCACACCAGCATGGCACATGTATACATATGTAACTAACCTGCACATTGTGCACATGTACCCTAAAACTTAAAGTATAATAATAATAATAATAATAATAATAATAATAATAAAAATCTCTAAGTAAGATAAAAAAAAGAAAAAAGCTCTTAAATGGAATCTGGCATAAAGGAAATGCTCAGTATTTTAATGTATCTCTACTACTCTAGGTATTATAATGTATCTCTACTATTGCTATTACTATTACCATTTCCCCTTTGTGTGTGTGTGTGTGTGTGTGTGTGTGTGTGTGTGTGTGTGTGTGTGTGTGGTTTATAATGTTTATAACAGTTTTAATGGTTTATAACAGTTTATAATGTGTATTGTGAAAGCCTCTACAGAAGCCACTTGGTGGATACAAACTCATCAACCTCATCTCACCCAGAGTTCATTTGTCTCTCCATGAGGTCTTTCTGAGAGACTTCATCAAAGACCACATTACAGATATGAACCCTCCCCTGACATGCCACTCTAGTCTTCATCCAAAATGACTGTGAAAATTGTGTGTGATATGGTTTTTTTGTGAACTAATCTACAACATCATGATGTTTAGGTGGCTACTTCCTTCACAGCCTCCCTTGGTTTTGGAGTGGGGGTCACATGGCTGCCATGGGTGCTTTTTGATGATCTCATTGCAGGGAATTTCTTCTGAGTCTTGTAGCATCTGTTCCTCTGTTCATCTTGTCCTCAGATGTTTGGGTCCATCTCCCCTCAAGCCTTACTGAGATATCTCAAATAATCCAGGACATGTGGGCTTCAGAGCCTGCAAACCTAATTTTAGAGCCTGGAGTCCTCAACTCCTGGTTGTGTGACTATCTTAGTCCATTTTTTTGTTGCTTATAAAAGAATACCTGAAACTGGGTAATTTATAAAGAAAAGAAATTTATTTCTTACAGTTCTGGAGCCTAAGTTCAAGGTTGAGGGGGCACATCTGGTGAAGATGGTCTTGCTGGTGGGGACTCTGTCAGAGTCCCCAGGTGATGCAGGGTATCAAATGGCAATGGGGCTGAGTGTGCTAGTTCAGATCTCTCTTCTTCTTCTTATAGGGCTGCCAGTCCCACTCCCACGGTAACCCATTACTCTATTAACCCATTAATCCATTCATGACAGCAGAGCCCTCATGACCCAATCACCTCTCAAAGGCCCCACCTTGTGACATTACCACATTGGAGATTAAACTTGGTGGTGCGTTGTGACACGGTTTGTCATCTTGGTGATGAGTTGTGACACAGTTTGTCTCTATGTCCCCATCCAAATCTCATCTCGAATTATGGTCCTCACGTGTTGAGGGAGGGAAGTGATTGGATCATGGAGGCAGTTTCCCCCATGCAGTTCTTGTGATAATGAGAGAATTCTCATGAGATCTGATGGTTTTAAAAGTGGCAGTTTTTTTCCTGTGCTCTCACTTCTCCCTCCTGCTACCTTGGGAAGAAGGTGCCCTTCCATCATGATTGTAAGTTTCCTGAGGCCTCCCCAGCCATGCAGAACTGTGAGTCAATTAAATATCTTTCCTTTATAAATTACCCAGTCTCACGGAACTTCTTTATAGTAGTGTGAAAACGGACTAATACACGTGTAAAGCTCTGGCTCCCAGCCATCCTTCAACAGGAATTTTCTGAGTAGCTGTTCTGTGCCCGGGTGCTGCTCTAAGTGCTAGGGATACAACACAGAACAAAACCAACAAAGTCCCTAACCTCATCAGAGTTGATCAGTAAATATATAGCACATCACAGTGTAGCAAGTGCTACACAGAAAAATAAGGCAGGGTCAGGGGAAGGACTATTCTGGTGGTGGAGGGATTATATTTAGGGTGAGTGGGGAAGGCCTCACTGCCAGGGGTCATTTGAGCAGAGAGCAGAGAGAAATGATGATAGAGAATCACACTCTGACCTTAGGATTTATATCTTGTATGCTTCCCCTGCCTGGGACACTCTATCCCCAGATAGCCACATGGCTGACTCCCTCATCTCCTCTGGGTCTCTTTCTTCCATATCTTCTTCATGGTGAGGTCTTCTCTGACACCTTTGGAAAATAGTTGAGCATCACAATCAGTCTCTGCCTCCTCACCCCATTTAATTTCTCTCCATAGAACTTATCACCACCTGGCATATATTTATTATATGTTAATTTAATGCCTGTTTCTAGAACAGGTTGGCAAACCACAGCCCACTGTCTGTTTTATTTTTATTTTTGTTTTTTTGAGATGGAGTCTTGCTCTGTCATCCAGGCTGGAGTGCAGTGGCATGAGGTTGGCTCATTGCAACCTCTGCCTCCTGGGTTCAAGCAATTCTCGTGCCTCAGTCACCTGAGTAGCTGGGATTACAGGCGCATGCTGCCATGCCCAGCTAATTTTTGTAGTTTTAATAAGGACAGGGTTTCGTCATGTTGGCCAGGCTAGTCTCGAACTCCTGACCTCAAGTGATCTGCCCGCCTGGGTCTCCCAAAGTGCTAGGATTACAGATGTGAGCCACCACGCCTGGCCCCACTGTCTGATTGTGTAAATAAAATTTTATTAGAATACAGCCACACTCATCCCTTTGTGTATTGTGTATGGTGGCTTTCACACTACAACAGCAGAGTTGAATGGTTGTGAAAGAGACAGTGTGGTCCTCATAGCTTAAACTATTTGCTATTTGGTCCTTCACAGAAAAAAATTTTGCAGACCCCTCTTCTACAATACAAGCCCTGTGGAAGCAGAAACTTTGTTTTGTTTATTGCTGTCTCCCCAGGTCCTAGTACAGCGCTTGGCATGTAGTAGGTCCTCAATAAATATTAGTTTACTGAATGAGTGAATGAATGTAGGAGAAGAGTAATCAGAATAACCAGAAAACCAGGCCAGTCTTGAGTCTTGAATGCTGTGCTTAAAGGGCTTGGCTGTTCTTCCCTGGTGGTTGGGGAAGGGGGGTGTCCCGTGAGGAGGAGGGTGAGGGAAGCTCTCTGGGTTCTGTCAGTGAAGAGGTTAAACAGCTGTTTCTACCATGAGATTACTATTATTCATGTTGCTATTATTCATACATTACTACTATGCGTGTCCAACGTGCATGTTGGAGACATCATGTGTAAGTATGGGCATGTGGGCACCATTTTTGAAAACCTGGTACTATTACCCAAAGTGGAATAGAGGTTGTTTAAGGGCAGGACCCCCAGGGTCAAAACATGCAGTGGGTGATTCATGCTTCCCCCACCAAGCACCTGTGGAATCTGGAGAATTTAATGAACTTCCCTATACCTCAGTATCCTTGTCTTCAAAATGGGATATTAACAGATCTACCCTCACAGGGTTGTTTATGGATTTAAGGAGTTAGTTAATGTAAAGTGTTTGGATCAGTGACACTCAGTAAACTATTAATGAATATTAGTGATTCTCCACTATTAACAACTCTCCATGATGTCCCCCCATGTGTGTATAATGTCACATAGTAAAGAATTTAACCTTATTCAAAGAGAGGTCTGTCCTTTGCCCTCAGATTTCAGTTGGTAATCTGTAAGCCCTTGAGCTGTCATGCCTGATAGGAGTGCCTTTATTTGCTTAGGGGCCCTGGACCAGCCAGATTGAAGCAATGTGATTTAGGGTAGGGGCTTTGAGCCACACCAAAAATGTGATTTAGGATAGGGAACTTGGTCCAGCCAGATGGTAACTATGTGATGTATAGCAGGGACTCTGAGCCACACCAACAGTGGTGTGTAGGATAGGGGCTTTGGGTCATGAAGCTTTACCTCCTGAGGGCTGGAAACCGAGATCAGCCATGTGGGCAGTAACAGTCCCTACATGATGGAGCCCCAATAAAGACTCTGGACACCAAGGCTTAGGTGAGCTTCCCTGGTTGGCAACACTCCATGCATATTAATGCCAGCAGAGTAATGTTGTTCTAACTCTGCGGAAGAGGCCAACTGGAAGGTCTGCGTTTGCCCCCTGCCTGGACCCTGCCCTGTTTGTCTCTTCTCTTGGCTTATTTAAATTTTAACCTGTATCCATTCCTTGTGATGAACTATGTAACTATGTATATAACCGCTTTCAGTGAGTTCTGCAAGTCACTTTAGCAAATTATCAAAACTGAGGGTGGTTTTGAGAACCCCCTGCATTTACAATTGGTGTCAGTAGTAACGGTGGGTTTGTGTGGACAGTTCTCTCTAAATTTGCGGTTGGCTTTTTGCAAATGTGCAGAGTGTGGGCTTCCATGTATGCCTGGTCCATTCCTGGCCTGACCCCTCGAGAGGCAAACTGTCCCAACACATCCTCCTCAGGGTACCTGTACCCTCTTCAGTTTCCTCTGTCACTGAGGCTGATGAGGAGACAAGGCCACCACATCAGCATCCCAGGTATACCATTTTCTAGGGGCTACAAGACTGGGTGTTTCTGACCTAAATGGGAACCTGGGAGGGAAGAAGATGTGCATATCCCTTCTTTCTCCCCCAGACCTTTGTGGTGAATGCCCTGTCCTCACACTGCAGCCTCACACTGGGGCCACAGAGATAGACAGATGGGGCCTAGTCTATCATTGATGGTCATTTGGGTTGGTTCCATGCCTTTGCTATTGTGAATAGTGCTGCAATAAAAATACGTGTGCATGTAACTTTATAATAGAATGATTTATAATCCTTTGGGTATATACCCAGTAATGGGATTGCTGGGTCAAATGGAATTTCTGGTTCTAGATCCTTGAAGAATCACCACACCGTCTTCCACAATGGTTGAACTCATTTACATTCCTATCAACAATGTAAAAACATTCCTATTTCTCCACAGCCTCGCCAACATCTGTTGTTTCTTGACTATTTATTTATTTATTTATTTATTTATTTTTATTTTTATTTTTTTGAGACAGAGTTTCGCTCTTGTTGCCCAGGCTGGAGTGCAGTGCCGTAATCTTGGCTCACTGCAACCTCTACCTCCCGGGTTCAGGCGATTCTCCTGCCTCAGCCTCCCGAGTAGCTGGGATTATGGGCGCCCACCACCATGCCCGGCTAATTTTTGTATTTTTAGTAGGGATGGGGTTTCATCATGTTGACCAGGCTGGTTTCGAACTTCTGACCTCAGGTGATCCACTCACCTCGGCCTCCCAAAGTGCTGGGATTACAGGCATGAGCCACTGCACCTGGCCATTTCTTGACTTTTTAATAATTGCCATTCTGACTGGCATAAGATGGTATCTCATTGTGGTTTTGATTTGCATTTTTCTAATGATCAGTGATGTTGAGCATTTTTTCATATGTTTGTTGGCTGCAAAAATGTCTTCTTTTGAGAAGTGTCTGTTCATATCCTTTGCCCACTTTTTGATGGGGTTGTTTTTTTCTTGTAAATTTGTTTAAGTTTTTTGTAAATTCTGGAGATTAGACCTTTGTAAGATGGGTAAATTGCAAAAATTTTCTCTCATTCTGTAGGTTGCCTGTTCGATCTGATGATAGTTTCTTTTTGCTGTGCAGAAGCTCTTTAGTTTAATTAGATACCATTTGTCAATTTTAGCTGTTGTTGTAATTGCTTTTGGCAATTTCATCATAAAATATTTGCCCATGCCTATGTCCTGAATGGTACTAAAGAAAATGTGGTACCATGGAATACTATGTAGCCACTAAAAGGAATGAGGTCATGTCCTTTGCAGGAACATGGATGAAGCTGGAAGCCGTCATCCTCAGCAGACTAACACGGGAACAGAAAATCAAACACCGCATGTTCTCACTTGTAAGTGGGAGTTGAACAATGAGAACACATGGCCACAGGGTGGGGAACAACACACACTGGGGCCTGTGGCGGTGGGAGAGGAGGGAGAGCATCAGGACAAATAGCTAATGCATGTGGGGCTTAAAACCTAGGTGACGGGTTGATAAGTGCAGCAAACCACCCCATGTCACACGTATACCTATGTAGCAAACCTGCATGTTCTGCACATGTATCCTGGAACTTAAAGTAAAAAAAAAAAAAAAAAAAAAAAAAAGGAAAAGACAGATGGGGCCTACTCCAAGGGGAATGAGGTTCCCCTCCCAGGGGAAAGAAAAACATATCGATGCATAGCAATGACAATAGTCATAATATTACACATTAATAAAACATGTCAATCCTCTCATTCTTGTGCACACAGCTCTGTGCACACGTGGGTTTTTTTAGGACACATTCTTAGAACTGTCATTGCTGCATCAAGGGAGTTATTCATTCAACAAACACCTAATGAGTGCCTGTTTTCTGCTGGGCACTGTTCTAGGAAGTTGGGAGATGTCATGGGCATGAGGTCCCTGAGTTCTTTGCTGTTTTTCTTCAGAACATAAGCTCTCTGAACTGCTCAAGTTTTTCCGTCCAGAGTTTGTAGTGTATAAGATATTATGGAGTCTGTGTCCTGTATGAGGTCTTTGAATTGTATGGTGGGGTCTGTATCCCAGGGAGTGAGGTCCCCGAGCTGTTCGGGGAATCTTTGTCCAGGATATGAATTATCTGGTACATTGGGAGATCTGTGTCTCAGGATGTGAGGTCTGAACTGTTTGTGGCTCTGTGTCCAGGGTGTGAAGTCTTTGAGCTTTATGGGAGTCTCTGTCTGTAATATGAGGTCTCTGAGCTCTTTGCAGGGGGCGTCGGGGGGTTCTATGTCTAGGATATGAGGTCTTTGAGTTGTCTGGGGATTTTATTTTTATCCAGTGGATGAGGTCTCTGAGATCTGGGGGGATACTTTTTCAGGATGTGAGATTTTAAAACAGGTTGGGATTTTTTTTTCTAGTGTGTAAGCTCTGAGTTCTTTGAGCGTCTGTATCCATGGACGTAATATTTCTGTGCTGCTTGGGGGTCTGCATCCCAGGGTGTGAGATCTGTGTTCCCGGGGAGTTTGTATCACAGTGTCTCTGGGCTCGTGGTAGGTCTGTGTTCACATCATGAGGTGTCTGTATCTTTAGGGGTCTGTATGCTGGATTTGAGGTCTCCCAGCTATTTGGTGTGATCTGTGCAGAATTTGAGGTCTCTGGGCTCTGGGGTTTCTGAACTCAGAGTGTGACTTCTCTGAGCTGTTTAGGGGTCTGTGCCAATGTGTAAGATCTATTAGCTATTTGGACTCTGTTTTATGAGGGTCCTGAACTGGTTGGCTGTTTTGCAGGGTGTGAGGTCTCTGGCTGTTTGGGAATTTGCATTCTTTATGTATATAGTTTTGGGTCTGTGTCTAAGATGTGTCCGTCTGCAGGTCTCTGAGCTGTTTCTGTGTCTGTTCTCAGACTGTCAGGTCTCTGAGGTGTCTGGGGAGTCTGCATTCAGAATGTGATGCTTCTGCACACTTTGAGTACCTGTGCTTGAGAAAGTCAATCTCCTGAGCCATTTGGAAATCTCTGTTTATGATATAAGATCTCTCAGTTGTGTGGCCATCTTTGTCCAGAGTATAAGATCTCTGAGCAATTTGGGGGTCCCTGTCCAAGGTGTGAATTGTTTCAGCAGTTTGAGGGTCCTCATATCGGAGTGTGAGGTCTCTAAGTTGATTGTTTCATATTTAATGTCTGTCTGTTGTTTGGAGGTTGGTGCTCAGGGATGAGGTCTCTGAACTCTGGAGTTCTGTGTTCCAAGGTATGAGTCTGAAGTATTTCAAAGTCTGTTAGGGCTATGAAGTCTCTAAACTTTTTGAGGGTCTGTATTTCAAGTTGTTTGAATCTGTGGTATTTGGGGTTTTGTATTCCAGGTGTGAGGTCTCTGAACTAATTAAGGGTATGGGTTCCAAGGTGTAAGTCGAAAGTACTTTCAGTCTGTGTTTAGGGTATGAGGCCGCTGAAATCTTTGACGACATTTTCCCCAAGGTTTTAGTCTGTTGATTTGGGGTCCGAGTTCAGGATTTGGGGTTTTAAGTGCTTGAATGATCTGTGGCCTAAGGTCTGAAGTAAGTGTTCAGGGTGTGTGGTTTCTGAAATCTCTGAGTGTATTTCTTGGGGTTTGAATATGGGAAAGCTGGGTGTCTTTTTCAGAGTGTGAAGTCTCTGAACTTATAGAGGGTTGCTGACAAGGTTTGGATTGGAGGTATTTGAGGGCCTGTTTTCAGGCTGTGTGGTCTCTGAGCTTTTAAAGGGTCTTTGTCCTAAGGTTTTAGTGTGAATTATTTGGGCTTCTGCCTAAGATGTGAAGTCCTTGAATTTTTAGAAGGTGTATGTCCCAAGGATAGAGTCTAAGATGTTTGGACATGTGTCCAGTAGAGTTCTAAGTTTGGGTTAAGGTATTTGGGGCCTGAATTCAGGGTGTGAGATACATGATCTTTAAGGGTCTGTATTCCAAGTTTTGAGTTTGAAGCATTTGGAGGTTTATGTTCAGAGTGTCAGGTCTGAACTCATGGAAGGTCTGTGTTGCAAGGTTTCAGTTTAAGGCATTTTGGGATCTTTGATCAGGTTGTAAGTTCTCAAGAATCATTGAGAGTTTGCAATCCAAGGTTTGAGTCTGAGACATGTGGGTGTCTCTGTTCAGGATATAAAGTCTCTGAACTCTTTGAGGGTGTGTGTCTCAATTTTTTTTTTGTCTAAGTTTTTGGAGGACTGTGTTCACAGTGTGAGGTCTCTAAACTCTCTGAGGATCTGTGTCCCAATGTTGGAATCAGGTATTCGGGGTCAATATCTAATGGTGTGATATCTCTGAAAACATTGAAGGTCTGTGTTTTAATGTTTAAGTCTGACATATTTGGAGGGTCATATTCAAGTGTGAGGTCTCTGGAACTTTAGGAAATTACCAAGATTTTATGAGTCAGTCATTTAGTAGCAGTGTACAGGGTATGAGGTATCCGAACTTTTGGAGTTTCTGTATCCAAATACTTGGTTCTGAGGTATTTGGGGGTCTGTAGTCAGGGTGTGAGATCTCTGAACTTTTAGAGTGTCTATGTACCAAGCTTTTATTGTGAGTTATTTGGAGTCTGTATTCAGGGCAGGAAGTCTCTGAATTTTTGAGGGCTCTGAATTTTTAAAGTCTCTGTCCCAAGATTTGAGTCTGATGTTTCTGGGGATCTGTGTTCAGGATTTGGGGTCTCTACTATTTGAGGGCCTTTGTTCCAATTTTTCAGCTCAAAGTGTCTGGGAGTCCATGTTTAAGGTGTGTTGTGTTTGAAGGCATTAAATCTGAGGTGTATTCGTCCGTTTTCACACTGCTGATAAAGACATACCCGAGACTGGGAAGAAAAAGAAGTTTAATAGACTTACAGTTCCACATGGCTGTGGAGGCCTCACAATCATGGTGGAAGTCAAGGAGGAGCAAGTCACATCTTACATGAATGGCGGCAGGCAAAGAAGGAGAGCTTGTGCAGGGAAACTCCCATTTTTAAAACCATCAGATCTCGTAAGACTCACTCACCATCACAAGAACAGCAAGGGAAAGACCCGACCCCATGATTCAACCATCTCCCACCAGGTTCCTCCCACAACATGTTGGAATTATAGGAGCTACAAGATGAGATTTGGGTGGGGACACAGAACCAAACCATATCATGAGGGATCTGAGGTGAATGTTCAGGGTGTGAAGTCTCTGAATTTTAGAGGGTCTTTGTTCTAACGCTTTAGTGTGAATTACTTAAGGTCTGAGTTGGAGTTTGAGCTGAGTGATTTTTTAAAGGGTGTCTGTCCCAAGTTTGAGTTGGTGGTATTTGTGGTCTTTGTTCAGGGTATGATGTCTCTGAACTCCTTGAGGGTCTATTTTTGCAAGGTTTGAGTCTGAGGACTTGGGCGTCAGTATTCTGGTCAAGAGGCCTCCCAAATTTATGAGAGTCTGATGTTTGAGTCTGAGGCACTGAGGATCCTCTGAACTATTGAAGATCTATGTCCCAAAGGATGAGTTTGGAGTATTTAGGGGTCTGTGTTTAGTATGTTAGTTCCCTGAACTCTTGGAGGATTTTGATTTTAACGTTTGAATCTGAGATATAAGAACATGTGTGCAGAGTGGTGTGGACTATGTACTCATTGAAGTCTGTCCCCCATGGCTTGAAACCAATGTGTTTTAGGGTCAATATTTAGGGTATCAGGTCTCTGAATTTTTATTATGTCTGTGTCTTAATATTTGAGTCTGAGGTATTTGCAGGTTCATATTCAGAGTGCAAGGACTCTGAAATCTTTGAGAGTATGAGTTACAAGGTTTAAGTCTGAGGTGTTGGGAGGTCAATGGTCAGACTGTTTTCTCATATCTTTGAGGGTTCATATTTGAATGTTTGAGTCTGACATATTTGGGGATCTATATTCAGGGTACGCAATTTCTGAACTATTGGGGATCTGTGTCCCAGGGTATCAGTCTATAGTATTTGAGGGTCTTTTCATAGTGTTAGGACTTTAAACGCTGAGGAATCTGGGTTTTGATGCCTGAGTCTGAGGTCTGGGAATCTGTATTTAGGGAGTGTGGTCCTTGAACTCTTTGAAGGTCTGTGTCCTGAACTTTCAACCTGAGCTATCTGGGGATCATTGCTCAGGGTGTGAGGCCTGTAGACTTTTAGAGTGTGACGGAGGCTTTGTGTGCCAATTTTTGGGTCAGCGTTCAGGGTGTGAGGCCTCTGAACTTTCTAGAGAGTCTATATCTTAAGGTTTTAGTCTGAGGTGTTTGGAGGTCTGTGTTCAGGGCTTGCGATCTTTGAATGCTTTGGCAGTTTGTGTCCCAAGATTGAGTTGGAGGTGTTTCAGGGTCTGTGTTTAGGGTTTGAGGTCTCTGAGTTCTTTGAAGGTCTGAGTCCCAAGGTTTGTTCCCATTTTTGTGTCTGAAGTATGTAGGGGTCCATGTTCAAAGTGTGTTGTATTTGAACTCATTGACTGTTGCATCGCAGGGTTTAAATCTGAGCGTCAGTGTTCAGGGTGTGAGGTCTCTCAATTTTTAGAAGAGCTTTAACCCCAGTTTTTTAGGGTCAATTATTTGGGGGTCTAATTTTAGGGTGTGAAGTCCATAATTTTTAAGGGTCTCTGTTTCAAGCTTGGGTCATGATTTTTGTGGTGTGTTTTCACGGTGTTTGACATTTGAATTCTCTGAAGTTCTGTGTCTCAACTCCTAAGACCAAGGTAAAGGGGAGTCTCTGTACTTGGCATGAGGTCTCTTTACCCTTTGAGGGTCTGTTTCAAGGTTTGAGTCTGAATTATTTGGGTCTGTGTTCAGAGTTTGAGATCTTTGAACTTTTTAGAGGGCCAGTGTCTCAATATTTGAGACTGAGGTATGTGGGCCCATGTTCAGGTTGTGAGGTGTCTGAGCTCATTGGCGTTTTGTGTCCAAGATATGAGTCAGAGCTATTTGGTGACCTGTGTTCAGAGTTTGAGTTTTGAAAGTCTGAGTTCCAAAGTATGAATCTGAGGAATTTCTGTGTCTGCTCATGAGTTCACTAAACTATTGAGGGTCTGTGTTTTAAGCTTTGACTCTGACATATTTGGGGTGTGTACTTGGGTGTGAGGTCCTTGAACTTTTAGGTGTGATTAAGGCTTTTTGTATCAATTTTTTTGGTCAATGTTTAAGGTGTAAGGCCTCTGACTTTTCTAGAGAGTCTGTATCTTAATGTCTTAGTCTGAGGTATTTGGAGGTCTGTGTTAAGGGTTTAAGGTCTCTGAACTCTTTGGTAGTTTGTGTCCCAAGAATTGAGTCTAAGGTATTTTGGGGACCTTTGTTTAAGATTTGAGGTCCCTGACCTCTTTGAGAGTCTGAGTCTCAAGTTGTACCAATTGGTGTCTGTTCCAATTTTTGTGTCTAAAATATTTGGGTGTTCATATTCAGGATGTGTTTTGTTTAAATTCATTGAAGTTCTGTGTTCCAGTGCTTGAGTCTGAAGTTTGTGGGGGTCAGTTTCAGAATGTTAAGGTTCTCTGAATTTTTATAGGTCTTTGTTCCAGAGTTTTAGCATAAATTATGTGTTGTCTGAATTCAGGGTGTGAAGTCTGTGTTTTTCCCAATTTTGGGTCAGTGGCATTTGTGGTCTGTGCTTAGGGTGTGAGGTCTCTGCATGCATTGAGGGTTTGTGTTCCAAGGTTGAATCTAGGTACCTGGTGGCCAGGGCCGGGGGGTGTCTGTATTCAGTTTGTGAGGACTTTAAAATCTTTGAGGGGTTGTACTTTGACGTTTAAGTCTGATATATTTGGGGATTTTCATTCAGGGTATGAGGTTTCTTTATTATTGAGCCTTTGTGTCCCATGGTATATGTTTGTGCTGTTTGGGTTTGAGTTTTAGGTGTTTTGAGACCTGTATTCAGAGCATGAGGTCTCTGAACCCCAGTCCCAGGATGTGAAGTTTCTAAGCTGTTTGGGATTCTCTAAACCAGTGTCGATGACATGTTCCTGTTTGTGGGTCTGGTTCCAGGGTATGTGGACTGGGCACTTTTGTGGACTCTCTAAGGTAAGAGTTCTTGGAGCTATTTTAGGATCTGTGTTTAAAGTGTGAGGATTCTGAACATTTTTTGGATCTTTTTTCAGAATGTTAGGTCTCTGAACTCTGGGGAATCTCAGTTAATGTTTGAGTCCAAAGTATCTGGGGATATGTGTTCAGAGTGTGAAGCTTCTGAACTCTTTGAAGGTGTGTCCCAAGGTATGAGTGTGATGTACTTGGGCTCTATGTTCAAAGTTTAATGTCTGTGAACTTTTGGAGGGTCTGCATCTCAATATTTGAGTAATTTTAATTTGTGGGTCTGTGCTCAGGGTGTGAGGTCTGTGAATTCTTTGAGGGTCTGAGTCCCAAATCTAAGGTATTTGTGTGTCTCTGTTCATGGGGTGAATCTTGAAGTCTTTGAGGGTCTGTATTCCAAGGTTTTGAGTTGGAAGTGTTTGGTTGTCCGTGTTGAAAGTGTGAGGTCTCTGAATTGTTTGAGCGCCTTTGTTTCAAGTTTTGAATATGAGTTTCCTGGTGGGTTCGGGAGTGGTCTGTTTTCAGTCTGTGAAGTTTCTAAGCTTTTTGGTGTCTGTGCTCCAAGGTCTGAGTTTTAGGTGTTTTGAGGCCTGTATTCAGGGCATGAGGTCTCTGAACTCAGCAAGGTGTGTGTTCCAAAGTTTGAGTTTGAGGTGTTTAGGGGACTGCATTCATGGTGTGAGTTCTCTGAACTCTTTGAGGGTCTGTAGTCTAAATGTTCAGTTTGAGGTATTTGGAGGTCTTCGGTCAGGGAGTGAGATCTCTGAAGTCTTTGAGGGTCTGTTTCCCACAGCTCGAGTCTATTGTTTTTAGGACCAGTATAGAGAGTACGTCTTCTCTGAACTCATTCGGAGTCTGTGTTCAGGGTGTGAAGTCTCTTAACTCACTGAGGGTCTATGTTCCAAAGCTGAGAATCTCTTAATTCTTCAAGAGCAGTGTTTCGGCCAGGCACGGTGGCTCATGCCTGTAATCCCAGCACTTTGGGAGGCCGAGGTGGGCAGATCATGAGGTCAGGAGTTCGAGACCAGCCTGGCCAACATAGTGACACCTTGTCTCTACTAACAATACAAAAAAAAAAATTAACTGGGTGTGGTGACACCCATCTGTAGTCCCAGCTACTCGGGAG
This sequence comes from Homo sapiens, assembly GCF_000001405.40. Classification (NCBI taxonomy): domain Eukaryota; kingdom Metazoa; phylum Chordata; class Mammalia; order Primates; family Hominidae; genus Homo; species Homo sapiens. The sequence continues at coordinate 49,794,843 of NC_000023.11, forward strand.
GCTGAGGCAGAAGAATCACTTGAACCCAGGAGGCAGAGGCTGCAGTGAGCCAAGATCATGCCACTGCACTCCAGCCTGGGTGACAGAGTGAGACTCTGTCTCAAAAAAAAAAAAAAAGCAGTGTTTCAAGATTTCAGTCTGAGTATTAGGGCCTATGTTCCCATGTTTTGTCCCTGATAACTGGGGTGAGAGGGGCGTGTGTCCTTGTTCCAGGATGTAAGGATGCTGAACTGTTTAGGGCTTTGTGTTCAGGGTGTGAGGTCTGTGATTTGTGCAGAGGTCTCTGAGGTGTCTGTGAATTTGTGTTTAGTGTGAGAGGTTGCTGAGTTCTTTTGGTGTCTTCGTGCAGAGAGTGAAGTCTTTATACTCTTTGGTCAGTTACAGGGTGTGAAGTTTCTGAGCTCTTTGGGGCTCTCTAAATCAGTGCTGATGAAGTATTCCTGTTTGTGGGTCTGGTTCCAGGGTGTGTGAACTGGGCACTGTTGTGGACTCCCTAAGGTATGAGTTCTTGGAGCTATTTTAAGATCTGTGTTTAAAGTGTGAGGTCTCTGAAAATTTTTTTGAATCTGTGTTCCTGGCTTTGAAATTTTTAAACTCTTTGGAACACTGTGTTTCACAGTGAGAGGTCTCTTAGATTTTGGGATTCTTTGGCCAGGTTATGAGGTATTTGTTCTGCTTATGGGTCTGTGTTCAGTTTATGAGGTCTTTGGCTAATTGTGTGTCTGTGTGCCAGGTAGAAGACCATTTAGCTTTGGAGTTCATTGTTCAGAGAATGAACTATTGGGACTTTTGAAGGTCTCTGGACAGAATGGGGGTCTGTGCCCCAGGGTGTAAAGTCCATGATCTCTTTTGGTGTCTGTGTCCCAGAAGGTGAGGTTTTAAGCTTTTTTGAGGTTTTTGAGGGGGGTTCTCTGACCATGACTTTGACAAAGTGGTCCAAGGTGTGAGATTTCTAAGTTAATTGTGGGTCTGTTTCCCAATGTTCAAGGTCTTTCACCTGTAAGGGGATCTGTGTTCAGGTTCAGAGGTCTGTAAATCTGTTTCTAGGTCTTTGCCCTGGATATTAGATCTCTGAATTGTTTGTTTCTTTCCAAGCGTGAGATCTTTCAGCTTTTTGGAGGCTTGTGTTCAGGCTGTGATATCTGTAAGCTCTGTGGGGATCTGTGTCCCAAATTTTGAGGTGTCTGAGGTCTTCTGGGTCTGGATTTTTGGTGTGAGGTCTCAGAACACCCTTTGTCCCAAAGTGTAAGGATGCTGAACTGTTTGGGAGTTTGTGTGCAGGTTGTGAGGTCTCTGAATTCTTTAGTTGTCCAAATCTATGGTCTGACTGTGGGTGAGGTCTTGAGCTCCTTGGGGGCCTTTCTCTCAGGGTGTGAGTTTTTTGTGCCTTATACAACTCTGTGGTCTAGGATGTAAGATCTACTTACTGTTTGGTGGTCTGATTCCTATGGTATGAGTTCTGTGGCTTCTAGGTGGTCTGTGTTCAGGGTGTGGATTCCTTGAGCTCTTTGCAGGGATTGTGTAGACTCTACACTGTAGAGGATTTGGGAATCAAAGCTATAAGGGTATATTGTCAGCTCTCTGAAGAGTTTGATGGTCTATTTTCCAGTACATGTTTTCTATGGCTCTTTGAGGAAGGGTTCTGTGCCCCAGAATGTGAGGTATCTGAACTTTTGGTGAGTCTGTTTAGCGTGTGAGTCTTGTGAGCCTTTTGGAGGTCTGTTCCAAGGGCATGAGGTTTTTGAGTTCTTTGGTGTTCTGTTTACAAGATATGAGCTCTCTGAGCTGTTCACATGTCTGTCAAGACTGTGAGTTGTCTGAGTTGCTTGGAAGAAGTGGTCCAAGGTGTGGGCTCTCTAAGGTCTTTGGGGCTCTGTGCCCAGGGTTTTAAGTCTCTGACCTAGTTAAGGGTCTTTGCCTAGGCTTGAAGGTCACTCAACTCTTCGGACATCCATTCTCAAGGTAGTGAAGTCTATGGATATTTAGGGGTCTAGATCCTCAGTGTAAAATGACTTAACTCTAAGGGTGTGTTTGTCCCTGATGTGAGGTCTCTGATCTAGCTGAGTATGTGCGATCCAGGGTATTTTAGCAAGATGTTTGAGGATCTGTGCCAGAGTGTGAAGACTCTGCTGTTCAGAACTGTCTGTTCTGGATGTGAAGTTTATGAGCTGTGTAGGGGTCTGTGTCCTTCTAGGATTTGGGCTCTGTTACTTGTAGATCTGTATCCATAGTGTGAGGCCTTTGGGGGTCTCTTTCCACAGTGTAAAGTCTCTTCGCTGCTTCAGGATTTTTGTCCCGGGGTGTCAGGTCTATGAACTCTTTGGGGTCTGAATCTAGTCCTTTGGCTTCAGCCCCTCCAGGGGTTCATCTCTAGAGTGCATAAAGGTGGGCAGGGAGTAGGCAGGGGTGGGGATGAGGAGTGAGGGATGGAACAGGCCTCTCCCAGGAGCGGTGATGGAACAGCCCACTTTGGGAAGTTCCAATGAGTAGGGGCCACCCATTTCAAGATAAATTATCATGTGTGTTGGGTTTGGTGCTTGGGAAGACATACAAGGGCCACTTCACCTTGGCAGTGGATCTATGACAGCCCTTGGTGGACACAAAGGTTATTCTGTCTTGAGTGTCTTAAGTCTCCATCTCCTCCTCCAAGCTGCTTCTACCCGGCCTCATGAAAACACCTGTTTTTGGTTTGCTGTGGCCATATGCTCAGTGTCCTCTAGTGCTATTTCTTTTACCATCCCTCCTCTCTGTATCTAGGCTATGGGATTGTACCCAGGGTCAGGCAATCAGCTTTGGTATGAGGAAGGCAGGATGGAGGAACTTTGTGGTTCCTAATTGATCTATGAATTTCCAGTGAGCAGATCCTATCCCACCTTCAGGACAAGGTGTTGTTTCGTCCTTTGATAACTTGACCAGAAACACTGTTATCACCCGCTGTGTGATTCCATCACAAGTTACTTGAAGCCACTGAGTCCACAAATGCAATGAAAAGAAAACGTGAAGGTAATAATGACTATGACTCCATGTGAAGAGGATGATGAGGGCTTAATGCAAGTCACAGATGGTGCTAGCTCCTATTCTGAGGTATAGAAAGGGAGTATTCAGGATCTTACTAAGGATAAGGTTTTTGATGCAGTGTGTTCTCTGTACCCTTCCACTCCCCTACTCCTCTGGGTTACTCTCTGTATTACCTTTTATTTTACTTGGTTGTAAGTTGTCTGAGAGATTTTTAGGGTCCCCCACTATACTTTGTCATCTTTGGAGTCGGTGCTAATATCTTAACCTTGTTCCACCAGTGCAAAGTCCCTGTATGGAGGTGTTTTATGTTAAATTGGAGGTGAGGGCTGGATGCATTTGTAAAACCTGGGTTAAATATGACTATTTTAATGTCCTTTTAAGGTGAAATGATTACAATTGACAAATCGAATTTGTCAAAGTTCTGGCAAAAAAACTTGGTTCAAATTTCGTTTCTAAAAACAATTAACTTGGGGAGATCTGGTTTACTATTGCAGCAGAAGTCCATTATAGCCCGTCTCTCTGGTTGACTACAACTCAAAACTCTGGACAAAATACAAAAGCAATTACTTGAGGATTCTGAAAAGTAAGCTAAAGCAGTTGGATTGTGGGGGTGAGGCAAAATTTACAGAAGCTATTGGGATTAGATTACTGGATGTCTTTATTTTTTATTTCATGACGTTGACCCCAGTCCAGGTAGTGCAGGTGACTAATACTCTGAGAGAAACACTATCCTTTGGCCAGAGGAAACAGGAATAGGGATCCATATGAATCCTGCACAAGTCTTAGCCTAGTCCCTGAGCTATGCATGTGTAGAACAGACCAAGACCAGTGTAGCAAAAACTGAGGGAACTGAGCTGTGATTTGAACTGCCCTCTCTAGTTTAAGACTAACATCTGAACTATACATGTACAGAGCAGACACAAACCAAAGTAGCAAAAGCTTAGAGAGTTGAACTGAGATTAGAACCACCACTCATATGGGAACAGATAGAAGTTCAGTTATGACTCTAACTGGGTTGATTTCCTGCTAAAACTAAAATATCAACATTCTTCAAAGGACCCAGAATCTACAGAAGAACATATTACATATAATGGCCAAGGCACAAATCAAAATTTGCTTGACTATAGCAACCATTTTACTATGTAAAAGCACATCAAAACATCATATTGCATACTATACATATATAAAATAAAATAGTAACAATAATAAAAAACAAAAAACTAAAAAATTACTTGGAAAAAAAATACAGCAAAATGCTTCCAGTTCTCAAGGGAAAAGACTAATGCCATCCCCAAGATGACCTAGTTGTTGGAAATTTCAGACAAAGACTTGAAAGTAGCTATTTTAACTGTGTTCCATGAAGTAAAGGAAAATATACTTGAATTTAATGAAAGCATAGGAATTCTCAACAGAGAAATAGAAATTTTAACGAAGAATTACATGAAAATGTTAGCACTGAAAAATAAAATATCTCAAAAATTTCACTGTATGGGTTAAAATAGAATAATGGAGCCCAGGAGTGGTGGCTCACACCTGTAATCCCAGCATTTTGGGGGGCTGAGGCGGGTGGATCATGAGGTCAGAAGTTCGAGACCAGCCTGGCCAACATGGTGAAACCCCGTCTCTACCAAAGATACAAAAAATTAGCTGGGTGTGGTGGCATGTGCCTGTAATCCCAGCTACCTGGAAGGCTGAGGCAGGAGAATCGCTTGAACCTGGGAGGCGGAGGTTGCAGTGAGCCGAGATCAAGCCATTGCACTCCAGCCTGGTGACAGGGCAAGACTTTGCCAAAAATACAATAAAATAAAATAAAAATAAAAGAAGAAGAATGGAGAAAATAGAGGAAAGAGTCAATGAACTTGAACCTAGATCAATAAAAATGATATAATTTTTAGACCAGAGACATTAGTTTTTAAATGGACAGATCCTCAGAAACCAATAGGACAATATCAAAAATTTTCACATTAGTGTAATTGGAGTTCCAGAAGGAGAGAAAAAAGAGATAGTAATATAAAAGACATTTAAAGATATGATGGCTGAAAATTCCCCAAATTTGGTAAAAGACCACCACACACTCAGACACATCATAATCAAAGTGCTGAAAAGCAAAGATGAAGAAAACCTGTCTTGAAAGTTGCCAGAGAAAATGGCACATTACATAGAAAGGTACAATTCAAATGGCTGCAGATTTCTTATCAGAAATCATGAAAGCCAGAGGATAGTGGAATGCCATCTTTGAAGTCCTGAAAGAAAAGAACGGTCAACCCAGAGATCTATTTCAAGTGAAAATATTATTCAGGAATGAAGGTAAAATAAAGACATACTCAGATGAAAGAAACAACAGTCCTGCTCTATTAAGAAATACTAAAGGAAGTTCTTCAAGTTGAAGGGAAATGATATAAGAAGGAAATGAAGATAGTTGGTAATGATGGAAGAGCAACAGAAATAGTAAATAACTAGGTAAATATAATTTTCCCTCTGAAGTTTTCTAAAATACATATGTTTGCTTAAACAAAAAATTATAATATTGTCTGATGAGGGTTTTCATAGATGTAGATGTAATATATCTGACCACTGTAACATACAGGTCACTGGGAGTGGAATAAAGGGAACTATATGTTTGCAATGTTTCTACATTTCACATGAAGTGGTAGGCTTCTGCTTCTGGCCAAGATGGAGTAATAGGAGCCAGAATCACCTTTCCCCAGACTAGCAGAACTACATGCATAAATAGGTAGTCTCCAACTTCAGTTAGAGGTTTCAGTACCTCTTTCAATAATTGATAGAACAAGCAGACAGAAAATCAGTGAGCATATAGAAGATTTGAACAAGACTCTTAATCAAGTTGACCTATTGGTATTTGTAGAACACATCACACAACAAATGCAGAATGCATTCTCATTTCAAGTGCCTATGGAACATGCACCAAGATATTCTGAGCTATATAATAGATTTCAATAAGTTTAAAAGGATTCAAGTCATGCAAAGTCTATTTTCTGACTCCAGTGAAATTAGAGATCAATAACATAAAGATCTCTGGAAAATCTCCAAACGTTTTGAAACTAAATAACTCTATGTAACCCATGGATCAAAGGGAAATTAAAAAGTATTTGAGCTAAATGGAAATAGAAGTACTGTATATCAAGATTTGTGGGATGCCATTAAAGGCATACTTGGAGGAGTATTTATTACATCAAACTCCCGTATTAGAAAAGAAGAAATTCATAGCTAAGAAAGTTGTAGACTATAGTTAATAACAATATATTGTATATTTGAAAATTTCTAAGAGAGTAGATTTTAAATATTCTCATCACAAAGATAGATAAGTATGTGAGGTAATATATGTATTAATTATCTTGATTTAGCTATTCCATAATGTATACAGTTATCAAAACATCATGTTGTATACCATAAATATATATAAATGCTATTTGTCAATTAAGAAATGGAAAAGAAGGCTGGGCGCGGTGGCTCACGCCTGTAATCCCAGCACTTTGAGAGGCCGAGGCAGGAGGATCACGAGGTCAGGAGATCGAGACCATCCTGGCTAACACGGTGAAACCCCGTCTCTACTAAAAATACATTTAAAAAAATTAGCCGGGCGTGGTGGTGGGCACCTGTAGTCCCAGCTACTCGGGAGGCTGAGGCAGGAGAATGGCGTGAACCCGGGAGGCAGAGCTTGCAGTGAGCCAAGATCACGCCACTGCACTCCAGCCTGGGCAACAGAGCAAGACTCCGTCTCAAAAAAAAAAAAAAAAAAAAAAGAAATGGAAAAGAAAACAAACAAAAAAAGGAAAAAAGAAGAAAGCTTGCAAAGCAATGACCTTAGCTTTCATCTTGAGAAACTAGAAAAATAATAGCAAATTAAACTCAAAGCAAGTACATCAAGTGGTATGATATAAATTCAAACTAGACACTGTGAAAGGTTAGATGTGTATATTATAATTCTAATAATGAGACAAAAAAGACAACAGATAAATTAAAAGGAAGACCAAATATATTCAAATAATTCAAAAGAAGGCAGGAAATGGGGAAAAAGAACAGATAAATAAGCAAATAAAAGCCAGAAGGAATAAACAGAACAAGTCCCTTCCCAATAACCTCAGAGCCAAAATACAACCCTGCCAACTATTACATTAAATGTTAACAGTATAAACAATTCAATTAAAATGCAGAGATACATAGAGTAAATAAAAAGCCAGGCCCTACTAAATACTACACATAAAAGACATACTTTAAATATAAAGAGACAGAGAGTTTCAAAAGTAAATGGATAGAAAAGTTATACTATACACAGGAAAAAATATGAGAAGACTGGAGTGGGTTTTATAAATCAGACAAAATAGACTTGAAGACAGTATTATCACAAATGAAAGGGAAATGTCATAATCATAAAGATGACAGTACCTTAGAAATATGTAACAATTATAAATGGTATACACCTAATGATAGAGTCTCAATGCACATAAAGTAAAAATAGACAGAACTGTAATAGATTTTAACAACACTTCTTACTTGATAGAATAACAAGACCAAAAAAATTGTAGAAGGCATAGAAGGTTTGAAGATCACTATCAAGCACCTTGACCTAATTGACATCTATAGAATACTTCATGCAACAATTACAGAATATAAAGTCTTTTCAAGAGCACATGATACATTTCACCACAATAGATCAGAGGCTGAACCTTAAAATATACCTCAATAAATTTTAAAGAGTCAAGGTCATACAGAGTACATTCTATGGTTATTAGATTAGAAATCAATTATAATCTGATATATTGGAAATCTCCAAATATCTGAAAATTAAACAACACACTTTTAAATGATTCATGGGTCAAAAATGAAATCACAAGGGAAATTAGAAAATGTTTTGAGCTGAATGATAAAGTAGAACAGATCAAAATTCAGGGGATTGAACTACAGAGATGCTTAGAGGGAAATTTATAGCTTTAAATGGTAATATTAGAAAAGAAGTACATAAAATCAATTATCTAAGGTTTCCCCTTAAGAAGCTAAACAAAAAAGTACAAAGTTAACCCTTGGTAACAAGAAGGAAGGAAAAATAATGATAATAATAGGACTCAACATTATAGGAAACAGATAATAGAGAAAATTAACAAATCCAAAGCAGATCTTTGAAAAGATCAACAAACTTGACAAACCTCTAATTAAACTAAAGAAGAAAACTAAAGAGAGGAAACAAATCACTAATATTAGGAACATACATGAGATTTTCACCAGGGACCCTGCAGACATTCAAAGGATAATAAGAAAAATAGTAAACAACTTTCAGCCAACAAATTTGACAACATAGATATGTCAAGTGGGGAAAGAAGTCAAACTTTGATTCAGACCAAATTTCTGCATGGTCACCTCCTTGGGAAGCTCTTGAATGGCCCATCAGTTATTCTGAGTTGGGTCTAGATGACTGTGCCTTTATACCCCTATGTTGATCAGTCATTAAATGGGGGCTATCCAGGGAAGGAGTGTGATCTTTAGTGAAGCATCTGCCTACAGTTGAGACAGTCCTTGAAGGGGCTGACAGCTGTCTGATAATAGCACACCCAGCAACTGAGGTAATAAGCCCTTCATTGGAGGGGGACTGGGTAGTTAATTAATGTCCACCACGGGTCCTTATAGGAACACTTGAAAGCAGTTCAACACTGTCAGTGACAATGCAGGGCACCTTGAGATGGAGAGAATTAAAGGCATGATGTCTTATTAAAGTAATGGGTCCGGGCACGGTAGCTCACGCCTGTAATCCTAGCACTTTGAGAGGCGGAGGTGGGCGGATTGCCTGAGCTCAGGAGTTCGAGACCAGGCTGGGCAACACGGTGAAACCCTGTCTCTACTAAAATACAAAAAATTAGCCAGGCATGGTGGCATGCGCCTGTAGTTCCAGCTACTCAGGAGGCTGAGGCAGCAGAATTGCTTGAACCTGGGAGGCAGAGGTTGCAGCGAGCTGAGGATCATGCCACTGCACTCCAGCCTGGGAGACAGAGCAAGACTCCGTCTCCAAAAAATAATAAATAAATAAATAAATAAACAAATAAATAAAATTAATTAATTAATTAAATAATGGATAAAAACATAACAGCAGTAATATCTATCACCTACTATGAGTCAGGCATTGTGGTAGGGAACAGAGATACTGAGAGAAGAAGAGATAATCTTTGCCCTCAGTGGGAAGAGGCACAACAGATAGTGTGAAACTAAATCTCACAAAAAAATTCATGTTATAATAATGCCATAGGAGTGAAGATGGGCGAATAAGAGGTAAGTGTGGTGAGTGGGCTGGATTTCCAGAAAGGTTTTAGGTAACATTTTAGCATCTACAAGACTAAGGGAGTTTTGTACAGGATGTGGCATTTGAGGTGTTCTTTAAACATAGTCCTGATTTTTAATGCGCTTGGAATTGGAATATTATTTGGTTTAGAAAAATATGATGTACACAAGAGTTCTTCCTCTAAAACAACTGCTTATGGAGGACACACCTGTATTACTATAAACAATATATTTTTCTGAGAAATACTTTTCCTGTCAATTATGTGCTGCATTTTAAAAACAACCGTTATGCTGTCTTCAGGACAAACATTTCTTTTCCCTCTGAAAATATAATGGAATCTATAGCAAGCAAAAGCAAGATTTATTTAGGGCATTTAAATTTACAGACATCATTTTGGAAATGTGCTTATGATTTTTAAAAATCCCCTCTACCACTTGGCTATTCATTTACAGGACCCATCAATAGGAAATGGTACTTCATTCAGTCACCTCAGATTTAAATCTTGGAATACAGAACCCCAAATAATTCAAAGACCTCATACCCTGAACACAACCCCAAAACCTCACACTTAACCTTGGAATAAAGGCCCTTAGAGATTTCAAAGACATCACACTTTAAACACAAACCAACAAATAGCAAAGTCTCTACCTTAAAACATAGACACTCAATGAGTTTGGAGGCCTCATACCCTGACATGAACTCCCCAAATATCTCAGATTAAAAACCTGGGACACAGACACTCAACTATACCTCACACACTAAACTTAAGACTCCAAAGACCTTAGACCCAAACTTGGAACAAAGATCATGAAAGAGTTGAGATACCTTGCACACTAAATACAGACACTCAAGTACCTCGTACCCAAACCTCAGAACACAGAATCTCAAAGACTTCAGAGACCACACAACCTGAATACAAACCCCAAACACCTCAGACTCAAATCTTGGGGTACAAATCTTCTAAATGTTCAGAGACTTCACCCTGAACAGAGTCTTAAAATGCCTTATATTCAAACCTTGGAAAGCGCTCTAAATGAGTTCAGAAACCTCATTCCCTAAAAACAGACCCGTGATTACCTCAGAATCAGGAAATCTTTGGAAAACAGAGCCCCCAAAGAGTTAAGAGACCTCACACCAACACAGACCCCCCAAAACCTCAGAATCAAATCTTTTTACATAGTTTCTGAGAGTTCAGAGACTTTATGCACTGAAAACACATCATCAAATATCTCAGAATCACACCTTGTGACAGACCTTCAAAGAGTTCAGATTCCACAAGCCATTAACTCAGACCCTGAGTTACACAGAATTAAAACCTTGGGACATGACAAAGATGTTCAAAGAATTCAGAGACCTCACACCTTGAACAGACACCTAAATATCTCAGAGTCAAGCCTTGAGATTCAGACCCCCACAGATTTCAGAGACCTTCTAACTTGAATATAGACCCCTGAATACCTCAGACTAAAATTTTGGAACACAGACTCTCAAAGATTTCAGAGACCTAATATCCTGAAAGCAGACAAAGCAGACTCAACAAATACCTCAGACTCAAACCTGGGATACAGACCCACTAAAATTTCAGAGACTAACACCCTGAACACAGTCCCTGAATATCTCAGACTCAAATCTTTAAAAGGGCTCTAAATAAGTTCATAAACCTCACTTTATGAACACAGACCACTAATTACCTCAGACTCAAACCTTGACGCACAATGCCAAAGAGTTCAGGGGCCTTACACCATGAACATTGACCCCCGAAATCTCAGCTCCAAAGCTTAGGATACATACCCTCAAAGAATTCAGAGAGCTCCCAACCTGAACACAGGCAACAAATATCTGAGTTTCAGATCTTAGAAAACAGACACTCAAAAATTTTCTGGGACCTTAAACACAGATGCCCTAAACATTACATATGGAAATCTTCAACCCAGACCCTCAAAAAGTCAGAGACCACAAACTCCGGCCAGAGTACTCCAAATACTTAAGACTTAAAACTTGGTACACAGACCCTCAAAAGTTCAGAGACAACACATCCTGGACTCAGATCCCCAAAGCCTCAGATTCAAACCATGTGGATATGTATCCACAAAGAATTCAGGGGCTTCACATTCTGAACACAGACCACCTATACCGGAGATCAAAAACTTGAAAAAAAGACCTCAAAGGATTTTCAGAGACTTCATCTCTTGAACATAGACTGCCCAACACCTGAGACTCAAATCTTGAAACACAGACCCTCAGAAAGTTCAGAGAACTCACATCCTAACCAGAGTATGCCAAATACTTAAGTCTCAAAATTTGGCACACAGACCCTGAAAGAGTCCGGACACCTCACACACCTTGAACACAGACTCCCAAACACCTAAGGCTAAAATGTAAAAAAAAAAAACCACACAGACTTGCAAAGATTTCAAGGCCCTCACATCCTGAATATGAACCCCCAAATATCTAATACTCAAACTTTGGGGCATAGAACATTTAAAAGTTCAGAGACTTCACACCTTAAACTCAGTTTCTAATACCTCAGGCTCAAATCTTGGAAGAGGCCTATATGAGTTCAGAAACCTTACTCCCTGAAAACTCCCCAAAAACCTTGTGATACAGACCTTTAAAGAATTCAGACACTTTATACCCTGAAAACAAGTCACCTCAGACTCAAATCTTGGGAGAGAACCTCAAAGATCTGAGAAGTCATACCCTGAAAAGAGATCCCCAGGTACCACTCTGTGAACACAGTCCTGCAAATATCTCAGATTTGAATTCTGGAACACAGGCCCTCAAAGAAGTCAGTGCCTTCACATCCTAAATATAAATCCCCAAATACCACAAACTCAAATCTTGGAACACAGAATCTCCAAGAGTACTGAGTCTCTGAGATCTCACACCTTGAAGAGAGACATTAGAACCTCAGAACAAAACTTAGGACAAAAACCTTAAAAGAGTTCAGACCCAAACACCTCAGATTCAAACCTTGTAACAAAGACCCTCAATGACTTCAGAGACCAAAACCCTACAGAAAGTCCCACAATACAGAAACTTGGAATTTTATGTCACAGGCTCCCAAAATCCAAGGACTTCACACTCTAAACACAGAAGAACAAATACCTCAGACTCAATCCTATGAAAAAAATACTGTCAAAAAGATCTCACACTTTGAATGGAGATCCCAAAATGATTCAGATTTAAACACTGGAACACAATTAGTTCAGAGACCTTTCATTCCCTGCTCAGAGGAATGAAACACTTCTGATTCTCAAGTTGGAACAGAAGTCTTCAAAGATTTAATGATTTACACCCAGAACATAAATACCCAAATACCACCGAATATGGGAAAAACAAACTTTTTTCTCCTATTATACTCTCACATCACTCAATACTTCACTTCTGATACCAGATACATGGGAATTTTTGCACACATCAATTCTCCAGTAGACTCCAGCTGGATATCCCACAATTTAACTCAATTCTGACAGTATCTACCTGGAGTTAGAATCAGATCGCATAGGTTACGGGCTCAGTCCCCCAAGACTGCCCTCCATTTCAGGACCCAATTGCAAGTCCAGACCTTCAGTAGTTCTGACTGATATAAATTGTCTCCCACGGCCCCCTCCTTGGGTTCAATCATTTGCTAGAATGGCTGACAAAATCCAGAGAAATGCTTTCTTACATTTACTGGTTTATTATAAAGGATATTACAAAGTATAGAGATGGAGAGATGAAGAGATGTATAGGGCAATGTAAGTGGGAAGGGGCATGGAGCTTCCATGCCCTCTCCTGGTGCACCAACCTTTAGGCACCTGCATGAGTTCAACAACTCTGAAGCTCTCTAAACCCTGCCCTTTTGTGTTTCTATGGAGGCTTCATCAGTTAAATCACTCAATCTTTTAAATAAAACTTTTTATTGGAATTTCATTTGGAAAATATTTATCTTTGTACAGACTTACACTTATGTTCCTTTTTTTTTTTTTTTTTTGAGACGGAATCTCACTCTGTTGTCCAGGCTGGAGTGCGGTGGCCTGATCTCGGTTCACTGCAAAATCCGCCTCTTGGGTTCAAGTGATTCTCCTGCGTTAGCCTCCCGAGTAGCTGGAATTACAGGTGCCTACCACCACACCCAGCTAATTTTTGTATATTTAGTAGAGACGGGGTCTCACCATGTTGGCCAGGCTGGTCTTGAACTCCTGACCTCAAGTGATCTGCCTAACTCGGCCTTCCAAAATGCTGGGATTACAGGCATGAGCCACTGCACCCAGCCAGATTTACGCTCATTTTCCTTCTATTACAATCCAAATCATTTCTTTTCACCTTTTATTTTAGGTTCAGGGGTACATGTACAGGTTTGTTATATAGGTAAATTGCATGTCATGGGAGTTTGGTGTACATTATTTTACCAGCCAAGTAATAAGCATAGTACTCAATAGTTTTTTGATCCTCACCCTCCTCCCATCTTCCACCCTCAAGTAGTCCTGGGTGTCTGTTGTTCTCCTCTTTGTGTCCATATGTACTCAGTGTTTAGCTTCCACTTATAAGTGAGAACATGCAGTATTTGGTTTTCTGTTCCTGTGTTAATTAACTTAGAATAATGGCTTCCCACTCCATCCATGTTGCTGCAAAGGACATGATCTTATTCTTTTTAATGGCTGTGTAGTATTCCATGGTGTATATGCACCACATTTTCTTTATCCAGTCTACCATTGATAGAATTTAGGTTGATTCCATGTCTTTGTTATTGTGACTACTGCTGCAATGAACATACATGTGCATGTGTCTTTATAGCTGAATGATTTATATTCCTTTGGGTATATGCCCCAAAATGGGATTGCTGGGTCGAATGGTAATTCTGCTTTGAGTTCTTTGAGAAATCGCCAAACTGCTTTCCACAATGGCTGAACTAATTTACATATCCAGCAACAGTGTATAAGCATTTCCTTTTTTCTGCAACCTCACCAGCAGCTGTTATTTTTGACTTTTAAATAATTAATTATTATTATTTATATAATTATATAATTTATATAATTAATTATATATTTTATATAATTATATAAATTATAACTATATAATTAATTATAACTATATAATTAATTATAATTATAAGTAATTATAACTATATAATTTATATGATTAATTATATAATTACATAAATTATATAATCATATTTATATAATTAATTATATAATTACATAAATTATATAATCATATTTATATAATTAATTATATAATTACATAAATTATATAATTACATATTAATTATATAAATATAATTATAATTATTAAATATTCGTTATTATAATTAATAATTAATATTTAATAATTATAATTATATAATAAATATGATATAATAATATTATAAGTAATATATTAATTAATATAATTATATTAAGATAAATAATTATATCATATAAGTATATTAAGATAAATAATTATATAAATATATTAAGATAAATAATTATATTATATATATTAAGATAAATAATTATATGATATAATTATATTAAGATAAATAATTATATGATATAATTAATTAAGATAAATAATTATATGATATAATTATATTAAGATAAATAATTATATGATATAAGTATATTAAGATAAATAATTATATGATATAATTATATTAAGATAAACAATTATATTATATTATTATATAATATAAATAATTATATTATATTATTATATAATATAAATAATTATATTATGTAATTAATATAAGATATTAATATAATTAATATACTATAATACATATAATTAATAATTAATCTCACACCCATTCTGATTGGTGTGAGATGGTAACTCATTGTGGTTTTGATTTGCATTTCTCTAATGATTAGTTGATGTTGAACATTTTTTCATATGCTTGTTGGACAGGATCTCTCAACTTTTAGCCCTTCTCCCCTCCAAGGTCAGTGGTGGGGCTGAAAGTTCCAACCCTCTAATCATTGCCCCTGGCAACCAGCCCCCATCCTGAGGCTATCTAGGAGCCCATAGCCACCAATCAATCCATTAGCATGCCAAAGACACATCACTTTGGAGATCCCAATGGTTTTGGGAGGGGTAGAGAACAAATATATACTTCTTACTACATGACAAACACACATAAATCTTGGAACACTGACTCTCAAAAGTTCAGAGACCTCACACAATGAATTTAGATGACAACAACAACAACAACAAAAATCCCAGAAGCAAACTTAGGAAACAAATCCTCAAAGAGGTCAGATACCTTCAACCTTGAAAAGAGACTCCAAACACCTCACACTCCAAACTTGGAACACATACCATGTGAGTGTTCTGCCTCATCACAACCTGAACACCTAAATATTGAATGACAACATCACAACGTGAGTATTGAATACTAGTGATTCAATATTTGGAACCTAGACCCTCACCTAATGAATTCATAGACCTCAACCCAGTACATTAGCTTACAGACAAATGAGACTCAAACCTCATGACACAAAACCTGAAAGATTTCAGATATCACATATCCTGAAGGAGACTCCAAACATTTCAACAGCAACCTTGGACCACAGACCTTCAATGAGTTCAGAGAATTTATGCCTTTTAAAAATAACCCATATATGTCATATAAACATTAAAACACAGACCCTAAAATATTTGTGAGTGCTTACACTCAGAAAACAGATATAAAATGCCTTAGTCTCAAGTCTTGGAACATAGACCCTCAAAGATGTCACAGAACTAAAACTCTAAACACAGATGTGCAAATACCTACCTCAAATTCATTATATAGGACACAGACCCTCAGAGACCTCAGAGATCTCACACTCCAAATGCAGATGTGCATATAACTCAAACTCAATTATATAGTATATAATTATATACAAATATGAAAATAAATATTTATTATTTAATATAATTATATATAATATTATATATGTATTTAATATATCTCAAATATTTAATATATTATATTAATTTAATATATTATATATTAAATAAATGTGTGTATATATTATATATATTTTATATATAATATATATAATATATATATAATATATATATATATATATATATAAAACCTTCAAAGAACCAGATACCTCATACCCTAATTATATACCACCAAATGCCTAAGACCCTGTGGGGGAGTAGTAATATAATCCCCAACAGGTTCTTAGTTGGAATGGACCCCTGTTACAAAAGACAGATTAACAAGAGAAAAAACAAACAGAAGGTTTTTTAACACGTATATTTCATATATACATGGGGAACACCCAGATAATTAGTAGTTCTTAAAGAGATGGCTTTGAATTACAGCTTATATAGCCTTATTAACAAAGAACAGTAACTTTTCAGATAAGTCACAAGACAAAGGAAAAGGATCTTGAGTATCTATAGGCAGCAAGTTGGGGAAAGACAAACAAATGGCAGATAAAGGTGAGTTAGCAAAACTTGCCAATATAAATTCCTCTGGAACCATCTCCAGGCTGATGAAAGTCTAAAGCTGTCTTCATTTGTTAACCTTCACTCTTCCTGGTTGTAGGGAGGGGAGCAGGATACCTTTGTTATTATAAATTATGTCCAGTTTTTAGACAAATAGAGGAAGGGCAGAAAGCTCTCCTGTGCCTATTTTCTCTTAATTGTGTTCAGCTCAACAATCCTTATTTGGGGGAGGCATATTATGGTCTCCCACAATCCCGACCCATCAATCTCAAAGAGTCAGAACCCTCACACCCTGAATAAAGACCCCCAGAAGCTCAGATTCAGAATTTGTACCAAAGATCCTCAGTGATTTCAGAGCCCTCACACCCTAAACATAGATCCGTAAAAACATCAACTAAAACTTCAGGACACAGACCCTCAAAAAGTTCAGAGACTATCACATCCTAAACATAGAGTCCCAAACACCTCAGACTCAAACTCTGGGACATGGAGTCTCAAAAAAAAATCAAGAACCTCACTCCCAGGAGTTAAATTAATGCAGGAGAAAACAGGTCACAGATGCTCAAAGACTTTGTATCTTGAACATTTGCCCTAAATACCGTAGGAAAAAACTTGAAAAATAGGCCCTCAACGAGTTCAGAGACCTCTCATTCCAAACTCCAATACTGAAATGCCTCAAACTCAAACAATGAAAGATAAACCCTCAATGATAATCATAGCCTTCAAACACTGAATGCGGAACCCCCAAATCCCTCAGATTCAGTCTTGGAATGCAGATAGAGAAAACATGAAAGCACAGATACTGAGTTCTGAGTACTTACAATCTAAATACTGATCCCAAATGCCTGAGCTTCAAACTTCAAACACAGACCTTCAAAGAGAACTCACACCCTGAACAACTATCTGCAAATACATCAATCTCTACCCTTAGTACACAGACCGTCATAGAGTTCAAAGGCCTTACATTTTAAACCCAGACTCCAGTACCTCCGACTCAATCTTATTTTTAAAAAGTACTTCAACAAGTCAGGCCTCATATGCTGAACTCAGACTCCGAAATATCTCAGGATTAGTACTTGGAAAACAGATCCCCTAAAATTATAGATATCTCACAGCCTAAACACTGGCCCAATACTGTATCTTAGACTGAAACTTTGGAACACAGACACTATAAGATTTCAGAGACTTCACACCCTCAACACAAATCTCCTAATACCACAAACTCCACACTTGGAAAAAAAACCCTCAAAGTGTTCAAGACTTCACACTCTGGTTGCTGACTTCCAAACAATGTAGACTAAAAGCTTGAAGTACAGACACTTAATGATTTTAGAGACCTAACATACAATCCAGATCCCTTGTTATGTCAGAAAGAGACCTGGGAATGCACATCATCAAAGCACTTTAGAATCTCCAACCTGGAACTCACATCCTCATAGAACACAAGCAAATCTTGGTACTAATACCCTTAAAGCACTGAGAGACCTCACACTCAGATCATGGACCCCAAAATATTTCAGGCTGAAACAATGGAGCACAGACAGTTAATAAGTTTGGACACCAGGCCGGGCATGGTGGCTTATCCCAGCACTTTAGGAGGCCAAGGGTAGGAGGATCGCTGGAGCCCAGGAGTTCGAGACCAGACCAGGCAACATAGTGAGATCCTGTCTCTACAGAAAAAAAAAATTAGCTGGGCATGGTGGTGCATGCCTGTAGTCCCAGCTACTCTGGGGGCTGAGGAGGGAGGATTGCTTGAGCCTGAGAGTCTGAGGCTGCAGTGAGCCATGATCATGCCACTGCACTCCAGCCTGGCCAACAGAGCAAGACCCTGTCTCAAAAAACAAAACAAAACAAAAACAAAACAAACAAACAAAAAAAAAACCAAACAAACTTCGGACACCTCTCACTCCCTGATCACAGACCCCTCAGAACTCCTGATTCAAACCTTGGAACACAGACCCTCAAATAATTTAGAGAGCTTATGCTCTGAACATAGACTCAGAAACTATTCAGAGACCTCACACCCTGAACACTGATCCCCACATACCTCAGATTCAAACCTAGGGATGCAGGCCTCAAAAACTTCAGAGAGCATGCACACATAACACAGACCTCCAAACACCTCACACTCAAACTTGAGAGACTAAAAATTTGAGACTCCTCTCCCTGAACCCAGACTTCCAAATATCTCAGATTTAAACCTTTATCTGCCAGAGACCCCCAAGTACCTTATATTCATACCTTACAACACAGACCCTTAAAGCTTTCAGAGACCTTTCTCTGCAAACACAGACCTCCAGATACCTCAGATTCAAACCTTTAAATGCAGATTCTCGAAGAGATCACAGACATCACACCCTGAACAGAAATGTCTAAACAACTTAGACAAAAAACTTGGAACCCAGATCTTTTTTTTTAAAATTATTATACTTTAAGTTTTAGGGTACATGTGCACAATGTGCAGGTTAGTTACATATGTATACATGTGCCATGCTGGTGCGCTGCACCCATTAACTCGTCATCTAGCATTAGGTATATCTCCCAATGCTATCCCTCCCCCCTCCCCTGACCCCACAACAGGCCCCAGAGTGTGATGTTCCCCTTCCTGTGTCCATGTGTTCTCATTGTTCAATTCCCACCTATGAGTGAGAATATGCGGTGTTTGGTTTTCTGTTCTTGCGATAGTTTACTGAGAATGATGATTTCCAATTTCATCCATGTCCCTACAAAGGACATGAACTCATCATTTTTTATGGCTGCATAGTATTCCATGGTGTATATGTGCCACATTTTCTTAATCCAGTCTATCATTGTTGGACATTTGGGTTGGTTCCAAGTCTTTGCTATTGTGAATAATGCCGCAATAAACATACATGTGCAGGTGTCTTTATAGCAGCATGATTTATAGTCCTTTGGGTATATACCCAGTAATGGGATGGCTGGGTCAAATGGTATTTCTAGTTCTAGATCCCTGAGAATCGCCACACTGACTTCCACAATGGTTGAACTAGTTTACAGTCCCACCAACAGTGTAAAAGTGTTCCTATTTCTCCACATCCTCTCCAGCACCTGTTGTTTCCTGACTTTTTAATGATTGCCATTCTAACTGGTGTGAGATGGTATCTCATTGTGGTTTTGATTTGCATTTCTCTGATGGACAGTGATGGTGAGCATTTTTTCATGTGTTTTTTGGCTGCATAAATGTCTTCTTTTGAGAAGTGTCTGTTCATGTACTTTGCCCACTTTTTGAAGGGGTTGTTTGTTTTTTTCTTGTAAATTTGTTTGAGTTCATTGTAGATTCTGGATATTAGCCCTTTGTCAGATGAGTAGGTTGCGAAAATTTTCTCCCATTTTGTAGGTTGCCTGTTCACTCTGATGGTAGTTTCTTTTGCTGTGCAGAAGCTCTTTAGTTTAAAGTTCATATGGAACCAAAAAAGAGCCCGCATCGCCAAGTCAATCGTAAGTCAAAAGAACAAAGCTGGAGGCATCACACTACCTGACTTCAAACTATACTACAAGGCTACAGTAACCAAAACAGCATGGTACTGGTACCAAAACAGAGATATAGATCAATGGAACAGAACAGAGCCCTCAGGAATAACGTTGCATATCTACAACTATCTGATCTTTGACAAACCTGAGAAAAACAAGCAATGGGGAAAGGATCCCCTATTTAATAAATGGTGCTGGGAAAACTGGCTAGCCATATGTAGAAAGCTGAAACTGGATCCCTTCCTTACACCTTATACAATAATCAATTCAAGATGGATTAAAGACTTAAACGTTAGACCTAAAACCATAAAAACCCTAGAAGAAAACCTAGGCTTTACCATTCAGGACATAGGCATGGGCAAGGACTTCATGTCTAAAACACCAAAAGCAATGGCAACAAAAGCCAAAATTGACAAATGGGAACCCAGATCTTAAAAGATTTCAAGGATCTAATTCTTTGAATGCAGAGCAAAAATAGGTCCAAAACTTGGGAACAAAGCCTAAAATTTCAAAGACTTTGCATGTTGATCACAGACCCCCAGTTACCTCCAATTCAAACCTTACAATGCAAATACTGAAAAATTTCAGAGACCTTACACTCTGAACACAGAATCACCAGTTACCTTAGACTTTTGTACTGACCATGAAATATTTCAGAGAACATAAGTACACACACCTAAGTATCTCAGACTCAAAATGTGGAACATACTCCCTAATAGATATCAGCGACCTCACACCCTGAGCATGGATTTCCAAACACCGCAAGTAAAAAACTTGGAACAAAGACCTTCAAAGAATCCACAGACCTCACTTCTTGAACACAGACAGATCCCAAATGTTATACCTGAGACCCAAATGTGGACTTAGACCCACCAAAAGTTCAAAGACCGTATGTCCTGAATCCAGGCTTCCTAATCCCTAAGACTAAAATCTTGGAACAGAAACTGAAAATTTCAAAGCCTTTCGAGCTCTGAATATGGACCCCTAGATAACTCAGGCTGAATCTTTGGGAAACAGATCCTCTAAAAGTACAGAGACCTCGCACCATGAATTCGGACCTCCAAATATGTGAAACAAACATTTGGAAACAGACCCCCATAGATTGCAGGGACATCTCACCCTGAACAGAGACCCCCAAATACCTCAGACTCAAACATTAAAACAAAGATACCTGGCCGGGCACGGTGGCTCACGCTCTGGGAGGCCGAGGTGGGTGGATCACAAGGTCAGGAGATTGAGACCATCCTGGCTAACATGGTGAAACCCCGTCTCTACTAAAAATACAAAAAGTTAGCCGGGCATGGTGGCAGGCGCCTGTAGTCCCAGCTACTCGGGAGGCTGAGGCAGGAGAATGGCGTGAACGTGGGAGGCAGAGGTTGCAGTGAGCCGAGATCGTGCCACTGCACTCCAGCCTGGGTGACAGTGTGAGACTCCGTCTCAAAATAAACAAACAAACAAAAACAAAATAAAACAAAACAAAAAAGATACCAAAAGATTTGAGAGGCCTCACATCCTCAACATAGACCCACGATGACTGTGGACTAAAACCTTACAACACCAGTCCTCAAAGACTTCAAAGACCTCACACTTGTGAACACAGATCACCAAATACTATAGCTCAGAGTCCAAACCTTGAGTCACAGACCTTAAAGAGTTCAGAGAACTCACACCCTGAACACAGACCTCCAAACCATTCAGAATCAAACCTCAGAACACAGACTCTCAAGATTTCAGAGACCTCACACCCTAAACACAGATAAAGTATTCAGAGGCCTCATACTCTCAACGCTCATCCTGCATAACTCAGATTCAAACCTAGGGACTCACAAATGGTAAATATTTGGGTAAATATAATAGACGATTCTTCTCCTGAATTCTTTAAAATATGCTTCATGCTTAAAAGTAAAATGTATAACATTGTCTGATGGGGTTTTCAATGTATGCAGATGTAATACATAAGACAACTAGAGCTTGAACAAGGGATGATAAAGAGGCCTATAAGGTGGCAAGGTTTCTACATTCCAATTAAAATTACAAAACATTGAGTCTAAGTAGAATGTGGAGAGTTAAGTGTGTATCTCCCTCTCTGTAAGGGAGATAGGAGAAATGCACCAGGGTAGAGTTTGGCAGCAGTCATTCCTAGAGTAACTACTAAAAAACTACAGTTGGCCCTCCATATTTGCAGGTTCTGCATTCTCGAATTGTACCAACTGAGGATAAAAAATATTCAGAAAAAAAATTAAAAATGATAAAAATAATACAAATAAAAACAATACAGTATGACAACTAGTTACATAGCATTTACACTGTATCAGGTATTACAAGTAAGCTAGAGATGATTTAATGTATACAGGAGAATGTGTGTAGGTTGTATGCAAATACTATGCCATTTTATATCGGGGATTTGAGCATCTATGGATTTTGGTATCTACAAGGGTCCTGGAACCAATCCTCCATGGATACTGAGGGACGACTGTGTATGCAAGGATATAGTAAAAACCACAACAGATATATTAAAATGTAATACTGAAAGTTTTAAATAACCCAAAACAAGGGAGGAAAGGTAAAACAGAGGAATGAAAAACTGACAGAACAAACTGAAAACGAATTATAAAATGGTAGGTCTAAATACAACTATATCAATAATAAATTTAAATGATCTAAACACACCAATTAAAAGAAATTGTCAAAATGAATTAAAAACCATGACCTAACTATATGCTGTCTGCAAATACAACGATATAGGTAGGATAAAAGTAAAAAGATGGCTGGTTTCAGTGTAGAGATACAGATGGCTGGAAAGGGCATCACTTCCATCCTCACAACAAGAAAAATGCTGGGCAAACTTCAAATTAAATACTTTTCTTGAAATCATCAAGGAAATAAGTTTTCTGGGAAAACAACTAACCTGAAATCTAGAAAGACAAACACCTATAGGGAGACACAGCACCTGAGCATTTGATTATCTGAGACAGATGCCTCTGAATGCCATATATGTCAGCAATAAAATTAAGGTAGAAACTTCCAAATAACTTGCTAAGGGCTGAGTGTGGGCTAGTGTGAGAGTGTGAGGTCCTGGGGGCTGCAGACATGGTAGTTTTGCACTTGCTTGCAGGTTTTCCCTCTAGCAACTCCAGGAGGCACTGACAGGGAAGGTTGGGAGAATCCTGAAAAGACTAAGGAAGGGTGACAGAAGTCATTGTTGAAACTCCACTCTGCCCAATCTTCTCAATGCCCCACATAAAACAAAAGTTTTAATTCACAGGCTGAAGAAAACCTATTGCTTGAGGTCACTGGTGCAACCCCACAGCAGTTGGGAGAAAATATGGAAGTCACCATTGAAACTCTGCCCAGACCCACCTTCCTTAGTTTCTATAGTGTGATCAGTGCCTGCAGCTTAAGCCTTTATTTCTGTAAGGGAGATAGGAAAAATGCACCAAAGTGGAGTTTGGCAGCAGCTGCTCTTCTTGCCAGCACCATGGGGGAACTTTCTCTGGATTCTCTGTGTAAGCCTAGCGGTAGTCCTAGGGGAGAAGCCTACAAGAGGGTAACCTCACATGAATAAGTCTTTTGGGAGCTTCACATTCTCATGCTAGCTCACACTAGGTTCTCAGGACTTCATCAAAATTTATTGTTTAATCTACACACTGGTTCCTGCCCCCTTGTAAGCGTAAGGCACAGAGTCCTGTGTCTCCCTGCAGGTGCCTGTCTCTCTCCAGATTTTGGTATAGCATTTACCCTATGACCTTGGTCCTCTGATGAGTCAAAGAAAAGTTGGCCAGGTGTGGTGCCTCACAGCTGTAATTCCAGCACTTTGGGAGGCCGAGGCAGGCGGATCACTTGAGGTCAGGAGTTCGAGACCAGCCTGGCCAACATGGTGAAACCATGTCTCTACTTAAAAAAAAAAAAAAAAAAAAATTAGCCAGGCGTGGTGGTGGGTGCCTGTAATCTCAGTTACTCAGGAGGCGAGGTTGCAGTGAGCCAAGATTGCACCACTGCACCCTAGCCTGGGTGACATCTCAAAAAAAAAAAAAAGGAAAAAAAAAGAAAAAGAAAAGTAATTAATTTACAGTTTAACCAGCTTTTGTCTTGGATGGGATAGGAGCAAAATTTCTTCATTGCTCCATCTCTGAACTTTTGGGTCATATGGTATATATATATTTAAGTTTATAGAAAATTGCCAAACTGTCTTTCAGAGTGGCTGTACAATTTTGCACTCATGTTATTAACATATGGGAGATCTAGTAGTTCTACATCCTTACCCATGCTTGATATTGTCAGTAACTTTTCTTTCAGTGAGTCAAGTAAGTGAGTAATGGTATCTTTTGCGGTTTTAATTTTCATTTCCCAAATGGCCAGTGATGCTGTGCATCTTTTCCTTTGCTAATTTTCCATCTGTATATTCTCTTTGGTTTAGTGACCATGACATTTGCCAACTTACAAATTGGGTTGTGTGTTTTCTTGTTATTGAGTTTAGAGAGTTCTTTAAATTTTATGAATATAAGGCTTTAGTCAGATAGATGATTTACAAACATCTCCCAGTCTATAGTTGTCTTTTTTTTGAAGTTAGTATTTTATTGTTTTAAGGACATTGAAGAGGGCTCATGAAAATGTAAACATAGGTAGAATTTTATCATACACATATGTCCTCAAATTATAGCCTAATCCTCCCTTCTCTTGCATAATCAGAAGCCAATTACCCTAGCTTTGACATTTTAAAGATACCTTGAACAATGAATCAAGTGATTTGAAGTTCTAAGGTCAAAATGCTGGGTAGCAAAAGGCTTGACCTTGTGAAGAAAAGATTGTATCAATTCAACTTAATGATCTTCTATGATAGAAAAACCTTAATGATCAAGAGACACTAATACCATTTTTATTCTTCAGGCCTAAGTTTGGCTTCTATTTCTATCTTATAATCTTATTAATGATTAAGTTGGATGGTTTAGGAATCATACTCCAAGGAACCCAGGGGTTCTATAGAGCAGGGGTCCCAGCCCCCAGGCCATAAACCAGTACAGTCCCGTGACCTGTTAGGAACTGGGCTGGACAGCAGGAGGTGAGTGGTGGGCAAGCCAGCATTACCACCTGAGCTCCACCTCCTGTCACATCACTGGTGGCATTAGATTCTGATAGGAGAGCAAACCCTATTGTGAACTATGCATGCAAGGGATCTAGGTTGTGTGCACTCCTTATAAGAATATAGCTAACGCATGATGATCTGAGGTGGAACAGTTTCATCTCGAAACCATCTCTCCCTACTCCCCAGTCTGTGGAAAAATTATCTTTCACAAAACTGGTCCCTGGTGCCAAAAAGGTTGAGGACTGGTGCTGTAGAGGATTCGCAGAGGCTGCCTAAGAAATTGGGAGTGCAGGGATAGAGATGATGAACCTCTGACCTCTCCTCTCTGGCTTCAAGTGCAGTAGCTCTAATTGTTTGATTATTAGGTTTGGCTACTTTTTTTGTTTAATACCCATTTTTATTTTGAAATGATTTATAGAACAGTTGTAAAGATAATACAGAAACTTCTCATATACTTTTCACCTAGATTCACCTAATGTTAACATCTAATATAACCACAGTACGTTTGTCAAAACTAAGAGATTAACATTGGTAATATACTACTAACTAAATGATAAACTTTATTCGGATTTCATTAATTTTTCCACTAATATCCTTTTAATGTTCCAGGATACCACAATGCATTTGGAGAAGTTTTTCTTTTGATTCTATTAACAGTTTTAAGAGCACAATGCAAAACTATCAAATTTTTATGAAGTCTGATTTATCAATTTTTTTCTTTCATGAATTGTGCTTTTGGTGTCATGTCTAAGAATTCATTGATAAACTAAAAGTCTCTTTTTATAAAACTTTCTTGAAAACTTTTATAGTTTTACAGTTTACATTTAGATATATGACCCATTTTGTGTTAATTTTTATATATGGTATGAGGTTTAATAGTGGTTAATTTTTGTTGCATATGACCATCCAATTTTCCTCATACCATTTACTGAAGATACTATCCTTTATCTGTAGAACTGCTTTGGCACCTTTGTCAAAAACCAACTGGCCATACTTGTGTAGGCCAATCTCTGGATCCTATTCTTTTTCATTGATCTATGTGCCTTGATTACTGTCACTTTATAATAATTTTAAAAATCAGATTGTTCAGTGTCCAGATCTTAGTTTCTAAATACCATTTCTTAATACAAGGAAGCCAAAAACCTGGAGAAATGGCTGATTCTAGAGCAGGTGAACTTGTCTTATCATGCAGTGCCAGCAAGTAAACAAAAGCTAAAAAACCAAAACAAAAAAAGATGACTGTGATATCAAAAGTGTGTAGGAACCAATCTGAAAGAGGTCCCAATGTCTAAGCTAGAAAAATCTGAGTCACAAAACACATGGCAACTGTATTGGAATAGAACTCAAAAAATAAAAAGGAATCCATGAGTCCATACTGATATAAATGAACAATTTAATAAGTAAATAAATGGAGAAGAGACAGATCTTTCTTATGGAATAATTCCAAACAATAAATGTAGAAGGAATAAATGAAATAGAAAATCACTATTAGAACAGCACAGTAATAATTGCTCTAGGTAAGGTCCATGGATTAATACTAAAATTAGACGCCTAAACGTTAAGGAGAAAAAGGTTATTTGCATTGCCTCAAAGTATTTCCCCTCAAATACGCATTAGTTACTGTAGAGATTTTAACATATATCCACAAATTCTTTTATATTCTTCCCCGCAGGAGGTGGAGCTTAACTCTCTTCCCCTTGGGTGTGAGCTGGACTTAGTGATACACTTCTAATGAATAGAATAAGAAAAGGGGAAAATAGTAATTTTACAGTGGAGAAACTTGACATACATCATCTTAATCAAGTGATGAAGGTTAATGTCACCAGTAAGAATTCATGTTTACATCACGTACCCTCTGATATGATGTGATGAGAAGGGTACTTTACCTCAACAGTATTCTTCCCCAAAATCCATTATCCTAGTCCAATCATGAGACTCAATTAAACTCAAATTGAGGGGCAGTCTAAAAATTACCTGCAAGCACTCTTCAAAACCAGTTAATGAGATTCCTCCAACTTTCTTACTTTTTTTCAAAATTGCGTTAGCCATTCTAATTCATTTGCTTTTCCTTATAGATTTTCGAATCAGCCTGTCTTATATGTACAAGAAGTTCTCCTAGGATTCTGATTAGTATTGTGTTAAATCTATATATCAATTTGCCTTTACTATGTTGGGTTTTCAAATCACGAACACAGCATGTATTTCCACTTATTTAGGTCCTCTTTGACTTTTATGATCAGTGTTTTATAGTTTTCAGCACACAGATTCTGTACATATTTTGTGATATTTATATCTAGGCACGTCAGTGTTTTGACTGTAAATGTTTTCTTAATTTCAGTTTCAAATTCTATGTTGTTTTTATTTGTTTGCTTTTTTTTAAATTATACTTTAAGTTTTAGGGTACATGTGCACAATGTGCAAGTTAGTTACATATGTATACATGTGCCATGCTGGTGTGCTGCACCCAGTAACTCGTCATTTAATATTAGGTATATCTCCAAAGGCTATCCCTCCCCCCTCCCCCCACCCCACAACAGGCCCCGATGTGTGATGTTCCCTTTCCTGTGTCCATGTGTTCTCATTGTTCAATTCCCACCTATGAATGAGAACATGCGGTGTTTGGTTTTTTGTCCTTGCGATAGTTTGCTGAGAATGATGGTTTCCAGCTTCATCCATGTCCCTACAAAGGACATGAACTCATCATTTTTTATGGCTGCATAGTATTCCATGCTGTATATGTGCCACACTTGACAGACGCTCACTTTGTCGCCCAGGCTGGAGTGCAGTGTGGCACGATCTCAGCTCATTGCAAACTCTGCTTCCCAGGTTCAAGCAATTCTCTTGCCTCAGCCTCCCAAGAAGCTAGAACTGCAGGTGCGTACCACCATACCTGGCTAATTTTTGTATTTCTAATGGAGATGGGGGTTTCACCAAGTTGGCCAGGCTGGTCTTGGACTCCTGGCCTCAAGTGATTTGCCCACCTCAGCCGCCTAAAGTGCTGGGATTATAGGCCTGAGCCACCATGCCTGGCCCCAATTATATGTTGTTAATATATAGAAATCCAATCGATTTTTGTGTGATGACCTTGTATATTGCTGCCTTGCTTAAGTTACTTGTTGGTTCTAGGAAGGTTTTTTTTGTAGATTTCTTGGGATTTTCTATGTAGACAATTATGTTGTCTGCAAATAGGGTAATTTTACTTCTTCCTTTCCAATCTGAATGCCTTATATGTCTTTTTTCTTGCCTTGTTATGCTGGCTAAGACTCCCAGCATGATGTTGAACAGATGTAGTTAGAATAGAAATCTTTGTCTTGTTTCTGATCTTTGGAGGAAAGCATTCAGTCTTTCACCATCAAATACAATGTTAGCTGTCGGTGTTTTGCAGATCTCTTTACAAATTGAGAAAATTTCCTTCTAGTTCTACTTCACCAAGAGTTTTTATCATGAATGGATGCTGTATTTTGTCAAATACTTCTTCTGCATCAATTGATATTATCATATGATTTTTCTTCTTTAGACTGTTAATATCAAATATTAAATTGATTGATTATTGAATATTGAATTCGCATTGCATTCCTGGAATAAACTTCCTATGGTTGTGCTGTATTATTCTTATTGCTAGATTCAATTTGCTAATATTTTGTTGCGGATTCTTACATTTATGTTAGTGACAATCCTAAGAACCCCAAATATTTATGCATCTAATAACAGAGTCACAAAATACATGAT
The DNA here is from genome assembly GCF_000001405.40 of Homo sapiens. Taxonomy (NCBI): domain Eukaryota; kingdom Metazoa; phylum Chordata; class Mammalia; order Primates; family Hominidae; genus Homo; species Homo sapiens. The sequence goes on from NC_000023.11 coordinate 49,823,858, forward strand.
GAGAAATACACGAATCTACGATTACGTCTGAGATTACAATATTTCTTTCTCAATAATTGATAGAACATGTTGGCAGAAAATCAGCAAGGATACAATAGACAATAATCTGAAAGACACAAACCACCAAGCCTCACTCAGGAAGAAATAGATAAGCTGAATAACTCTGTATCTGAATAACCCTTTAAAGAAATTGAAATTGTAGCTTAAAAATGTTTCCAAGAAGAAAACTCCAAGCCTAGATGGCATCACTGAAGTATTCTACCAAATATTTAAGGAAGAAGTAATACCAATTCTATGCAAAATCTTCCAAAATATTGAGGAGGAAAGAATGCTTCCCTACTCATTCTATGAGGCCAGAATTTCTTAATTCCAAAATTGGACAAAGATATTAATAGAAAAGGAAAATATAAATCAACATCCATCATAAATATACATGCAAAAATTCTAAACAATATTTTAACAAATTAAATCCAGCAATGCATTAAAAGAATAATACATCATGACTGAATGGAATTTATTTCAGGAATGCAGGCTGGTTTAATACTTGAAAATGAATCAATAAAATTCACCTTATTAACAGCTAAAAAAGAAAAAAAATATGATTATTTTAATAGATGCAGAATGTTGAAAACTTTTGCCCTATGATCAGGAACAAGACAGAGATTTCCACTTTCCCCACTTGTGTTCAACATTGTAGTGGAGGTTCTAGGTAGTGTAGTCATGGAACGAAAGTAAGTAAAATGCATGCAGATTAGGAATAAAGTAAAATCGTCTATTCACAAATAACACAATTGTTTACGTAGAAAACATGATAGAATCTAATTAAACCAATGAAAATCTACTAAAACCAACAAGTGAGTTTAGCAAAATTGCAGGATACAAGCTCAATATAAAGAATAAGTTGTATTTCTGTCTACTAGCAACAAACAATAAAATGGAAATAAAAACAATACCATTTACAATATCATAAAACATGAAAAACATAAGGGATAAACCTGACAAAATATATGAAAAATCTATACATTGAAAACTACAAAATATTTCTGAGAGAAACTAAGACCTGCATAATTGAAAAAACACAAAAAAAGAAAAAAAAAGACCTACATAAATGAAGAGATATATCTTGTTCACGGGTCTGAAGACTCAATATTGTTAAGATGTCAATTCTCCCCAAATTGATCTATAAATTTGGTGCATTCTCAATCAAAATTACTGAAGGTTTTTTGGGGGGTAGAAATTGACAAGCTGATTCCATAATTCATATGGAAATGCAAAAGACCAAGATTAGTCAAAGTAGGATTTCAAGAGTTACTACAAAACTATGTCACAGTAGTGTGACATTGGCATAAAGATAAACAAATAGATTAGCACAGCACAGAGAGTCCAAAAATAAACTCACACCTATACAAACAACTGATTTTTGGCAAAGGTATACAGGTAGAGACATAACAACCAGCAAAGGCCAGCATGACCAACGTACCCTCACTAATTACCTGTGAAGGGATACATGCATAAGAGGAGGCTTGCCCAAGAGAAAGAAGTCCAAAGCCAGATGAGCTTTCTAGCACAAGTGAGAGGCCTGCACACCATCAGTGAAGACTGAAGTGACAAGCACAACTATGAAATGGGGCTCAGTTGGCACAGAAAGGTGAACCTGGTGGTTTCTATATAAGGAGACTGGGAAACAAGGGCTTCTCCTTCCGATGGTGGAGCTGTCAAGGACAGAATCTTCCTTCCTCTCCAGTTGCTTCAGGTGAACTACTCGGAAATGCTGACGCTAAGTAATAGCTATCTGAATAGATATGAGCATGTGTGCAGCAACTGAATGGGCATGAGTAGTATTTGAAGGAGTTCACAGGTAGTTGGAGTAACAGTTTAAAATAACATACTTTGTCAATCCATGTCAAGATTTCCAGGAACTCTCCTTTGCAATCATGAAAATTGCCTTTATGTTTACCAGTCAGTGTTTAGAAAAATCATCTCACAAAATATTTATATTCATAATATTTATATTCATGCCCTTATTGTGGCATACAGTAGGTCAAAGGACACCAGAGAAAAGATCCTCCTCTGACCCACAGCCTCGGTCTCCAGCTCCAGTGGCCTCTGCAGTTTGCAAGCATGCTTCCAAGACTTAGCACATGATGTTTCTTCTGCCAGTCCTGCATTCTGCACATGTGGGCACCTACACCATATCACCTCTCATGGATGGTGCTCATGGGGTTACTAAGCTTCTCCTTGAGCTGAGGGATTCAAAGGAACTACTGGATCCATAGGGTAGCACAAGGTGAAGAAGCATACATGTTTATGTTTATGATTCAGGCTTAAACCAGAATCGGAAAGATACAGATTTAATTCCAGGCATAACTTGCCAGAGGGTGTGACATTAGACAAGTTGTACATACTCTCAAGCCCCTATTTCTTCATGTAGGAATTTTTTTCATGAAGAAATGTTTAAGGAAGTGGACTGAAAATGGTTCATGAGGATGTTTGCTGCAGCATGAATGATCATCTAAAATGATAAATATATGGAAACACATGCACTAAAATGACAAATAGAAGATAGGTTTTTAATGAATGCTGGAACTCCAGAGTTATTTCTTGATTCTCCTCTTTCTGATTTTGTGGATTGTTTATGAGCATGAATTACTTGAATAACAATGTTCAAACGTATTATTTATCAAAAGTGCAAATTCAAATAGTAGTGTGGTGTTTCCTCCCATCAAATAGCAGAAAACAGTAGAATTAGTCAATTTTTAGTGATTGGATTATTTGTAAGGAGCAGATATCACCTGTGACATAAAATGAATACAATGAAAGTGACATCTATAATCATCACAATGATACAAACAAGGGCTTGGGATCACCTACATCGTTGATCAGAGTGCTTGCTTTGCACTAATGTTGCCTGAGGATGAGGTTCTCTGGGAAGGCTCATGGTGCTGGGCAAATCGGGATTTCTTTTTCAGTTCAGATCTAAGCTCTCACACAGAAAGGACCTTACCTGTCCTCTCACTCCTTCACAGCATCCTAGAGAAACTTGATCCTATGCAGAGAACACAGCAGCTGCCAACCGACAGGCACCAAGGTCAGGGAGGCAGCAGGCTGCAGATAGCCTTTCCAAGTGATAATAGGAAACACCTGAGAGCTAATGAAAGCACTTTACCTGAGGAGAAACAGGAGGCTGAGACTAGAGCCCACAGTTTATACTGATTGCAGAGTGTGAGATCTCAGTCTCTCAATAAATCTTTATTTAATCTACATAAAGATCTGAGTAGTAGGAGCAGCTCCTGCTTAGATATAAAAAGTGGTTATCCCTGATTGGTGATATCAAGGAAGAATTATATATTCTTCACACTTGGCTCTGTATTGACTCTACATCTTATCTGTAGGAGAGAGGGAGAGAAGGAGAGGGAGATCTGGCAATTCTACTTCTGCCATGGGGGATCTTTCTAACTCTCAAAGAATGTGCGCTTCTTTAAGGGTAACCTGCAGAGTCTGAGAACGGTCCAGGTCCAGGCATGCACGGACAGAAAGGATATTTTTCCCCCAGGGGTTTAGCGGGGGCAGGAGGGGTTGGACAGGGATGTGCAGGGCAAGCTCCTTTCTGTCTTGCAGGCACCCATCTAACTTTTGCCCAAAGCAGTAACAGTGGGCTTCTGTCCCCCTACCCCCAACCCCCCACACCTTCTCTGACAGCAGAGGATCAGACCACCTAGGTGATGGTGAAGCTCTTTGACGTGCACCAGGTGCAGGAGACCTATGACCCCTAGCACTGCCTTTTATCTGCTGGGTTCCCCTTGGAGAACCATATATCTTTGGAGCCCCAGAACATGCTGGTTGCACAAGAACAAAGCACACTTACTGTCTGAGAGGAAGGCTGGTGGTGTGGTAGCACTATTGAACCTCTCTTTTCTTTTGAGATCATATTGTACATACACAGTGCTACATAACTGGATGTTTCAAGTTAATAACTTAAAATGAACAGCACCACTATTACAGGAAATATTATTCAGCACTGGTTTTGGTAGTCACCCATATTTCATTTTCAAGTGTGCCATAATTTACTTATATAGCAAGTCCATGACCATGCTATTATAAATTAAGCTGTTTTGGAAGTCCCATGTATCCAAATTTTTGTTCACATGGTTAAAGAAAAAAAACATTCAGTGGTAGTTGTTAAAGCACAGTAAGGAAAACCTTATTTAGGACTGTGGTGATGGGTATAGGGACCATTGCAATGGGATCTTGCAGTGGGGGAGAGAGATTGGGCTCAATACTGAATACAGCGCAGGCCAGTGGGAATGTATAGCGAAGGAGCAGTATGGCGGTCCGTGGGTGGAAAATTACTAAAAGGAAACATCAGGGGTAAGGGGGATTCTGGCTAAACCCACCTAGCAGGATTCTTGCTGAAGACAGGCCAAGGGGAATCAGACATCACCTGGGGGATGGTGGAAGATGAAGAACCCCATGCGATAGCAAGTATGATCAGATATTGAGGATGGAGGGTTCATGCCACATTGACTTAGCAGGGCTCTTTGCTAAAACTGGGTTTTACAAGGAAATGCACAGATGGGCCTAGGAGGAGAAGTTTCAGAAGCCTGACTTAAAAGTTTGGCCAAGCAAGGAATATTTGTCAACATTCAAGACAGTTTCCTTAACATTAAAGTCCTAGAAGTAGAAATGCTGGGTCACAGGATTTTTTATTTTTTGAGACAGGGTCTTGCTCTGTTGCCCAAGCTGGAGTGCAGTGGTGTGATCTTGGCTCACTGCAACCTCAACCTCCTGGGCTCAAGCTATCCTCCCACCTCAGCCTCTCAAGTAGCTGGGACTACAGGTGTGCACCACCATGCCCAGCTAATTTTTGTATTTTTTGTAAAGACAGGGTCTTGCCATGTTGCCCAGGATGGTCTCGAACTCCTGGGCTCAAGAAATCCACCCACCTCAGCATCCCAAAGTTCTAGGATTACAGGCATGAGCTGCCGCACCTGGCCTGGATTTTTGTGCAAATGTTTAGGCTTATTTATGTATGTGGGTTTATCATCCTTCTCCTTTACATTTTTTTCTGGATTCCTATCATGCTTAAAATGGCTTTGCACTCTCTGAGAACCTAAGCTTTCACGCATCTCTGGGAAGACTGAATACCCTCTTAAGGGCCACTGAGGTAGCAGCACTGAGAAAAAATTAAAGGGTAAATTTGCAGGTGAAATGCAGAGCTGGGAACATTCCTAGATCCAGAAGGACAGAACATTTTGCAGGAGGGGCCAGAAGCCAGAAACAAGCCCTTCTCAGCACCGAGCAGGCCCTTCCTCCAGGTGGCACAGAGCCTCTAGGAGGCGGGAGAGGGCTGGAAAGACAACCCACGTGACACACCCCCGAGGTTTGGGATTGGCTGGTGGGGTTGACACTGCTGAGGTCTAAACAAGGAGGCAGAAGTAGGTAGGTGCCACTTCTCTTCCCTTCATTCTTCGCCAGGCTCTCTGCTGACTCAAGTGTAAGTGAGAACAGGTGTGAGTGAGTGGGCCGGCGGGCTTCTGGTGGGTCGGGCACTGTGGTCCCTGGCCTCAGAGAAGGAAGGGCCTCGAGGTCATCATCCTTCTCCTAGCAGGCAGCTATGCGGCGGGGCAGGGACAGGGGAGGAAGGAGGGCCATGAAGGGGAGGAGGGTCAGCCAAGATGCTGTGAGTTTTGGAGCGGGACACTATCTGAGTCCTGGAGGCATATGAAACTGTCCATAAAGGACGGATGCTGGGGTCCTCAGTGGGGGCCAGGGAAAGGGTGGGACAGCCCGCGCTTGACAGCGCCTGCCTCAGTGCTCGTGTTCACTGGGGGTCTTCCCATCAGCCCCTTCACCCACGAGGTGAACTGCCGCGGAGCTGTGAGGGTGCCGTTTGCATTCCAATTGTCGGGACTCTTTCACCTGAGACTGAGACTCAGTGGGTGGGTCCACCGATCGTTCCTCCATGGGAGTTTAAGTGTGAAGAGGAGCTGGTGGGCTTCAGGAGGGTCGGGCAGCACAGTCCGTGGCCTCGGAGGAGGAAGGGCCTCACAGGTGGTGGCGCCGCCATGACCTTGTGGTTGTGGCAGGGCTGGGGCGAGGGAGGAAGTTGGGCCACGGAGGGGAGAGGGATCAGATGGAGCAAAACTTGGGGGGTACTTTTTGAGGTATCTTTGAGTCCCAGAGGCACCTGAAACTGCCGAAAGAGGACAGGTTTCGGAGTTCTCAGTGGGGACCTGGGGAGGAGGGGACCTGGGGTGGCTGTATATTAAAAAATCTCTTCATAATGGAGTTTAGTTATGAAATTAAGTCTCTTTAGGAAAGACCCCATGTTTTGATCTAGGACTTGAAGATCACTTCTCTGCCGAGCTGGCTGTGGAAGAAACAAAGCAGTTTGCAGATAGATTTATTTGATGTGATTGGAAACCAGGCGTAGTTATTATTAACTCAGGACCTATTATGGAAATCTCACAAAATTAAAAAAAATTACAATCAGCAGATGGCCATGGAAAGAGTCAAGTATAATTACTCCTTTTTATTGCAGTCTTCAGTTCACGATCTTCTAGTTGCAGCGATGAGTGCACGAGTGAGATCAAGATCCAGAGGAAGAGGAGATGGTCAGGAGGCTCCCGATGTGGTTGCATTCGTGGCTGTGAGTACATTTCAGTATCTTATTTCCATTGGCAGAAATGTATTTTTCTGAAAGAAAATCTAAAACATTGTTAACCAATATAGATCTGTTATATAAAGGACTTCCCTGCTGAAAATAGTTGCAAACTAAATCACATTAATGAGACATTGAGCAAGGAGACTTATTTTCTGATATTGTCTGCATATGTATGTTTTTAAGAGTCTGGAAATAGTCTTATGACTTTCCTATCATGCTTATTAATAAATAATACAGCCCAGAGAAGATGAAAATGGGTTCCAGAATTATTGGTCCTTGCAGGTAACTCCTTAAAGTATATTCTATATAGGAAGAATAACTTTTCTTAAGAGTACTTACAGAGAAGATAGGAAAAACCTCTTCAGATTTATTTGTGACTAGCTACCTTCACATAGTATGTATATTTGTGACTTCTATTGCCATGATATTAATAACAATATTCTATTTGCATCTACTCTCCCCCACCTCTCAAAAGCCCGGTGAATCTCAGCAAGAGGAACCACCAACTGACAATCAGGATATTGAACCTGGACAAGAGAGAGAAGGAACACCTCCGATCGAAGGTGAGAAGGGCATGGAGGAGCATTTTGTGTTTCATGTATGATTTTATACTAGTAACAGGAATAAATAAACCATCCCCTAAAAATTGGCTGGAAACCTGTAAAGTAATCCTTGGTAAGGGAATAGTGTAGTTTTCAGCTGCTGTAGTCCTTGTGATAAATTTTCTCTTCAGCATTTTACTTATCTTATATCTTAAGAGTTCTTTGGCATACTTGGAAAATACAATCCTTGCCAAGACTCTATATTAGCAAACAAAAGGAAACTACATTAAATTTAGACAAAATTGTAAACTGTTTCATGAGTTAAACTTGGTTTTATTGGGATATTATTTTTCTGGGCATAAGTCATTGCATTAAAAGTTTGAGCAAACCATATATTATGGTTAGATCTTACATAGCAATTTTTAGAAAATGTCATAATTCAGAGAAATAAAAATGTGAAATCCTTTTAGTTACCGTTAAAAGTCTTCAATACTTTTGTCTTTCTGAACCATAATCTGTTTGTCATATATTTATTTTTTAACTTTTTACTTAGAAAGGACTTAAAATGTAAGGAAAAGTTATCCAAGTACAGTGAACTCCTGTGTATTCTTCACCTTGATTCACTGATTGCTATAACATTTTGCCATTTATCTCCCTGTTTTTACCATATTAATATATTATTGCTGAACCACTTGAGAGTTTCAAATATCACAACTGTTTACTCTGTAAGTAATTCAGTATGTATCTGCTAAAAATATGGATAATCTCTTAAATAACCTCAGAACAGTTATCAAATTCAGGAAAATTAGCATTGAGAAAACATCTAATATATAGTCCATTGCAGTTTTGTCAATTGGCCTAGGAATGTCTTTTATAGGATTTTTTTCCTGATCCAGGATCTAATTCAAGACTACTCATTGCATTTAGTTGCCATATCTCTCTGGTCTTCTTTAATCTGGAAGTGTTCCTCAGTCTTTCTTTGCATATCATGACATTGACAACTAGAATCCAAACCAATTGTTTTGTGAAATGTTCTTTAATTTGGGTTTGTCTTATGTTAATATTTTTACAGACATTTTTTTCATTCATTTACTGGGGCTTGCTAGGTGCCGGGTAATGTACTAAGTGCTGAGGATATAAATGAGATAATGATTTCTGCCTTGAGCTCACAATCTAATCAGGGAAATTCATGTAAACAAATAACTGCTGTAATGAGTGATTTACAGTAACAGAAGTATATGTAGATTGTGAAAGTGACAACTAAGTTGTCTTAAACAGTCGTAGGAAAAGAAAACTTCATAGTAGAGATAATATTCTTCCCCATTTTCTAGTAGAAAATTCCAATGCCCATTGCACTCATGCATCACATTTGTTAGAATACAAGCCTACAGAGCTTTATTTAATAACACTAATTTATAATTTACTGCTTACTTATATCAATAACTTTTTTATTTATATAAGAACGTAAAGTAGAAGGTGATTGCCAGGAAATGGATCTGGAAAAGACTCGGAGTGAGCGTGGAGATGGCTCTGATGTAAAAGAGAAGACTCCACCTAATCCTAAGCATGCTAAGACTAAAGAAGCAGGTACGTTATTCATTCGGAATGGAAGTCATGGGGTTACTCTTTTTCTATAATATACTTTAATAACAAGTCTCGCATACAAATATTATTTGAAAGGTAGTTCAGACACCAAATACTTGATTCAAAGACAGTGTCAGGGGAAAAATGAATTAGGTCAAAGCCATGTTGTTGAATTATAAAATATGAAAGTATTATTACTTTGGAGTAGAAATCTTCCAAAACTCAAGGCAAGTGATCAAATACTTTTAAAAGTATATACATTACTTAACATACCCCAGGGGCAATTGGGTATCTAAATGACACATAGTGTTCCTTTAAGAAAAAAATTTGCTAGAATTGTTTATCACAAATCGCTTTTAGGCACTAACAAGTAAGATAGATCTGTATGTTTTGAATTTTCCAAGTTGGTTTGTTGATTTTTTAAAAAACTGTGAGCTAGACTGAGAAACAGTAGCAGTTTCCCTCACATTTTAATGTCATCTATATGGTAGTGGCTTAAATAAACCAATAAGACCATGTATATATTTTTTAACGTGCATATCTGGCCTCCAACCATGTAATTTTTATCATCTAAATCAGGACACTTTTGAGAGGGAAAGGGAATGCTATGAATACAACATCAGGTTAACAGGTGCCAATGAGACAAATGGCCACCCTGGTATAAAGAATCCACATAAAGATTTAACTAGATCAATGAATTATTTTTGCACTTTTGCTCAAAGAGACAAACCAAATGGAATGGCATTCTTTGACCTCTCTTTAGTCAGCTAAACAATTCCTTAGCTAATATATAATTAGCAGAAAGTTTTTAGTCAATACATTTGAGTGACACTGTGTTTGCTTGCTTGTTTTTTGCTTCTTGGACTTTTTGTTTGATTAAAAAATCAAAACAAAACAAAACTGAAATCAGTGGCTGTTTTTGCCCTCTACTTAAAATGATCTTTAAATGGGCTCATAGCATTTAATCTGTTCTGGCTTGAGAAGTCTTTGTTTCCTTGTACCACTAGAGTGAGGCATTTTAAAAATTAGTACACATATGCCTGAAAATGTACATTAGCATAGAAGTCTATGCAGTGGTTAGCGTTCTGGTTTTAATTTCATCTTAAGAAACCAAAACTAGTGTTCTTTGTGTGCTTTTAGTGTCATCTCAGTAAAGTTCTGCTAAGTAATGAACTCAACTGTTATGTTTATATTTTAGGAGATGGGCAGCCATAAGTTAAAAAGAAGACAAGCTGAAGCTACACACATGGCTGATGTCACATTGAAAATGTGACTGAAAATTTGAAAATTCTCTCAATAAAGTTTGAGTTTTCTCTGAAGAAGTCATGCGTGTCTTTTGTAAAATTTATTCCTAGGAAATTGACACTATTGTAAATGGTATCTTTAAAAAATCCTTGTGTTCTGTTTAGAGCTGGTATATATTTTTGTATACTGATTTTGTGTTGGGCAACATTGCTAAACTTGCCTATTCTGTTGGTTTATCCCTACGTCCTTTTGGATTTTCTCCATACACAATCATACCACATGTAAATAATGATAATTCTGTTTTTTCCTTTTGAGGCTTTGTACTTTCATTTCTGGTCCTTATGACACTGGCCAGACCCCTCCAGTACAATGTTGATTAGAAGTGATGATGATGTGAATTCTTGTCATATTCCTGATGTCAAGAGGGAAACTTTCAACATTTCACTATGATAGGTTTTAAAAATATATGTAGATTCCTTCTATAGGTTGAGTATACCTAATATGAAGTCCTCCAAAATCTGAAACTGTTTGAGTGCCTCCGTGATGCTCAAAGGAAGTGCTCATTTCAGATTTCAGATTTTCAGATTATGGATGTTTAACCAGTAAGTATGATGCAAGTATTCCAAAATCTGAAACAGCATTTCAGGGATGGTATACTCAACCTGTATTAGATTAAGGACTTTTCAAAAAATTCTTAGTTTTCTAAGAGTACTTACCATGCTCACCATGAATATATGTTGAATTTTATCAAACACTTGGTCTGCATCTATTGAGGTGTATGATATTTCTCCATTAAGCTGTTAATATAGCATTCCTAGAATAAGCCCAATTTAATTTGTGATATATTGTCCTTTTATGTATTACTGGTTCCTTTTCCTAATGTTTTGTTTAGGATTTTTGCACTTTTGTTCACGAGCTTGACCTATAAATTTTTAATACTCACTCCATTCAGGCCTTGGTATCAAGGGTATTCTGGCTTCATAATATGAGTTAGAATGTATATTCTTCTTTTATTTTTCCATATAGTTCAGCTAACATTGGAATTCTTTCTTAAATGTTTGATAGAATTTGCCAGTGAGGATATCTGGACCTGGAGTTCTCTCTGTAGGGAAGTTTAAAATTGAATCAATATCTTTAGTCACATTAGGACTATTTCAGTTTTCTATTTCTTCACTTTGGGTTTTATTTTTCTAGGATTTTGTCCATATTATCTAAATTTTTGTTATACAAAATAGTCCATAATATCCTCTCTTTATCCTCTTAATGCCTGTTTTCATTCATAGAACTGATCATTTGTGTCTTCTCTCTTGTATTCTTGATCAATGTCAGGGTCTTTTCAAAATAAACTAACTTTTGGCTATCCTATTTTTGTTTTACATTTTGTGAATTTTGGCTCCCACGTTTATTCTTTTACTTTGTGTTTAATTTGCTGTTTTTAACTCCTTGAGATAGCTGTTTAGTTCATTAATTTTCAGTCTTCTTTTTAATGTATACTTCATAACTTTCTCTCTAATGAGGGCTTTAGCTGCAGTCCACAAATTATGATATTTAGTATTTTTGTTATTCAACTCAATATTTTCTAATTCACATTATTTCTTTGAACGATAGATTACTTGGAAGTGTATTTCTTCCAAACATTTGAACACTTTCTAGCTGTTGTTGTGTTACACAGTATAGATAACTGACAATATCTGTTTACAAAAGATACATCCAAAACATAAAAATTTACAGAAGTTGAAAGTAAAAGGATGGACAAAAGATATTCTGCACAAAATAATTAAAATAGGCTTTAAGGCAAATGAGCATTACTAGGAATAAAAAGGGGTATTTCACAGAGAAAAGGTTCAATTCACTAGGAAGATTTGATTTTAAATGTGAGCCTAATGTGGTTTCAAAATATGATGGGAAAATTGGCAGAATAGGAAAAGAAGTTGGTAACTGAGAGAATAAGCAGACAAAAAGCAATAAGGAGGTGGGGCTCTTCCTTACTGGCAAACTAAGCACTTGGCTTTGTCTGCCTTTAAGGTAGCCTAACACTGATTCTTACCCTGAGGAGGGGATGTGGAGCAGACCTGCTGGTGAGCTCCTGGTCTTTCCTTTAGGTTGTACTCCTCCCAGTCCATCACCAGGTATTGGAACTGCTGTAGGTATGCAAGGAAATCTAATACAACCTGGACATCATTTTTACTTTCTACATGTGTCACCTGGTGGCAAGAGAGAGGTGGCAGATAGAAGGGAATGGCCTCATAAACTGGGTGCGTCATCACAGCAAGGAACTAGTTTTAGAGATTCATTGCAAGCCGCAAAGGGCAGACATTTATTGAAAGGATGCTGGAATGCTTCAAGCTGACTCAGGAAGGATGGGGCCCAGGGCGACCCTCAGTTGTATGGGAACCACGCTTCCTCCTTTCAAGGGCTCCTGATTCCTGAGGACCAACTCCTGCTGCTAACCCTAGGAGGCCTCCCCATCCCCTCCCTGGAGGAAGGGGTCAGGTGGAGAGCTGATGTCCCGTGCTGAGCAAGGAGAATGTTGCTAGGGTATGTATACTCAGGCAGCACAGCCACACAAGCCAGACAGCGTGCACTAGGCTACAGCCAGCCACCACCAGGACTCGGGGACTGGACTCTTCCTAGAACACTCTTTCTCCTCCGACCCATGTCCTGATGCCTGCCCTGGGCTGCACTCTCTGGGACCAGCAGCTACAGCCCGACACCCTCGAGCCATGCCCCAGGTCTGAGCCACTTACTCTGGGCACACTCTTCATGGGCTTTGGGGTCCTGCTGCCCAGTGCCAGCAGCCCCTTGGCACAGGGGTTCCCAGAGGCCCCTCAGCCCCATGTCCAACCCCTTCTCCCCGCTGGCAGCTAGCTCCACAGGCTTCTTTCCACTTCCACCTGCTGCCCACCTGGGGACGCTGCCAGGGCTTAAGGGTCTTGGGACTGTGTCCTGTAGTTTAGGCCCCCTCTCAGCTGTAGGGGAAGTGCCAGCTGTAGGGATGGACTTGTCATGCCTCATCCCTCCAGCTGGCCTTGGAGAGAAGAGCTGGATTGTGCCCCCGGGCTGCTCAGCATCTGCTGGGCCAGAAGGCTGGCTGCCAAGCCATCAACCCACCTATGGCCTTAGGAGCCCAGAAGGAGACAAGGAGCAAGCCCAGACCCTGCAGAGCGCTGATAAGATGGGCCAGGGACATGCCTCTCCAGGCCCAGCAGCCTTGGGAGCCACAGCCGCTTCGGAGCTGGGGTCCAGGCCTCCCCAGAACTGCAGCTGGAGCTTCATCCTTTTCTGGGAAGGGCAGGACCTGGGGTGGGAGGGGAGACTGGGATGGGGCTGGAGGCAGGCTCGGCTGCAGAAAAGATGGCCTGTCACAGCTTCTGCCTGCACTCCTCAGGCAGGCTCCTTGGAGGGGACATTTCACAGCCTCAGAAACATTTCTGGAATTGGCACCCACTTGGCCCCCAGCTCTGTAGTGGCTGGGGGAAGCCTGCATGGAAGAGGGGAAGAATAAGGGAGGAAGATCAGAGCTGTAAAAGGGGATACAAAGCCTGTACTCTACGACCATTGTGTCAGGCACAAGGTACTATTCCAGAAGCCTTTGCTGAAGTGCAATGGATAGTACCCTGGATTGGGGATCAAAAGAACTGAGTTGGCTTTTGATTCTACTTCTGAAAAACTTTGTATAATAACATGTAGATGATCCTCTTTGAGTCTTAGCTTTATTGCTTGTAAAATGCAGATAATTCCTCCCTCCCAAGGATTCTATATAGATTGAGATAAAAAAAGTGCGAATGTGCAAAGTAAACATCTAGGCCTGTCCTAAAGGCACTGTGAACGTTGGTTGCATCCAAATCTGAATTTTGTCTGGGACCAGGGTCAGGGACCAGAATACACCAGAGCTGAGGGCCAGCCCTACCTGAGAACCATCAACAAACTTACCCCACATCCCATTATACCTCCTCACTCCCTGCAGCCTGTCAGCTTCCCCAATCTCCCACACTCACTGTCACCTGGGGCTCTGGTGCACCAGATGACACTACTTGCTCCCTGGTACACAGGTGAGTGCAGCCAGTGTCATACCCAAGGCCTCTAAATGAGGTCCACAGGCAAGAGCCATCCCAGCCCACATCTGATATCCAAGATGCAATGCTAAGTGGAAAAAGCACTGTAGAACAGTGTGTGGAATATGGTCTTGTTTATGTGTGTGTGTAAGATATAGGTATAAAATATACTTCAATATTCATAGAAAATTTATGGAAGAATACACAAAAATTGTTAACAATGGTTATTACTAGTTCTACAGGGATGATAAACAGGGAGGGGTGAGGACTGTATCTTTACTAATTATCATCATTTGAATATTTTTGCCATGAACATGTGTTACTTTTATAATGTAAAAGCACTTAAAATCAAAAGATGTAGATAGTAAATTAATATGTAGATATAGATAGATGATAGATGGACAATAGCGGTAGATAAATGATATGAAAATAGCTAAAAGCTAAACCAGACAGATATATCTGTGCATTGGTTTCCTCACGTGAAATGGTACCTATTTCATAGGATTATTGTGAGGATTAAATGACTTCATACGTTCGAGTCCTTGGAACAGTGCCTGGCACACAGTAAGTGCTCAATAAATGTTTTCTTTCGGATAATACTGGTGTGGAGATGGTGGAGGAAGACAGGCTGGCTCGATGTGATAATCTCTTTCGCCATCTTGTGGTCAGTGGGGCACAGGCCACACAGCAACATTAATGCCAATTAGCAGCATGGGTTCACTTTGCACGTTTTCAATCCTCTTCATAGGTAAGTGTAGGAGTTCAGGCCTTAGGGATGGAGGACCTAGGACTTTTAAAATCGAAAAAGAGCTTAAAGAAATAAACAAATAACTTTACAAATGGGTAGCCAGAATAGGACTTAGAGACCCCTACTCTAGTCATCTTTGACACCAGATGCTCCTGATCCCTAGTCCTGTCAGTGTCAAAAAGAAAGCAAATTGGCGGTCCCCTGTTTTTTGTTTTGTTTTGTTTTGTTTTGTTTTGTTTTCAGGTTCCTCTTTTCCTGTCAGGCTTCTTAGTTGTATCAACAGAACCAATTTTAGCTTACCCAGAAAAGGGATTTTTGAACACCTATTGAGTAGCTCAGGGAAACCTCAAAAAGGCCAGAGAATCTGGTTTGGGAGCTAGGTGGCCACGAGTTGCAATCCTACCCCCTCTGCGGACAGGAGCTACTGAGGCTGAGTCCAGCACCACTAGGATATCTCTTACAGTTGTTTGTGAAAACTCAGTACGGCTGCTTGTGAAAACTCAGTGTCTCTCTGACACTGTCACCAGGCATAGCTTCTTCTGTTCTTCTGATTTCCGCTGGTCTCTTCACGTGTTTCTCCTGATTCAAAATCTGAATGGGGAACATCTAATTGGTGGAGCCTAGGGCTCACACCTCTCCTCTAGGCTGAGTTCTGGTTTCCACCTTAGGGAGGAAGGACTCTTTTTTTTTTTTTTTTGGAGACAGATTCTTGCTCTGTCACCCAGGCTGGAGTGCTGGAGTGTAGTGGCACAATCTCAGCTCACTGCAACCTCCTGGGAGGAAGGACTCAATGCAGGGCTTCTCCAAAATTTAAAAGGGCTATTCAGAAGAGCCTGGGTAGGACAGGGGATGATGATGCTCTGACTTTGGGAAAACAGCATTGAGCATGTGTGCTTCAGAGTCCCACATCCCTTCTCCAGGTCCTGTCTATCTAGCTGTAGGTTCTACATATGACCCAGGCAGTACTGGGAATCTAGGTCTGTTTGACTCAGTGGTCAGGCCGGGTATGGTTGCACATGCCTGTAATCCCAGCTACTCGGGAGACTGAGGTGGGAGGATGGCTTGAGTCCAGTAATTCAAAGCAGCAGTGAACTATAATCATGCAACTGCACTCCGGCCTGAGTGACAAAGCAAGACCTGCCTCTTAAAAACAAAAAAATGGTGGTCAGACTCCATATTGATTATTAGGGGACAGGTCATGGTGATACCAGATGGAAGGATTTTTTTGGACAGGGAAGTCCATGGGGGCGGTGGGGCACAGGTTCCATGGCCGACTGGTTTACCACTGTATTCAACAGCAGCTAGCTTGGTGCCTCAATACATGACTGAAAGAATGGTGGAATAAGAGAACAAACTAAGCTGGCCACCTTCCTTCTGTAGTTGTAAAATTTCACTGACACTTAGGGCCCCTAATTTCGGAAGAAACCTAAGAGATGTGTTTTGGAGGTGTCTTGTTAGATAAGGGAGATCAAGAAAGGTAACTCCACTCATACCAAGCTACACCTTCACGTAGGGTTTCTGACTCCCATCCAGGAGGTGACTCCCCTCCACATTTAGTGTCTCCACTCAGAGGAAAAGAACAATCAAGTGTGTGCTACAAGATTCTACTGTCCATCCACACATTTTCTTTCTTTCTTTCTTTTTTGCAACAGAGTCTCACTCTGTCACCCAGACTGGAGGGCAGTGGCAGGAGGCTCACTGCAACCTCCGCCTCCCAGGTTCAAGCGATTCTCCTGCCTTACTCTCCTGAGTAGCTGGGATTACAGGCATGCAGCACCACACCCGGCTAATTTTTGTCTTTTTAGTAGAAACGGGGTTTCACCATCTTAGCCAGGCTGGTCTTTAACTCCTGACCTCAGGTAATCCACCGACCTTGGCCTCCCAAACTGCTGAGATTACAGGCGTGAGCCACTGCGCCCGGCCCATCCAGATATTTTCTTGAAACAATTCTGCACTTAGGACATATTTCCAGGAGAAATTGATGAAACATTCCCATAGTGGAATTGCTTGAGATTGCTGGGCCTCAAGGTCTATTGGAATCTAACTTCAACATCCAGCTGATGGGTCAGCCTGCGGCCTCCATATTTCCTTCTATGAATCAATGATGGCAAGTGCCCATCTCTGGCCACGCCAGCTGAAAGGCACAGACCACCAGAGGGAGCAGGTGTGCCTCTTCCATGGTGGAACATGGCACTTCCTGTTTGCCGCCCCCCCCAACCTGCCCTGCTCTGGAAAACACCACTGTTGCTTAGCAACAGGGAAGGCAGTCATCCAGGGCCCCATGTTTCTATCAGTCACCAACCCAAGTGAGACATGGAATGTAAAGGCCTGCCTTCAGATCACATCTACTGTAGCACTTTGGAACTTGCTGGCCACTCAAAATGTGGCCTGTGACCCTTCAACATTTCAGGGGTCCCCAAGACCACCCAGACATTCAGTGAATTAGCTAGGACTCATGGGACTCAGTATATTATTGTACTCATGGCTGTTATTACAGCAAAAGGTTATACAATATGATCAGCAAGAAATAGAAAGAACAGGTGGGGTCTGCAGAAGTCCACGCACAGGCTTCCTCATGCTCTCTTTCTCCTGTGAGGGGGCCCATAGAGCACATCCTTCCCCAAGAATGAAAATGCACAATATGTGGGTAATGTTTTGCCCAGGGAAGCTCACTTAGTGCCCCAAATTTTTACTAGGGTCTGGTCATTAGGCACCCCCTGCCTATTATGTACCCAAGTTCCAGACTCTCGGAAGGAAAGCAGGTGTTCAGAATAAACTACGTTGTTGGTACAAACTGGTTAGGCACTGTGAACCACCCTTCTCAATTAGGGAACATGTCAACTGCTGTCTTAGTTTTCTATTGCTGCCATAACAAATGATCACAAACTTAGAGGCTTAAACTGTATAAATGAATCGTCTAACAATTCTGTAGGTCAGAAGTCCAGCTTAGGTCTCTGGGCTGAAATCAAGGTGTTGGCAAAGTTGTGTTCCTTTCTAGAGGCTCTAGGGGAGAATCCATTTCCTACTCATTCCAGGTCGGCAGAATTCAGTTTCTTGACATTGTAGGACAGAGGTCCCTGTTTCCTTAGGCTGTCATCTGAGGGCCATTCTCAGCTTCTATAGGCCACCACATTCCTTAGCTTGTAGCATTTTCCTCCACCTTCAAAGCCAGAACAGTGAGTCGAATCCTTCTCAAGTCACATCTCTCTGGCCACAGCTGGGAAAGGTTCGCCACTTTTATGGTCTCCTGTGATTGGATTGGGTCCACCCAGTTAATCCAGGATAATCTTCCCATCCCAAAGCCCCAACCCTTAATCATGTCTACAAAATCCTTTTTGCCATGTAAAGTAACATATTCATAGGTCCCAGGGATTAGGACGTGGACATCCTTGCATATCCAGTATTTTGCCTACCACAAGTGCCAAGTTCCTAGATGCCAGCCAAGGGTCTTTCTAAATATAACAGTCTCAGGGATGCTATGTTAACTCTTTTCTGCATACTCATGCATATCTAAAGGAAGGTGACATCATGAGTGATAGGGGATACCCTCTTCCAATATCTTGTAGCCCCTTTCATGCTTAAAATGTCTTGGACTTCATAAACAACTGGACCCGGGGCTCAGCCCACAAAGATGCCTTATAACCCAGATTCCAATATGGCATACACATTCTGACCTTGGGACTGCGCAGTGCTATCCCTTTCCTGCTTCAACCTGGACAGGAGCCAACGTCTAGGAAACTGTTAGGTTACGTTCTCTCAAGCATAGGACTTGACAGAAAATATATTTCAGTTTAAATTCTTAGCTATGTACCAAGAGCAAGTTATTTGTTCTCTGTAAGTCTCATTTCCTCATCTGCTTCCAGGTATAACACACTGTCTTATAGATTTAAATGACAGAATACATACAATAAGGTATGTGTAAGGCAGTGCTTTCCAGATCACAATGGCTAGTGTGCTAGGAGATGGAACATCCAGTAGGAACAAAAACAAGACTAAAGTCTCCTGTTTCAACATGGAGCTTCCTCTAGGGGGAGAAAGAAGAGAAGAGGCAGAGGTTCACTTTTAGGATCTGCCTGGGTCTTTTTTTTTCCTCCTGAGCTCATCACTTTATTGACAAACTTATTTCTCCTTCTTCCTGTGAAGGTGTGATATTGTGAATGATTAACCTTTGTTTTTCACCCCAAGCTCCAGCTTGCCCTTGTACTCTTGGCCCTGCTGCAGATGACAGACCCAAGGCTTCTGCCCCAGGGTAGAGTTATTTCAGCAGAAATGCAAATAGAATCAAAGAGCCCAAGATCAGCATTTGAGTCACAGAAGAGATTTCAGAAAATGTACACTGAGAAAATAGAACTAAACGAAAGGCTTTTTGAGTTGGAAGATCTTAGGTCTTTTGAATACCAAGACATAAGGACCTGGCCTATCGACAGGCATACAAGGATATATGGTTTGTCCAAGGGACTTCCAGCCATCTAAGACTAGATAAAGCTCCCTTACACTAAAGGGAGGGCTGAGAGGGAGGCAGAGAGATACCGATGACATTCAAGGCCAGGGGATTTCAACCTCCATTTTAGACTATGTTGAAATCTTAAGGAGAATCAATCTCTCTCTCTCTCTCTCTCTCTCTCTCTCTCCTCTCCTCTCCTCTCCTCTCTCTCCCTCCTCTCTCTCTCTCTCTCTCTCTCTCCTCTCCCTGCTCCCGACTGGTTTGGGTTCCCTTTCATTTCATCTCCAAATATCACAATGGTATTCCCTGGAGGGCAAGAAAGACTTTTAGTCTGGGCCTTGGGATTGAGGAAATAGAAGAGAATCTGTGGTGTTTACAGACACTAGCACCATCCATTAGGGTAGGAACAGTAAGAAAGCAAAGGTTTGTGTCAAAGACTTGAAGTTTTCCTAGTGTGGGTCTTCAGAAAACCACTTTAGGGCCTCTGAGAAAAAAGACACTGCCATACTGGCTTGGTAGTGAGAGTCAGGTAAAGACCTCATTCCTCCCATTACTGGAACAGCCATGAGGTCTCCTGACAGCAAGGTGACAATGTCCAGATAACAACAGGTGAACAAAATAGCCCTACATACCCAGAGACAGAGCCACTTGCCTTGGGCCCAGCTGTTCACTAAGTCATCGGGTTCTTCCATTTCAGTGCAAGGGTGCCTAGCCAATGTAGTGAGCAAAGGTTGATTTCAAGATTGAATTTTGAGGGATCAAAGTTGGAGCAGGTCAAAATTATTAACAACTCGGCGATGCCCGATCCCTTCTGCCTGCAGCTACTAACACTGCATGGTTCCTAGCTTAACAACCCTCTGAATTTTGGGGAAGCTTCCTGTAAACACTAAATAAAACAAACAATATGTCTTGAGAGCAGTGTGTATTATGGTTAAAAGCAACTGAATATTGTTCCTCCAGCTGGGTTGCATGAATGCATATCAGGGGAACCATGAGTCCCATTGAATTACAGGCAAACGTACTATGCCAGGTGCTTTTCATGCATTTTTCAAGGGAGAAGAGATATAGCGTAATCAGATTCTCAGAGGGGTCTGAGTCTTAAGCCACTGTTGCAATGGGGAGTCTTGGATTTGTGCTTTATTAACTGTGTGTCCTGTGAAAATTCATAGGGAACCCCCATGTCATATTTTCCTGCCAGTAGAGTGGAAAAAACCAATATCAACCCCATAACATTATTGTGGGGAATTAATTAAAAGATGCTTTATAAATAAATTCGTTTTAAATGAGACGTTCATGTGTTCCCTTCCCCATCCCCCAATAAATAGCTCTATTAAATAAAAGGCAACCGGTTGAGATTTTGGATAACAGAGATATGTATTTTTCAAAAATGTATGTGTACACAGTTTATATATGTGGAATAATGATGTGTCTAATCCTGTATTTTTTCAAGAATCATTTTCATAGATTATTTGGCATCGTGTGCTTTAAAATAATGATGATGATGATAATGATAATTCTTTGCACTTGCATAGCCAGTAGTCCTCTCATTTATCTCATCGGTTGTTGACAAAGCCCTCCTCTTACTCTTGTAAATGAAATGAGGCTAGTGCTGGGTCTGCAGTGTTTGGTTGCCATGGTTTAAATTCGTTTCATAAGCTGTTGCTTGGCAATCCCACGCGTCAGCTGGCTCTTTTTCCTCAGCACTCTCGCCACACGCTGTCTGAAGTATAATGAGACTGAGGCTGGGCAAAGGAGGATGGCAGTCCCCAAGCACGTTCCATCTTCCCACACAACACTGTTTGTTACCATGATGCTTGATAAATGTGTTAAAAGCAGAGCAGTGAAGTGGTTGCAAACATGGGATTTAGTGTCACATAGACCTGGGTTCAAGTTCTGGGTTGGGATTTGGCTCAGTGTCTCCTTTGGCCATTCACCTAGAAACCCGTCTCAGTTTCTCCATGTATCAAGTGAGAGATTATAATATGCAGCACCTGGAGTGGATGTGAGAATTGGAGGAAAAAATTCATTTAAAGTACCTGCACACAGTAGGTGCTCAGTAGCTGTAACCTGTACTAATAAGGGTCATGGGAGCTGGTAGAACTATAACTTTCCTTGTTCTGTAGTAAAATGCTCTGATGTAGCAGTCAGTTTGGACTTAATTTGTGTAGTTGTGGCCCACTTTCTTTTATACATAGTATGAGTGGGCTCACTACAAATCCATAGAGTAAAACAGAAATTTATAAATAAACTATCAGGATCAAGGAAAAGACTGGGAGTGTTGTGACTAAAGGAAGACAAGTAGAGATGCTGCAGACAGAACATATCAATAGATGTCCACTCCAGGTAGTGAGTGGGTAGGCACTGTGCATTCAAAGGGGCTGTCATGGGGGAGGCTTCTCTCCTCCCTAGATAAACACATACCCATGGGCAGTGGTGTGCAGGTAAAACAGCTCTCAGGGAGAGAAAAGCCTTGATTTGTAACATTTGCCTATTTCTGTGGTGTAAATACTCCTACCATGACCAATTTTAAACTACCAATGTGATGCCATTGAAGGGAGTGTAGAGTTGGAAAGCAATGCCCACAATTGGCTCTCGGGAGCCCATCAGAGCCTGCTTCAGCGCAGAAGTAATCCCTTCCCTAGGGGAAGCTTTTTTGTTTTTGCTTTTGTTTTTTTTCTCTTTTGTGGACATTTCCAACAAGCTCTTGTATTTATAGCAGTTTAGGGAGGTCAGTTCTCAGGACTGCTCTTCTGGCATTTGATTTTCCCTGATTGGAAGCATATGGCTGAGGAAATAGCCTCTGTTCTGTTGTGCAGGCCCATCCCACATCTCCATAGGCTGACTTCAGCACCCTTTCTGGCTTAAGATCAGGAGCCCATGATCTTTGCAGGATCCAGAGGAGACTTGGGAGCTAGGAATTACCTAGATGAAAATCTTAATTGAGGTAGTATCTTCTCCCAAAGTTATTTTATCTTTTTTATATAACCCAACTCAGCCATACTGCCCTCGTCATAGTCTCTCATACTCTCATGGTCTCTCATATTCATTGTAGCATTCTCAGTGCTACAATGCATGTGACCTTACTATGTTTATATTAGCCACCAAGCAGTTTCAAAATGAATCACTTTTTAAATTCATCCATGCCACTGTAAAGCTGCTTCATCTAATATGACTTCAGTGTAGTTGTCTGATTTTGATAGCTGGAGTAAACAAACTGTGCGTGCTTGAATTCCATTCTGGACTGAACAGTTTCAAGTGTCAGTCAGTGATGCTCATTTGTAAGAACAGGCACATTGACCAGCTTTCAGTGAAAATATGTTGCATGTGTTTTACATTTTACATGGTCCATAATTTGTATTTCCTTTCCACTTCGTATCTGACAATGTCCAGTTAAATGGCTCCTACAGACAGAGTGCCCCAAAACATAGTGTCTTTCTTACGAATCAGCTGAAAAATATCAGGATGTTTATGAGGCAGCAGAACAGGAAATTAGATATAAAACCCACAACTTTCTAAGGAGGGTAGGCCCTGTTAACAGGAGATTTTTTTGTGGGGGCAGTGGGGTTAGATACAAAGTCATGAACCTCAATATAATTAATGGCCTGTCACAGTTCTGAGAGTTTTCAGTAGTGGGTGGAGTGTACAAATTTGAAGGTAGAAGCTGGAAGACACTTAAACTTCCCAGCAAAAGCAAGATCCTTGAGGGAGAGACCAAAGTCAGGGAAAATGGAAGCCTGTTAGGGAGATGGTGCAGGGAGTGAGGGGAGGGGGATCTGATTACTGGAGACTGAAAAGAAAGATTTGTGAGAAGGAATAATGTCTAATGGAGACTTTCTAGTTAAATTCTGTGGGGGGAAATGCTCCTAATACATTTCCCCCAGGACATTTTCATTTAATTCTACAATGCTCACTGTTTAATGGGCACAGATTCTCTATGGTGAATGTGAGTAAAATCGTGTTCCAAGATTTAGATATGGTAGAAAAACAAAGCCCATGAGTCAGGGTAGCAGACATGTGGCTTATATATACTCTCGTGTGAATGAAGGGACATCTTTGCATAGAAAGATCTCATGTTCACCATTAACTTACCAGGTAGGGGTGGGGGATGGAGGGTATTTTCTGTGCCTAGCTGGAGGACTGTAGGTTAGACAGGCTTGGTGGGAGGATGGAAATGGAGTTTCTTTAACGAGAGCCTGCAGGTTCCTGGAACTCCTCCTCATGCTGACTGCTCAGAAGTGCCCCACCAAATTCTGCCCAGTGGCGGCAGAGTCCTGCTGGGGATGGTCTCGTCAGATCCAGAAGAGTGGCTTATAAGCAAGAATAAGCATACATTTTCTCTTAAGAAACCAGAGTTAACAATTATTTTATTTTCCATTGTCTTGGTCAGCTTGGGCTACTGTAACAAATTACTGTAGACTGGGTGGCTTAACCAACAAACATTTATTTCTCACAGTTCTGGAGGCTGAGAAGTCCAAGATCAAGGTGCCAGCAGATCCTGTGTCTGGTGAGGGGCCGCTTCCTGGTTTGCAGATGGCTGTCTTCTCATTGTATCTCACAGGGTGGAGAGTAGTAAAAGCTCTTTGGAGTCCCTTTTATAAGGGCACTAATTCTATTCATGACGGCTCCACTCATGTCCTAATCACCTCCCAAAGACTCCACCACCTAATACCATCATATTGGGAGCTAGGATTTCAACATATGAATTTGGAAGGGGGGCATAAACATTCAGTCCATAATACCAATGTTTTTGAAATATTTGAAAATGTTGTATACCAAAAGGAAGCTCAGGGACTTTACTCTTAATATTGTTTTGCCTTTAAGCCTTTGTGTCCATTTAAAACTTCTCAAGTCTTCTTTTATATATTGAACAAATTTTCAGATCCTAAAAGAGCTCATTTCTAATTTATCTTCAGGAAATTTTGCCTCACTGCCTTTTTATAAAATCCAAAATTTTGTCTCCAGCTATGACTTATTTGGAAACTAATTTTTTGAAAAGGAGTAAGGAGGGTTGTGGTCATAATAGATTGATGGCTGCCTGCTTTCCATGGCATGGAATTGTTGCTAGGAGAAGCTGCACAGCCATAGATGACAGTTCTCAGTGCCCGCTTCCCCCGATCCAGCTGACTTGTACTTGCCAGTGGAGTATGAGAGTTACTACACTGCCAATAAGGGGCTGTAACCCACTCTTGAGGGAATTAATCCATTCCCGTGGAAAACAATCCATTCCCTCTAGGAACTAATTCAGTCTTGCAAGAGTGAGAACTCACGAAGCCATTCATGAAGGATCTGCCTCCATGACCCAAACACCTCCCACCAGGCCCTACCACCCCACACTGCCACGCTGGGGATTAAACTTCAATGTGAGTTTTGGTAGGGACAAACAAAACACATCCAAACTATAGCAGTACCTGAAATGCCTTAATGAGGACTCCTCAGAATCAGAATACATTGTTGTGGGTAGTTGTCTGAAAGAACACCAGTCATGGTGTTTGTAGTAGAGAGTATTCTTATAGGAAGAACTTTATTTTGATCAGCATGTGTATCAGTCAAAATTCAGTTGCACATAACAGAAATTACTCTAGCTATTTTAACGGGATATGGATTTAACACAGGGAGTAAGGTGCTTACAAAAATCACCAGAAGGGCTGAAGGAGCAACCTCCAAGCTCGGAAATGACTACTAGAACAACAAAAGAACTGCCACACCAGGAAGATGGCTACCTCTGCCACAATCAGGAAGCTGGGAAATCAGGAACTTTTTTTCCTGACAGCTGGATTCAGAATCAGACCATGTTAGCCCACATCCTGGGATTGGATTAAGGACTCTGCCATCATAGCTGTTGCTCTAGGAACATGCCACCTTTGCTGTGATTCTGAGAAATGGAGACTGTCATCAAATCTGTTATGCCAGAGCTACCCCATGCCTGCTAGATCCACAGCAGCAAAATCGAAGCCTCTTTCATTGCCACCTCTCTCCCCACATGACTAGATTTTTAAAGATAATTATCACCTGAGTAAACCTGATTAGCAGAACCTAAATTACGTCTATTGCCATGTTTCAGAGGAGTAGCTTTCTAGCCTGTGTCATAAAGGAAGACACACTAGAGAGGGCTTAGAAGAGATGTTTAGCAAGCCAATTATAGGCTTCACCACAGTTATTCCCTGTCTAGAAAGAGGCCCTCATCCCTGACTCTGACCTTAGGAGACTGGCCTTTCATGATATGAAACAGACCCTACTAGATAAAAGCTTCAATTCTGAAAGCACCACAAATAGCAATATAATGTCACTGGACTGAGAAACATTATGATGAGTAAAACCCACATTGATGTAAGTGATATGCACAATCAAAAAATATAACAAGGCCATATCTGTAAAGTGAATATTAGTGTCTGAAACAGAAACTAAAATTTGAAAAATCATATTTGAGAAAAAAGTGCCTTAAAAAGTTGTAACATCAAGGAATACCATATATTTTTAAAGGTGCCAAAATATCTAGGACGTATTTCAAATGCATTTAGAGTATTTGTCTGTGTTGGAGAGAGGAGAATGGGAATAGGGATTTTGGGTAAAGGAGGAAAAATAAATAAAAAATAGAATAGCCTGTGCTGACTGATGATGAAAGTGTGCCATGATCTGTGTAGTATGAATAGCTCAACTCCTAATTTTGTAATGTCTAAATAGGATACATAAAACTTACCAAAAGTTAAGTTTCTGCACAGCAAAGGCAACCATCAACAAAGTGAAAAGGCAAACTACTGAATGGGAGAAAAGATTTGCAGACCATACATCTAATAAGGGGTTAATATCCAAAATATATAAGGAACTCACACAACACAATAGCAGAAAAACAAATAGCCCAATTAAAAAAGAGCAAAGGACTCTAATAGACATTTCTCCAAAGAAGACATACAAATGGCCAGCTGGTATATGAAAAAATGCTCAACATCACGAACCACCAGGGAAATGCAAATCAAAACCACAATGAGACAGCACCTCACACTTGTTAGGATGGCTACTATTTACAAAAAAAAGAACAAGTGCTGGTGAAGAAATTGGAACCCTTGTGTACTGCTGATGAGAATGCAAAATGGTACAGTGTCTTTGAAAAGCAGTATGGAGGTTCCTCAAAAAATTAAATATAGAACTAACATATGACCCAGAGAATTAAAGTCAGAATCTCAAAGACATATCTGCACTGTCATGTTTATTGCATCACTATTCACAATAGCCAAGATGTGGAAACAACTTAAATGTTTATGGATAAATAAATGGATAAAGAGAATATGGTATATACATACAATGTCTTAAATTATACATTCAGTCTTTAAAAAAAAAAAAAGGTAATCTGCCCACATGTGACAATATGGATGAATCTGAACCTTGTGCTAAGTGAAATAAACCAGTTACAAAAGGACAAATACTGCATGATTCCATTTATATGAGGTATCTAAAATAGCCAAACTCATAGAAGGAGAGAGTAGAATGGTGGCTTCCAGGGGCTAGGGGGAGAAGGAAATGGGGAGTTGCTCTTCAATGGGTATAAAGTTTCAGTAATGCAAGATGAAGAAGTTTTAGAGATCTGTACAACATTGTGCTTATAATTAGCAATGCTGTATCGTGCACTTAAAAATTTGTTAAGGGGGTAAATCTCATATTAAGTGTTCTTACCACAATGAAAAAGAAAAGTAAATGGTGATTGGAGGCATGCATTTTAAACTAATTTACAACTGAAAATTTCACAAAACCTGCCAAACAGGACAGGAATAATGTACTTAGATTGAAAATATAAAAAATTAAAATATATAAAACTCATTCCCCAAATTCTGAAAGACATGCAAATATATAATTTTTATAAAGCTTAAAAATGCCACATAGGGTTTAAAATTTAATCAAATGTCCAAATAGAAAGTCTAGGAACATTCACATTCTCCACTCTGATACAAAAGTGTATGGTATCAAAAAGAGATTCGATAAAAAATTGTGCAAATTAAAAGCTTATTGAATATAAAAGACATGTACAATGCAAAATCATTGAAACATTTTTGATGATTTTTTAAAAAAATGGCCAGAACAGTAAGTTAAAATTGTTTTAAAATGAACTCAGTAAACAATGATAAAAGTATAAACTGCTGTTTGGGAGATATTTGTTTTCAGCCCATATGAAAACTTTAAAAACTGGAGACAGAATAAGATCACTTGTCTTCAAATGAAATTGAAATAAAAACAAAAATATCAAAAGAACCAAAAGGAGAAGACTCCCCAAAACCTGAAACAAATCTACTTGACTCATAAAAGCATTGAAAATGGAACCCCAAGTCATTCAAATTTACTGAAAGATCATACATTATTTATTAGAAACATTTCATTTTATACCAATTTAAAATTTCATAGTTTTGCCCAAATTGTCCAAATGCTACCCCCTAAAATTTATTATTTTCCAAATTCCCCTGCATCCTATTTACACTAAGGCCCTCACATGATTAGGCAGCTGCTGAGCAGGCTGGGAGACATCCCTTTGGCACTTACAAACTGAAACATTCCACACACATAAAGATCAGCTCTCTCACTTTTGTTTTTCACGCCATGAGATGACTTTGTCAAAACCGAAGCTCTCAGGCCTGCCCTTCCCATCATGAAATAGCCTTTGCCTACAGTAGGGCCTAGGAGAGAACCCAACAGTTCCCAACCAGACCTAGAGCTCTCCTCCTGTGTATCCTTTTCTCTCCCTGAATTGAACCAGGAGCTTCTTCCAGAGCTTGTGACAGTGCAGATCATACCGATGTGATTTGAAGAAAACCCTAGCTGCTTCCCCAGCCAGATGGCTGCTGCAGCGGGATGACGATGGTCAACCTTGGCCTTGTTCCCCTTTGCTACCTCCTGGGGGTGACTCGAAGTTCCTATTGTTAGTTGCAAATGTCTTCCATGTGCAGGCTGGAGTAATTAGGTGGGGTATGGATGGAAAACAGAGGAGGTCCCTGATATAGGGGTTGAAGCAGGTTGAAGGGGACAAATGCCTCAAGTTGTGGGGAGCAGAAGTCAGGGTTCCAGAACAGTGAGGTGAAAGTTCTAGGTTGGGACTGCCTCATTCCAGGAGTGGCTGGTCTGTGGGTCCTGATCTAGGTACGAGCATCTTCAAGGTATAAAGGGTAGAGGTGAAAGCCATGGTGAGGGCTGGGCTGTAGGAGGGAAAAGGTGTTCACTGAGGTCTGGCCAGGGACCATCCCCAGATACTGTATTTCATCAAATCTAAGATGCCATCAAGTGTGAGATGTACCATTATTTTATGTATCAATACATTAAGTAAAAAGGCTGCCACTTAAACCATGCCATGATGTTTTCTCAGCACTTGTAATTTTTTATTTTTACTTGTCAAAAGGGTTCTTTGAGACTTATATATAGTATCTTTCCATATATCACTATTGTGAGTACATAAAAATAAAAGCAATGTAAATTGCTTAAAATATTTCTAGAATTTCTTCACATCTAGAACCTAAGTATCCCAAATCACTTTTCAGCTCAGAGTTCGTTGTCTGTGTTTTCCCACACAGAGTTGGAACTATCTGTGTTTTCCCACACAACATTGTCCTCCATGCCATCAAGACGGTTGGTGATGTAGCATTTCTTAAAAGAGAGACCCACTATTGTCCATGGATTTTCTTCCAAGTTGCTGCTAAACTGCAAGTTTTGATGTGGGGCTTTCTTGCTTGGCCTGCGAGAAGTTATCCTGTTGAATGTATCTCAATAACAAAACCCAACAGAATTTCAGCTATTGTAGGTATCTTCCTTGCTTTAGACCTAAAACACACTTTGTTGTTGCTCTGCATGAAAATGTGGAATTGCAACATTTTCTCCATCTTTCAGATAACTATTCCTTCATAACAAACCAGTTACATGGATTTCTGTTTCCAGCCTGAGGGCCACAATTATTCTTTATGCTAATATGCCTCTGAGATTTGATCTTTGCTAGAAAACTCTTTTTCTTTTAACTTTTGAAATAATTATAGACTCACAAGAAGTTGTGAAAATAGTATAGGGAGTTCTCATGGACCCACCACTCAGATTCCCCTAATGGTGATATCTTAAATAACTATAATGCATTTTCCAAAGCAGGCAATCAATTGGCACAATACAATGAACTAAATTGCAGAGATTACTCAGATTGTACCAGTTTTCATGTGCACTCTGTATTTTGTATGTTTGTGGATCATTTTATGACATTTTCCTACAAGTATAGATTTGTATAACCACTACAATCATGATACAGAAGTGTTCTGTCACCACAAAGATCTCCCTCCTGTTACCCCTTTACAGTCACACTTTTCATTGAGGTAACTGTTCTCAGCCTCCTCCCCCTCCACTCTTGGCTTTTTCTGATTGTACATGTTAAGCAGCACCTTTTGTGGCCTGCCTATTTTGCCTCCTAAGCATGCCATGTTCTATTAATCATCTCCACAATTCCCTGCACAGCAAACCCCCTTGGTCCTTCTTCTGACCTTGCCAGTTATTATGGTGATTGCAGCCTCCTAGCTTCTGGCAGTTAACTGCTACCACCTGGCCTCCATTACTTCAAGGCCCCATGATCCCCATGGATGTTAATGAGCCCAGCTCCGTGACCACGGCTCCTACCCTCAGCTCTAGCCTGCAGGTGAGAGCCGCCACTGAACTTCTAAGTGATGCTGGTACCCTTATCACCCATACATTCCTTACGGCTTTGGTGAACAGTGTTTTCTGGGCCCCTATGGAACATAACCCTCTGGCAGGATTTCTGACCTCACATTATGTATCCATTTCAACATGTCCAATTCCTTCAGCCTCTTTATTCCTTCCTCTGCTATCCTCCAGGCAACCCAGGCATTTCGACTTTACTCAGCATGAGCCTTTGCCTACGGCAGGCTTCTAAGAGTCACCCTAGCCATGAGTCTGCCCCATCCTGATACACTTGCCTAGGTGTTAAACTCACCTCATAAGAAAGTACCCTTAAACTGATGAATTCTGGGTTATTCAATCTTATATTCTAACTGCCTTGATCAAACACCTCAAAATCCAATCCCTGGCTCATGCCTATGTGCTGGCCAATTTTTCCAGCCCCTTCAGCACATAATCTCTTTCCTTCCCTATCATGCACACCAAATCTCCAGGTGGATTATGCTGGAGCTTAACCCAGGTCATTATCCTGGCAGCTAGGAGATGAGATTGGGGCAGCTCCTGAAGGGGGAACCATTTGCTTCATGGAGAAGAGGCCTCACTAGCATCTTTCAGCACAAGGGGCGTGCTAGCTCTTACTGGGGAAGGATGAGCTAGCTCTGCAGTTTTTGAGAGTTCAGGGAAATCTGCAGAGCCAATATCTCAGAAGTATCCATCTAGATGTCTCCATCCTATTTTTTCAGGTTTCAGGTTTTTCAAACCAAGGCTCTGACTTTACCATGACAGACTTGCCTGTGATGAGCAATTAATCATCTTGAGAACTCTGTTCTCTATCAAGTCCTGAGTCTGCCCCTCTGATATGTCTGCTCTTCTACTGAAAGAGAAAAGAGCATCTTTATAAGCTACCAATGAGATCCTGTGGCTCTTACATTTAGCCATTAATTGCTTATTAACAGCCCTCAATTTCGTTAACCTTTTGTAGGGCATCAATACAAATTAGAACTAACCAGCCAACTTTGCTGGCTTGTTTTACAAATACCAGAATCATTGTACCTACAAGGTGTTCACCTCCACCAGACATTTCCAGGTCACTACTGGTGAAATCTTTAGCATTTAGGTCATCACCTTGTAGAAAGGACTATTTGTTCCCATCTGCAACTTAGGTAACTTTCCCATCAGCAATTTGTCCACCAGGTGGTGAGTGATCCAGTCCCCAAACCCCATCTGACCATCTGTTTTATTGGACTTCATTAACAGTACAATTCATGTCTGTTCAGAACCTTCAAGAAACAGATGCCAAGATGGGATTAGATGTGCAAGAAATGTATTGGAGGAAATGCCTATGGGTGATAAAGAGGAAGAAGCAGAAGTAGGCAAGGAGGGCCTTCATAATATATAATCCAGGTCTGACATCTATGAAAGGAGAGAAGGAAGGAAGTAGGAAGGAATTGGATAGGAACAGTTCCAGACTGCTGCACAGTTCAAAGAAAGTTTGAGCCAGGCATATGAATTATAGGAAACTTGTGTCCCACAAGAATGAGCCAAAAGTAGTACTTGTACCATGCTCAGTCAGTGGCTATTGGTGGCCCTGGGGAAGCATGGCCTCAGTGCAAACATGGTGGTGGACCAAGTCAGGTGGCAGCTGGGGCTATCAGTCAACTATGCTTCCTGCAGCAGGAGATCTCAGTGGCACATTTTTATGGCCACTGCATGTGGCATTCTAGGAGAAAGCCTCACTTCTGTCTGTGGTTTTGATCCCTGGGGAAAGCATTGAAGGCTTCTGCCTGTCTCTCTCTCTCTTTCTTTCTCTCTCTCCCTCTCTCTCTTTTATTTGAGACAGGGTCTCACTCTGTAGCCAGGCTGGAGTGCAGTGGCTCAATCAGGGCTCACTGCAGCCTCGACCTTCCAGGCTCAAATGATCCTCCCGCCTCAGCCTCTGGAGTAGCTGGGACTACAGGCTTAAGCCACCATACTCAGTTAAATTTTGAAATTTTTGTAGAGATGGGGTTTCTCCATGTTGCCCAGGCTGTTCTCGAACTCCTGGGCTCAAGCAATCCTCCTGTGTCGACCCCCTAAAGTGCTGGGATTACAGGTGTGAGCCACTCCATTTCACTTTAACAGCAATGCATGTACAAAGTAGGGCTGATTGTTTCCCAGTCCCACCTGTATACCGCCAGGACCAGTTTCCACATTACCAAGAAAAGATTCCCTCATCTCCCACTCCCCACTCAAGACTGGGAACAGAAATGGCACCTAGCAATGTGCCGTGATGAATTCTCAATCATTTTAGGATCCTCTTCAGCCCAAGTAGAGTCCTGGCCTGGACTTTGGACTCTGTCATATAGCTAATTGATTTAAAATGTAAAACCCTAGACTAATTGTTATAACTCTTTGCAAAACTGTGTTTTACCCCTGACTCCCACTCTGGGACCCCAAATGTATTAAGGCCTCCATACACAGTTGTCATTCAGGCCCTAATATATACAGATGTTGCTTCCTCAGGCTCATCAACCTGAAGGGAAGGGCTTTTAGCCCAATTACACCTTAAGACATCACAACCTTAGGCAGTTCATTTCAACCTTAGGCAGTTCATTTCAACCTTAGGCAGCTCATTTCAACCTTTAGGCCTGATTCATTTTTTTTCTACAAAATTGGAGATATGAGATATCTGTGAAGTCTGCTATTCACCAGGTGTTTCTGAGTTGAAAGTGCCCTCACCTTTCCCTAGCAGCGAAATATCTTAATTGGGTGGTTTCTAGTTGTGGGGACACTCTCTTCAACTTAACAAGAGTAGCTTGGAATTATCTCCAAGAAGAGCCAGTTCTGAGAAGTATTTGACAAAGTTTACCTAAAGTTATGCCCCAGTAAGGGGCCATCTGAAAGCATTTCTTAGGGAGGCTGGTTTGGGACCATCACAGGAATCATTCTAGCCAAGTAGAAAACCAGACTTCTTTCAATGTTTACTTCTCTCCACCATCCAATGTATACAACATTATGATTTCAGGTGCATTACAATGTCTACAGTGTCAGATTCTGTTATGAGTTGAATTGTGTCCCCAGAAAGATATGTTGAACTCCTAATCTCCAGTACCTGTGAATGTGACCTTATTTGGAACAGAGTCTTTGCAGTTAAGATAAGATGAGGTCATTAGGTTGGGCCCTTATTCCAATATGACTGATCTCTTATAAGAAGAGACATAGGGAGAATGCCATGTGACAACAGAAGCAGACTGAAGAGGTGTGTCTACAAGCCCAGGAATGTGAAGGACTGCTAGCAATACCAGAAGCTAAGAGAAAGGCGTGGAACACATTCTCCTCTAGAGCCTTCAGAGACAGCATGGTCCTGCCAACACCAACTTCGGACTTCTAGCCTCCAGAAGTGAGAGAGAATAAATTTCTGCTGTTTAAGCCACCCAGTTTGTGGTAATTTACAACAGCCCTAGAAGACTAACAGATTCTATACTGACTGGTTAGTTATGACTGGGGTTTCCAGAACTGTGAAGGGAAAAGTTGGGACCAACTCATCAGAGAGCAGTGTGTGTGATACTTTGGTGTTCCTGGGGCTTCTCCAAGTTCTAATAACCAGGAATAAAAATGTAGAGAAGACGATTCAGCTTAGGTCTCTGGTTGTGAGGTTTTTTGTTGTTGTTGTTGTTGGCCAGGCTGGTCTCGAACTCCCGACCTCAGGTGATCCACCCACCTCGGCCTTCCAAAGTGCTGGGATTACAGGCATGAGCCACTGCACCCAGCCTGAAAAATTGTTTTTTTAATTTATTTTATTTTATTATTATTATACTTTAAGTTTTAGGGTACATGTGCACAACGTGCAGGTTTGTTACATATGTATACATGTGCCATGCTGGTGTGCTGCACCCATTAACCATTAACTCGTCATTTAGCATTAGGTATATCTCCTAATGCTATCCCTTCCCCCTCCCCCCACCCCACAACAGTCCCCAATGTGTGATGTTCCCCTTCCTGTGTCCATGCGTTCTCATTGTTCAATTCCCACCTATGAGTGAGAACATGTGGTGTTTGGTTTTTTTGTCCTTGCAATAGTTTGCTGAGAATGATGGTTTCCAGCTTCATCCATGTCCCTACAAAGGACATGAACTCATCCTTTTTTATGGCTGCATAGTATTCCATGGTGTATATGTGCCACATTTTCTTGATCCAGTCTATCATTGTTGGACATTTGGGTTGGTTCCAAGTCTTTGCTATTGTGAATAGTGCCGCAATAAACATACATGTTCATGTGTCTTTATAGCAGCATGATTTATAATCCTTTGGGTATATACCCAGTAATGGGATGGCTGGGTCAAATGGTATTTCTAGTTCTAGATGCCTGAGGAATCGCCACACTGACTTCCACAATGGTTGAACTAGTTTACAGTCCCACCAACAGTGTAAAAGTGTTATAGTTAAGAATCTCACTGCACACTTTGGCCAAGGCATCCAATGTTCCCAATTCTTATTTCTCCATTCATGATGATACTTTGGGCCTCTGGAAACGAAAATAGTAATATTAATAGATAATACTTACAGAGCTCTTGCTTGTTCTAGGTGATTTTACCTTAAGTCACCACTCACAACAATGCTAAAACGGGATAATTATTATTACTGTGTTTATCTTTACAGATGAAAGAGCTGAACCATAGAGGTGTTAAATAACCTGCCAAAGGTCCTCTAACTAGGAAATGACAGAGGTGGATTTGAATGCTGGCAACAATGGCTCCAGAGTCTGTGCACTTAACTGTTATGTCAGACTGATTCTGTAACAGGAAACATTGCAGAGGTCGTGCCAAATAGAATTCACCAAGTACTGAATGCCCCATTAGTCCAACAATCTACTGACTGTCAGAAATAAATAGGTTGACTTTGTTACCATGGTGTCTGGACATCCTCAAAGTTAGATTGTTCTTTTGGAAGCCCAAAGGCCACAATTTCAATCTCCTAGATCAAATTTCATTTTCCAAGGTAACTTATTTACATTCTAGGTCCCTGGATCCCCAGTCCAGCTTTTCCTGTGCAAAGAAGTCATCTTCAAAGTAAAATTTGTTTTATTGTGCAGTTAGTAGTTCTCTCTCAAGATTATTCAGATGATAGAATAAATAAGTTAGACATAGACATCAATTGATATTGATATAGTTATTTCCCATGGAGAAGTTGGAGGCTTCCCCAAGAATCTATCCACTCAATTGTCATAGGGTACTACTAGCACCAAGGGTTTATGGACAAATTGAAACTGAAATAATAGAGCATAGTCCTTCACCAAGTTCCATTTGGTTTTCTAATCAATCAGACAGGAATATTTGTGCATGAGCCTTGGCAATAGCTATACTTCCAAGCCAACAATTTTTGGACTGTTGTCCTCATTTCTTCTATGACATCAACAGCAATGGGGTTTGTTTCTGTTAGAGTTTGAGGTAATCATAATCTTTATACCAACTTGAGCTCAGGTTGTAAGAATACACGACCCCTTTGATGGATTTAATTATCTAGCTGACTCCTCCATCAAAATTAATTATGTTGTGGCAGCTTTTTCTTTCTCCATTCCCTATTATGAAGACTGATGACTCTGTTAAATTAGAAAAAGAGAAGAAGAAACCCTTGAGGTTCCTAAGATATATACACTTTAAGCCCAATTCAATCTTGGGTGCTGCTTGTGGAATTTCGGGTACTGCTGCCAATTTTCCCATCTCATAAACAATGCCTGTAGGTGAAGAATTGTTAATAAATTAAACCTATACCAGAATTCAATGGGGAAGTTCAGGTATTCCTTCTGTATTCTTCCCACAACCCCATTGTGGCCTTGGGAAACAGTTATGTGCTGGGGACTCTGTACTTCTGCTTTCTTTGTTTTAAATTTGTGAGGGTGAAGTGATCAGAAATCTCTGGGTATTCTTGGCTCAGAACCAAACCAACTTCTTCCATGTCCCCTGGAAGCAGAGACCTGTATATAAGATGCAATAACAGGCAGGCAGACTTTATTGCTCATCATGGGGCCTCAGGACATAGCCACTCTCCTTGAAAGGTAGGGACACTGTTCTCTTTCTAGAAATGATAGGTGAGTTTATTTGCGAAACTGGAACCCACCAGATTGGTGTCTTTTTTCCAATGCATCCCTCTTAGATAATCAGTTAAAAACTGTTTTAACCCAACATTTTAAAAAGTCAGGTTTATTAAGATGTAATTTACTTGCAGCAAACTCCACCCTTTTTAGAAGTATGGTTCTATGAGTTCTTACAAACATGTACAGTTGTTTACAACTGATTGTGCTACCATCACAATCAAAATATAGAATATTTCCATGCCTCTAAAAGTTCCCTTGTGCTCCTTTTTAGTTAACTCTTCCCTGCTCCCACCAGCTGCTGGTAAGCACTAATGCTTAGCACATAGTTTTGCCTTCTCCGGGATATACATGGAATCATACAATATGTAGCCACCTGATTCTGGTTTCTTTTACTCATCATAATGCGTTTGACATTCATCCATATTATTGTGTGTATCAATAGCTCATTCCCTTTTATTGCTGAATAGTATTTCATTGTGTGGAGAGACCAAAGTTAGTTTATCCATTCACTCATGAAGGGTGTTTGGGTTGTTTTTTGAGCTTCTATAAACATTCATATTCAGGTTTTTGGGTGAACGTACATTTCCATTTCTCTTGGGTAAATTCCTAAGAGTGGGATCACTGGGTCATATAATAAGCTTATGTTTGATTTTATAAGAAACTTACCCTTTTACTCTTCCCCAGTCTCTTCCATTCCTCTCTGAAAAGGTAACTACTGTTGACTTGTTGCAGGGGTTCATAATCCCCAAGCCTTTAGTTCACTATTAAAAGTTTGTTTTCTAGACAGTTTTTAAGAAAGTAGTTGCCATTGATCATTTGGTTTAACTTTCTAGTTCTTTGGGTTGTAATAATCAGAAAGTTATATAGTATTTCCATATTTCACATATGGAAACTTGGCCCACATAATGGGCCAAGTGCCAAATTTTCAAGTGGTTTTTTTTTTTTTTGAGTGGCTATTGCCATTCCTGGGGTTGGGAAGCCTAGACTTTCCATCCTAATTGGAGAACCCTTGTGAAGACTAGCAAAAAGTCTTCCCAGTGATTCTCATGAAGATCTCTCTTAGAATTCACCATTGCCTTCTGATTGATCCCATCTTCAAATGCTCCCTATATGTTCTCTGACCTACTTCTACATATTCCCATATCAACTCTCTGAGCAAAGGCCCCTACAATTTTCTCTTATCTCTAGTGGCATGTTGCCTCATATCTTATCTTACTTCCATCAGCCACTTGGAAAACTTTTCTGTACTTAGGACATGTTCCCTTGCCTTAAAAACTTTCTTGGACTCAACTGGACTTCAAAGTTTTCAATGATAACTGTCCATCCCACTTCAGGGTGGGTGGATGGGTGAGCAGAGCAGCTTTTTGGAGTTGCCTCCAGGCTACTCTGTCCCCCCTCCCTCCTGCATGTTGTTTGCCTTGAAAACCGTCTTCGTTGTTTGATTTGCCTTGACACTTTCATGTGCAGACATGCTTTATTAGTGGAGCTCAGCTGTGGGTGGGTGCACCACAATGACAAAAGTTTGTCCCTTGCCTTGGCACTCCCTAAATACCTCATATCTTTCAGACACATTCTTTCCATTTAATTCTTAAAGTAAGATACTCTGCCCTACATCTTAGGGAAGATTCCCTAGTGAATCATCAAGACTATCTTTCTAACTCCCCACAATTGTCCCTCCATGTATTAGAACTGTTGTCCTTTGACCTCTAGAATGGAAACTGACTGGCCTGCCACTTTCATCTGTTCACAAAAAATAGGTCAGTGTTGTCCCACACTTTATTCAGTTTGTTCATGCTCCCTCTGTACACCTCAACGAGAGGGAAAGTTCTGTCACGAATTCTGGTAATGTGATCCCTTTCTCTGTTTTTAATCTTCCCGTTTTCCTGCCTCTCCACTAGGAATAACTGGCTCCAAACCAGAACCCAAAGAATCTTCTGCCCCAAATTCCCACAGGATTGTGAATGTCACATTTCTTGGCAGTAGATTTTTCTGGCACACTTAGTGCTCCCCAAACTGCTACTGACAGTATGAAGATGTTGGATGTCTTTCCAATTCTGGTGGCAGGGCGAGGGAGGTTTACCTGATCTATTTGTGGACTCAGGGCTTCACTAATTCTAATCTGTTGCTGCAGTTGCTCAAAATATATATATTGTATTCTTATATATTATGTATATATCAATAATAATAATTATAATTGAAATAATATTAATAAGCAGCAGCCAGGATGAATTTTTAACTGGGTAAATGCTTCTTGGCCTGAGATGCAGTGGTGATGTTCTTGAATAGGTTGGGGCTGCTCTTGGTTTGAGGGGCAGAGATGAAATTTGGCCAGAAGCTGTCTTAAGCTGTGAGGGGCCCAGGTGTGTGCACTGGTCTAATTGTGCTGAGAGAGTCCTTGTTTGGTTAGTGCTGCCTCTTCTGGGAAGAGTAGATAAGCAGATCTGGGCAATGTCAACAAATACTGACCTGAGAACACAATCTTCTCCAGCCCTGTAACCTGTTTCTCTGCCTGTGTTGCCTATCAGCAAATGTCACCACTATGGACTGTTGCCCATGAAGAAATCTTAGATTCAATCTATGGGGGGCAGGGGGAGTGGTGGTCTACCTCTTCTATTCCTATTTTCCTGCCTCTCCACTAGGAACAACTGGGTCTAAACCAGAACCTAAAGAATCTTCTGCCCCAAATTCCCCCAGGATGGTGAATTCCCCTCTATATCATAATTCTTGGCAGTCTCCTCCCCCAGTCTCCACACCACATCAATCTTAGTTCCACCTAAACATCAGTTCTTCCCATAAATGACCATAACCACTGCTCGGGGTCTTGCCATCACTAGCCCTCATCAGGATGAACTGGACAGTCTCTACCTCCTCCATGCTTACAAGCAAATGATCTGTCTCCAGGGCATGGCACGTCTAGATTTTCCTATTGTCAATTATGCCTGCTAAACTCTTTGTCATGGTATGCAAGGCCCTTTATGACCTGGATCCAGTTTATGGCTTTAGATTCCTAGTCAGTCATTTCCTTCCCTTGGCAATACTGACCTATCTGCAATTTCTTAAAATATACCCACCAAGGTCTCTCATGACCAGGGATTTTCACTTGCTTTTCCCTCTCCCAAACTCCTTACTTGTCTGCTTCACAAACTTTTACACTTTCTTCTGGTCCCATGTCAAATGCTACTTCATCTATGGGGCTTTTCTGATAACCCAGGCTGACCTATGCCGTCTTTCTTCACCTGTTTTGCTGTATGTTGTATATGTGACCTCTCGTATAACAATTGTGTTCAATAATTTACTGCCTGTTTATTTTTCCCTGGGCCACCGTTACAGTGAATAACTAGGTCTTTAAACCAGGCACTTGAAAAATAAAGGAAGCTCAAGTGTTGTGTGTATGGAAAAAAGAAATGATAGAAATTGTCCC
Organism: Homo sapiens; assembly: GCF_000001405.40. Lineage (NCBI taxonomy): Eukaryota > Metazoa > Chordata > Mammalia > Primates > Hominidae > Homo > Homo sapiens. The sequence continues at coordinate 49,863,278 of NC_000023.11, forward strand.
AATCCCTCTCTCAAGCATATCTCCTCATTCCTGGCCACTGGTAAGAAACTTTCCCTCCATTTTGGTCATCCACGTGAGTGTGAAGTCACCAGGATTGATGACAAAAATAGAAGAGGATTGGAAGACAGTGAGCCAGGTGCCAAACTCTTCAATAATGATGGAGTCTGTTGTTGCCTGCAAAAACGGGGGCCAGTGAACATTACATCAGTGTGTGTGAGTCCCAGGTAAGCCAGGTCTTTTCACCTCCTAGCTCAACACCCGAAGTATCCCATGATATTTGGCAGAATCCAAAAAGGAGGACAGAGCTAGTGAGGGCCAGCTGGGCCTGGTAGGGCATGCTTGTAGCCCTAGCTACTTGGGAGGGTGAGGCGAGAGGATCCTTGAGCCCAGGACCATAGCTGCAGTGAGCCATGATCATGCCACTGCACTCCAGCCTGGGCGACAGAACAGGATACTATTTCTAAAAAAAAATTTAAAAGTTAGTGAGGCCTAGGCCCCATCCCCTGCTTTTGTATTTTTATATAACTGGCTCAAAAGTACTCTCCTAGTCATATTTATTGTTCACATAGACATTATTGCAATGGGTATGACATTATTTCAATGGGTATAACATTATTTAATATGAGTCTCTAATCACTTATAATCCACTTTTTCAATTAATCTAAGTCACTTTAAATGTGCGACAATTACTAAAACTACTACTCCCAGTACTAGTACTACCACTACTACTATTAATAGGACCTTACAAATATCAGTTTTTGTGTTATCAGAGAAATATGAGGGTATTGTTAAATTTGAATCGGATGAATTACCTTTTGGTGTAATTGGTTCTAATATTGGTGATGCACATTTTCAAGAATTCAGGTAACATTAAACACTCAGTGAAATCACTTAGATTTTTACACTGTATTGATACATAGTTTATATTTATTCCAAATAAGTATTTGATCATGTCCATTTCAATGAATTCTGGGATGAAATGCCTATGAGCACATCTCCCTTAAAAGCAAAGGTGAAAATTATGCTCACTGTTATTTTATATAAGTAGTAGAAGCAGAAAATTGTGACTTATAATTCTTCATTGCCCTCTAAAAAGATTAAGTCCTTATGCTGGAGGACCTTTTCTTCTGAGTGCAAATAAAATAAAAGCCTCAGAATGGTGGCCTTTCCCACACTTGAAGTAGTATTAAGTATGGGGTAAGTGTCCAATCTGAAGACAGAAGATAAAACAGAGCTCAATTTATCTGCATCAAAAAATTGGGAGACATTGAAAGCCCTGCTAGTATTAGTGGTTGGGTTTTATTTATTTATTTATTATTTTTACATAGAATGTAAGAAATTCTCGAATCTAGTTTCAAGTTTAGTGTCAGGAAATGGCACAGGGCCGACCAGGATAGCCGAACGTGGAAGTTATATTTAATTTATACAAATCAGTCTTGTGTGAATAAAGGAGTGTGTTCACATGAAAAGATCTGTATTCACCAGCCACTAGTTAGGCTGGGGTGGAAGGGGATTTAACTATGATCTAGCTGGAGGCCTGTGGTCTAAAGGAGATCAGAACAGACCCTGTGTCTCCTTATTTTGGAGATACATCTAGTGAGAGCCCATAGGGCACCTGGGGCTACTTCCTGCCATGTTATGAATGTATCCCCTCCAAAATTTGTGTTGAAACTTAGCCCTCATTGTGGTGGTATTAAGAAATGGGGTCTTTGGGGAAGTGACAAAGGCAGAGAGAGCCCTCATGAATGGATTAATGCTTTATAGAAGGTCTGGAGAGAACTAGCCTAGGTCCTATTTGCCATTCTGCCTTCCACCATGCCAAGATGCAGCAAGAGGACCCTTACTATACATCAAACCTATTGGCACCTTGATCTTGGACTTCCCGGACTCCAGAACTGTAAGAAATAAATTTCTATTATTTATAAGTCACCCAGTCTCAGGTATTTGGTTACAGCAGCACAAATGGACTAAGACACTCCAACAGCTGTGGTCCTGGATGAAGACCTGGGCTTCCATCGATATTGCCCAGGGGAACAGCAAAGGACATAGTGTCACATAGAACTGACCCCTCTGGGATCAGTCTTATTGGAACCTCTGGAGATACTTGGTAACCTCTGCATTCAGGGGGAACAAAAACCCTTGACATTCTAGTTGAAAATGATATGGTAGACAATTACTGCTGAGAATTCAATTTCCTCCTATTTTTATTTGACATTCCTTTTTCAAGAGATTACAGTTGTTTTGTTTTGTGTAACCTCCACTCAGTTTCCCCCAATGGTCACATCTTGTGTAACAGAAGATGGGCATTGGAACAATGTTGTGTGTATAGCTCTACATCATCTCATCATGTAGATCCCACAAGCAAGATACAGAACTGTTCCATCACCACAAAGGTCTTCCTCCTGCTGCCCCTTTGTAGTCATACTCACTCCCCTCCCACCTACCATTCCTAATCCCTGGTGACCACTAATCTGTTTCCCATCTCTGTAATTCTGTCACTTCAAGAATGTCATGTAAATTGAATCATACAGTTTGTGATCTTTTGCAAATGGATTTTGTCCCCACTCAACATAATGCCCTTGAGACCTATTCAAGTTGTGTGTATAGTTTGTCCTTTTATTGGTGAATAGTATTCCATAGTATGGATGTATCACAATATGTTTAACCATTCATCTATTAAAGAACATTTGGGGTTGTTTCCAGGCTTTTTTTTTTTTTTTTTTTTTTTTGAGATAGGGTTTGTCACCCAGGCTGGACTGCAGGTGTGCAGGTGCAGTGATGTGATCATAGCTCACTGCAGCCTTGAACTCCTGGGCTCAAGCAATCCTCCCACTTCAGCCTCCCTAGTAGCTGAGACTACAGGCCAGTGCCACCACACCTGGCTAATTTTGTTTCCAGTTTTTGATATTAATATGTTAGGGCTTAAGTCTGACATTTTATTTATTTATTTGTGTTTGATGTCTTTGTTTTTTGTTTCTCTATTCTTTTTCCTGCCTTCCTGTGAGTTACTTGAACATTTCTTTTTTAGAATTGAATTTCTATTTACCTATAGTGTTTTTAAAGTGTATCTCTTTGTATCATTTTTATTATTGGTTGCTCTAGCTATTACAATATATATACAGACCTCTTCACATTCTACTGGTGTTGACATTTTACCACTTTGGTTGAAGTGTAGAACCTTACCTCTCTTTACTCTACTTCCTTTATAATTTAATTGTCTTAAATAGTTCCTCTCCATACATTGAGAACCATATCAGATAGTGTTATAATTTTTGTTTTAACTATCAAACATAATTTAGGAAACTCAAGAGGAAAAGGACAAATCTATTATATTTACCTATATTTTTTTGTTTTGTTTTTTGTTTGAGAGAGGGTCTCACTCTGTTGCCCAGACTGGAGTGCAGTGGCATGATCTCAGCTCACTGCAACCTCCGCCTCCCAGGCTCAAGCCTGCCTCAGCCTCTCAAGTAGCTGAGGTTACAGGCTCGCACCACCATGTCTGGGTAATTTTTGTATTTTTAGTAGAGTTGGGGTTTCATCATGTTGGCCAGGCTGGTGTTGAACTGCTGATCTCAGGTGATCCACCCACCTCAGCCTCTCAGAGTGCTGGGATTACAGGCGTGAGCCACTGCACCTGGCCCAGCCATTCTTTTAAGTCAGGTTTGCTGGTGGCAAATTCTCTCAGTTTTCTTCAACTGAGAACATCTTGATTTCCCCTTCATTCCTGAAGGATATTTTTGCTAGATATGGAATTCTGGATTGACAGTTCTTTCCTTCAGCAGATGAAAAATGTTGTGCCACTTACTTCTTGCCTCCATGGTTTTTTGGTGAGAAATTCTCTGTGATCGAAATTGTTTTTCCCCTATAGACAAGGTGGTGTTTCTCTCTTACTGCCTTCAAGATTTTGTTTTCAAAAGTTAGACTATGATGTGTCCTGGTATGGATTTCTTTGTGTTTATCCTATTTGAGACTTATTCAACTTCTTGAATCTGTAAGTTTATGTCTTGGGAAATTTTCAGCCATTGTTTCTTTGAATACTTTTTCAGCCTCATCTTTTTTTCTCCTCTCTTTAACTTCCATGACACAAATGTTTGATCTTTTATTATAGTCCCACACGTTCCCCAGGTCTGTTTATTTTTTTTTTCTTGACTGTTTTCTCTCTGTAATTCACACTGGGTAATTTCTATTTTTCTATCTTCAAGTTCACTGATTCTTTCCTCTGTCCATTTTATTCTGCTATTGAATCCATCTACTATGTTTTACAATTTGTTATCATGTTTTTCAGTTTTAAAATATCTGGTCGGGTGCAGTGGCTCACTCCTATAATCCCAGCACTTTGGGAGGCCAAAGTGGGCGGATCACTTGAGATCAGGAGTTCGAGACCAGCCTGGCCATCTCTACTAAAAATACAAAAAAAAAAAAAATTAGCTGGGTCTGGTGGCAGGAGCATGTAATCCCAGCTACTTGGGAGGCCGAGGCAGGAGTATCGCTTGGACCTGGGAGGTGGAGATTGCAATGAGCTGAGATTGCACCACTGCACTCCAGCCTGGGAGAGAAAATGAGGCTCCATCTCAAACAAACAAACAACCCCCCCGCCAAAAAAATCCATTTAGTTCTTTTTATGTCTTCTATTTATTTGCTGGGACTTTATACTTTTTCATTTGTCTTGCTTATGTTTGTAATTTATTGTCAAAGCATCTTTATGAACATCTGTGTCATCTTGTGGTTGGTGTCTCTTGATTGTCTTTTTTCTCATTTGAGATTTTCCTGGCTTTTGATATAAGTGATTTTTTTATCGAAAGCTGGATATTTGGAGTGTTAAGTTATGAGACTCTGGATCTTCTGTTTTATCAGCCTCCTTCTGACACTGGTCTGACAGGAAAAGGGGAGCGCCACTTCATTATGGTCAGGTGGAGTAGAAGTCCAGATTCTCCATTCAGCCTCCTTTGATACTGGGAGGAGGGTCTCCCCATTACTCCTTGGCAATGTGGGAGTTCATGTTCCCCACAATGCTTCTGCTGATAGCACACAGGCCAAGAGGGGCAGGGATGCCTTGTTATGGTTCCTTATGCTCTCCACTAACACCATGGTGGTAATGGTCGGGGGTGTGCTTGTAACTGCTGGCTGGTTGTGAAAGTGCTGATTTTACACTAGACCTCCTCTGATACCACTCCAGTGGGTAAAAGAGGAGGGACCCCCTCCTTATTTCCAGGTGGCTGTGGAAGTCCAGGCTTCCTATGTAGTCTCCACTGGCACTGTGTCAGAGGGGGCTTGTTATTGCCCAGAACTAATAAGTTTTGGCTCCCAACTTGCCTTTCTCTGACGCCTCCCTGATGGGGGATTTGGGCACTTTGTTACAGCCTGCCAAGGGTGGAAGTCCAAGTTTCCCATTTGGCCTCTGTTAGCATGGGTGGTACCGCAATTTTTTCTGTGGTGTTGGTTTGGAGTAGAGTGGTGATTATTACCTAAAACTCTTCTGTCATGAAAGGTTGCCCCTTTCCTGTTCCTTTGCCTAGAGAGAGTAGGCTTTTTTTAAGCCTTAAAGCTTCTTTCTTTCTTTCTCTCTCTCTTTCTTTCTTTCTTTCCTTTTTTGTCTATGCTCATTGGTGTTTCCAGGTTATCAGCTTCTCCAGCACCCAGTCCAGCATATACGAGGGAAAAACATCCTCAGGGGACTCACTGCTGTGTCATTCCTGTGTCATTCTGAGGTCTATAGCTATCTGCCTTATACTATCTACTTTTCAGAGTCTTCTTATGTTTATGTTTTATACAATGTCCAGGGTCTATAACTTTACTTAGCAGGTAGAAAAGGGAAAAGTACACCTACCACATCTTTCTGGAAACAGAAATTCTATTGCTTTGTTTGGAAAAATCATTTTATCATGGAAAGATTTAAATATACACAAAAAGTAGAGAGATAAGTAAAATGAACCCCGTTTACTCAGCTTCAACAATTTTAAACATTTTGCGACTCTTCTTTCATTTATCCTCCCCACCCTAAGATTTGTGGGAGTCTTTTAAATGCAAATCCTAGATATTATATGAGTTCACTTAATGTGAGTATGCATCTCTAACAGAAAATTCTTTTACATAACTACAATACCATTACCACAATTTTTTAATTAATAATTCCTAAATATAATTAAATACCAATTCATATTCAAATCTCCATGATTGTGTCAAGAAGTACTTTTAAAGCTGATTTAAAAAAAAATAGGATCCAAACTGAATGTAGCATTTAATTTGGTTGTTAATCAGGTCATTTTTCCTATAAAATATCCCACGTTCTGGATTTGGCTGATTGTTTCCCAGTGGTGACATCAAACTTGTTCTTCTATCTCCTATATTCACCATAAACTGGGAGTTAGAGAGCTAGACATTTGATTAGATTTCGGTTCAATTTTTACTTTTGGCATTATCAATACATCACAGGTGATGCTGCATGCTTCCTATTGTATCACATCAGGAGGCACCTAATATGTAGCTCTTCCACTCAGTGATGCTCAAATTGATTGGTGGGTTCAGTTGGTATCAACCTGATCCCTCCTTTGTAAAGTTCCAACAGCTATTTTACCTAATCTTTTTTATCTGTTCATGATCATTGCCCTAGATAAGTGGTTCTCAACTAGAGGAAATTTTGTCCCCCAGAGGACATTTGACAAAGTCTGGAGACATTTTTTTATGGTCATGACTGGTTGGGGGGTGGCGGATGGGGGAGTGCTATTAGCATTTAGTGGATAGGTGCCAGAGATGCTGCTAAAAATCCTTCAGTGCATAGGACAGCCCCCAGATAATTATCTAGCCACTAATGTCAATAGTGCCAGGGTTAAGCAACCTTGGCCTGGATCTATTATTTCATTAGGGATTGCAAAGGGGGATATACTAATTCTACAATTTCTCCTGCATTTTCTGTTTGAAATTGTTGCATATAAAAGAACGTCTTTAAGTATTTGGTTACCCTGAAATGCAGTTCATACTGGAAAGGTGACATAAATTCTTGATTTTTCTCTTTATTTTATTTTTGCAATAATGATTTGTTGCCCTAGTATCACTCAGGGGTGACCAATGTTTTTAAATGTCATTATGAACTCATGTATTTTATACATTTGATGCTTCATGAACTGCAGCATCTTTAATTGTCCCAATATAGGCAAGTGAGAACCCTTTCATAATGGTTCCTGTGTTCTTTTGGCATAACTCCATTAGTCTTTGATATCTCATTTGCTTTCTAGCAAACCAAGATGTTCCAGACTCATTTTGTATTTTTCCTGTTACAGACCTGGAAACATCATTTCTCCAAGGAGGATTGGCTCCTTTTGGTAGGAAATGATATGTAGAGACCATTCTGCTATGTCTTTTCAGTGGACAGAACTAGAAAATATGTACTTTTTAGAAAAAGAAAAATAAATTATAAGTTCACGTGGATATTTGTATTCTAAAAGTAAGACTACAGAGTTTTTTTCTTTTTGAATTTTATAACTGCATGATTTTCCTTACTTTATGTTAAAAATCTTGATTCCTGACAACATTATCATAATTACTTATTTGTTTTATCCTACAACATACATTTAACAGTTTCAAAATAATAATACCAATAATACTACTAGAAAAAGACTACTGAACACAGTTCCTTTTTTCTTTGGGGTATATCCCATGGGAGATGTATAGTCAGAACATTGTTTCTAAGTTACTTGAAATAAACATTTTCTTTGTGTGGTTATACCATCAATTTGCTACACAGTTAGGGTCATTTGATTCAGTTTGCTTTTAGAGATTTTTTTTTCTTTTTAATTGACAGGATTCTAAAGTCAAAGCTGTAAAACAAGGGACTTTAGAAACATCTCATTTTCTTGCCTATTCCCTCCACCCTATTTCCTCCTTCCCCCATAAGTAACCATTTAAGTTAATTTACATTCCATTGTACCATTTATTTCTAAGATGTAAGTAAATGTTTCTGTAAATATTTGTATTTCCCCAACTTTCTTACCCAAAAGGTAGCATACTATATACAATGATCTGTACTTGGTTTGTCCACTTAACAATATATTCCAGCTGTTAATCCTAATCTCACTATATAGAAATCTGTCTCATTCCATAATACTTCATTTCATGGCTCCACTACAATTTATTCAACTACTCCCTTAGTGGTGGACATTTATTTTCCTCCAGTCTTTTGTTATTACACATAGTGCTGCAATGAATGACCTTGTGCATATGTCATTTTGTATCTTTGGGTCAGATTCCCAGAAGTGGGATTACTGAGTCAAATAGTGAATACACATGTAATTGTGGAGACATTGCTGAATTTCCTTCTATTGAGGTTATATAATTTCATTTGTATTGCTTTTTGTGGTTTTAAAAGGATTAATATTTTGAAAAAGAATTAAAAGTGTGATTAAGATTTTTATCTGCCAATTTGGGTGCAATATACCCTTCCCCACTCTTCAAGCTTGAAAGAGGCATTCAGGACAAGCACAAGAAGTCAGATTCCAAACTTCGGTGAGTAAAATTGCAGAATGTGTTATTCGTGGTGCTTCTGTCTAAGCTCAGGCCCAGGGCCAGCTATATCCCACAGGGCTAACTCCAGCACTGGACACAGATTTGGGGATTCCAGGGTTTTCCTAAAAGGCAGGGGCAAGATAGATAGGCAGTTTGCCAGGTGTTGTGCCAGCATGCAGGAGGCTGGTACAGAGCCCATGTAATGCAGATAGATAGAGAATCAAAAGTATAAGTCAAATGGGCCATCATTCTGAAGGGGTACAGTCAGAGGTACTGAAGACTGAGGGGTGCTAAGAAACAGACTAGCTGGGGGCACTATGTGGTGAAAACTGGGGAAATAGCTGGTCATGGTATGATGCAGTATAATCTACATCATTGCTGTCATCTCTTATAACCTTGACTTTGCTGTCTCTTTGAGCCTTTCCTTTCTTTCAGCCAGAGAAGGGCTTGGGCCATTGGAATCACATGGGTGCAGGCTACCTAGGGCTAGATGTGTGCTTGAAGGAAGGCTTGGGCTCCTCCATTCCCTGCCCCTTCCACACCACTAGCCTTGCTTCTTCCCTCTGTAGGGCTGGAATCTCCTGGAAGCCTGTGGTAGATCCTGATGACCCCATTCCTCAGTTCCCTGATTGCTGGTATGGCTACAGGAGTACAGGATGCAAGGCCTAGTCCTGCTGCATTGGTAGCAGGGGTTGCTGAGCTGACTCCCTTGGTAATCATGAATGGGCCAGCAGCATGGCTATTCCTAAGCAGTTGGGCATGGTCCAAATGGATGGGAGGAGCCTACCTGATCAACTCTTAGACCTAGGGGCCCTGGTGCTAAATGGATTTGCTCTTTCCCTTTTCTTTACCTGCGTAAAGACTTGCAGGCCACTAGTGAGACATCAGTGGCATGGAAAAAGTAGGCATCAGACATCTCGTTGTTGAAATTAGGTATATTCTGAATAGGAAGAGGCATAGAAGCAAAAAGTAAGCGTAGGCAAATTGAAGGTACTTAAGGTTTTTGTGCCTCAGTTTCCTCATCTGTATAGTGAGAATAATATTAGTACCTACCCCATCAGGGTGTGATAAGACACTTATAAAACACTGCCTGGCATATCATAAGCAATTAATAAATGTTAGTTACTATTATTATGATTTGATTACAATTATTGTATGTAAACCATAAATCATTTCATGTCATTTCCTTGCTTAAAAGCTTTCAAATGATTCTCATTGCAATTGAGACAATATTCAAATTCTATATAATTGTCTACAAAGCTCCAGGTAATCTGGCCCCTGCCTGCACCTCTATCTTCATCCTCCACTTATGCCACTCTCCTCCTTCTTGGTCACTAAGCTCAAGCCCTTCTGGCCTTATTTTCGTTTGTTGAAATCATCAAGCCCCCACCCTTTTTTTTTGTCTCGGGCCCTTTTCCCTTGCTCTATACTTTTATAATCAGGAAAAAAAAACTTTCACAAATACAACACCAAAATTCAGGATCCACAAATAAAAGTTTCAGAAACTTGTTTACATAATAATCTTAAACATCATATGGTAAAAAATAAAGTAAAATACAACAGCCAATGATAAATGGGAAAAACACATATGTACACTAGACTCTGACACACAATGGGCTAGTAGCTAACAGCCCAACCTCTTGGGTGTCTCTCAATCTCTCTGTGCCTCAGTTCCTTCACATGTAAAATGGGGATGATAACAGCACCTACTTCTCAAAATTGTGGTGAGGTTTAAATAATTTAATAGAGCAGCTTTTGGCATACTTCAAGTACCATACAAGTGTTACTTATGATAATGATTAATAAGAAGCCACAAGAAAAATAGGCAAAGGATGTCAATAGGCAGTTTGCAAAAAAGGTAATACAAAATGATCAATAAACATAAGAAAATATGGTTGATTTCATGCACAATGAAAAACATACATTTGTTCATTTTACAAATATTTAAATATGTATTAAGTCCCAAGGAGGCATTGGGAATACAATAGTAAACATTTTACTCTCATGGAGTTTATATTGATTATGTGTGTGTGTGTGTAATATATAATATATCATGTGGTGGTGATTTAACATATCATGTGGTGATGGTGTTTAAGGGAAGAGCTTTCCAAAAAAAAAAAAAAAGAAGAAGAAGAAGAAACAATAAGGGCATAGGCCTGGAAGCAGAAGCCAGCTTAGCTTATTCAAAGAACAGCAATAAATCGAGTTTGTTTGAGGCAATGCTAAGTTGATAGAAAGTGAGGTCTAAGAGTCTAAGGCCAGAATCAGTAGGGCCTTAAAGGCCAGGAAAAGAACTTGAAATTCCATCAGGAGTGAAAATAAGAAGCTTGCTATCACCTAGGAATATTGTATTCAGCTACATATAACCAGGTTCCAAATAACAAAGACTTAAATAGGATGACATTTTGAGCATTACACTGATCTTAAGACACTATTGCCTGTGAGACACTCCAGTATATTATGTGCCACCAAGAAAGAAAAAAAAATGCTGCCAAATATAATCATAAATTGTCATTTAAAGATTTCAGGGATGTTGAAAATCTTTAAATGATTTTCATTTAAGATGTACCTCTTAGAGTTGACAAAATATGATATATTTTTTTCTCATGTAAGGATAGGTCCAGAGGTGATCAGCTTTTTGGTCTTTCCATCATGATTGGTTGCAAAATGGCTATAAGCTATAGCCTTTAAATCCTCATTTCCAGAAAGGAGAAAGAGAAATCAGGAAGGGGGAAAATGCCTTTTAGTTTTTATAGTAATTTAAGGATCACTTTTTAAAGTCTACCCCAAAAAACTCATTGGAAGTTTTTACTGGCATTGCACTGGGTGTGTAGATCAATTTGGAGAGAACTTCTATATATTACAGTCTAATTTATATTTCATTAAAAAAATACAGCTGGACCTCCATATCCGTGGGTTCCGAGTCATGGGATTCAACCAAACACAGATGGAAAATATTCAGGAAAAAAAAAGGATGGTTGCATCTGTACCAAACAGGTACAGACTTTTTTTCTTGTCACTATTCCCTAAACCAGGGGTCTCCAACCCGGGGGGCCACCTGTTAGGAACCGGGCCGCACAGCAGGAGGTGAGCAGCGGGCGGGCCAGCATTATGGCCTGAGCTCCGCCTCTTGTCAGATCAGCAGCGGCATTAGATTCTCATAGGAGCATGAACGCTATTGTGAACTGTGCATGCGAGGGATCTAAGTTGCACGCGCCTTATGAGAATCTAATGCCTGGTGATCTGAGGTGGCACAGTTTCATCCGGAAACCATCTCCCCGCCCCTGAAGCCCCCCATCCCTTCCCAACCGCCGTTAAAAAAAAAAAGTCTTCCACAAAACGGGTCCCTGGTGGTGCCAAACAGGTTAGGGATCGCTGCCCTAAACAATAGAGTACGGCAACTATTTACATAGCATCTGCATTGTATCAGGTATGATACAAAAAGTAACCTAGAGATGATTCAAAGTAACCTAGAGATGATTCAAAGTAACCTAGAGATGATTCAAAGTATATGAGGGGCTGTGTATAGGTTATATGCAAATACTACACAACATTTTATATCAGGGACCTGAATCTCTATGGATTTTGGTATCCACAGGGGTCCTGGAACCAATCTCCCACGGATTACCAAGGGACAACTGCATGTATAAAACATGCTTGTATTTGCATAGACAATTTCTTAAAGGCTAAATGTGAAAGTGCTAACAAGTAGTTATCTCAGGGGAATAAAAATGGGTGTGATTGGCGGGGGAGGGAAGAGCTTTAACTTTTCATGTTATGCCTTGTATACCTTGTTATTAAAAAAACACGAATATTGTATATATTACTTTTATAATAATAAATATAAACTAGCAACTTTTAAAGTGGAATGTGCATCACCCTGGAGTACAGGAGTTTTAAGGGGATCAATTTCTATATCCTCAAATTTCCTGTGTAGTCTTTTAAAATTGACCTGCCAGAGAACATACTTGCAGTGTAGGAATCAAACTGGTTCTCTTTTTCTATCTCCCCTTTCACAATGGTCCTTTTTGCACTTTACAAAAGAAAAAGCATATCTTTTACCTATCCTGAATCTTAACCTGGGTGCGCTGCCCTGTGATGTAAAATCCTTGGGGCACAGGAGAGACAATTCCGAACAATGCTGACGATGGTAAACAAACAACTTGCTCTAACAAATGAATGGGGATAAAATCCTTTTGCAACTCAGATGGTTTCCAATTCTTTGCTTCCAGTAGAATTGAAGAAAAAACCTATGAAGTTATCAGCTGATAAATCATGAGAAATAATTTTGAGGATAAATCATTGTGTAATTTCCCCCCATATATCTCCAAAGGAATTCAAAGACTTGCGTGCATTGCTAAAACAAAATGTCCATTCCTATTCACTTATTCATATAAATGAGGTTTCTGTGTGCTAACATTTAACCAAACAAAAAATAGGAAGAGAATTGATGCTGAAGCCTATCTCATTCTAGCAAAAAGCAATGTTTATCCATGGATACACCCATTAATTTTTTTTAAAAAAGCCCTATCTACAATGAACTTTTGTTTTACGTTTAATAATTACCTATCAAAATTTGTAATATATTCACAATGTTTTGATCCATTTTATTCTAATACTAATTGTCATGATAATTCAAACAAGAGCAAATTTTTAAACAACACTTAGAGCCTTATAATCAGAGGAACATTTAAAGAGCATTTAAATTGAAAAATATATACACATTTTTGCTGCAGAGAAATACGATAGGATAATCAAAAACATTTCAAGTGAAAAAACAGACAATTATTGAGACAAAATTCTGTTGGAAAAACAGAATGGAATTAAGAGCTGAGAAAAGGGAAAATGTACAACTTCCAAGTATCAAAGAAGAGCTCAGTTATACATTTTTAAAACAGATGATGGTGGCTCTCAAGTCACTAAGGTATTTAGGTTTCACCGGATTCATGTGAAATAGTGACATAACAGTTTTATTTTTGAATATTAACATTTGTCACAAATTACATTATTTGTAGCCAATTGACATTTGTGATGCAAAATATCAGACATCAACCCAAAAATGTGTGAAGGAGCACACGTTTTTCTTAATATTTTTAGAGAGCATTTTATATAAACCAATAGTTTTATATAAACATACAAAACATATATGAGGAATTGTCATTTACTCTTTTGCCACCTTGTGGTCAGAGTTGGATTTATCACCCAGGTGCATCTACTGCGAAGGAGAGCTGTCTCTCCTAAGGATAGCCCCAACTGCCTGCATTCTGTCAGATCTTTGTGAGGCAGAGATGGTAACATTTGCTAGGATCTGGGTCCAGATCCACATAAGGACAAAGCATCTAAAGATTTTGGTGACACCCTCCACACGTGATTCAAAACAAAAGCATCATGTAATCAGGAAATGAATGTAAGGAAGTACAACAAAGTTCTGATTTTTCCCACGAGGACTACTTAAAAAAAATCAAATGTCAAACTGTTTCTGGTATTTTTTCTTTTTTGATTTTTTGTCTTTGGTGCCTCTTCTCTGCTAGTGACATAGACTTTCCTTAGTGTGCCTTTTGGGGAAGCCATCCCTGATTTCAGTAGCCCTGGAGTAAGTTGGAGTGCTGTGTCCACAGCTCTTGGTACATCTGGCCCTCGGTCAGTGCAGAATAAACATTTGTTGAGTGAATGGTGACAGAGCCCTCCATTTTCAGAACACGCTGGCCTGGGCAGAGTCCAGGTGGACCTATGGGCTTCTGCAGGAAGTTGATCACTAAGTCAACAAGTTACCATGGCTAATCTTCAATGGTAGACAGTCCCAGGTACACAGAGATCTTTAGGTCTTTTTGTTGTCAGTCTGGAGGTGGGATGAGAGTATCCTCCACCCCCTCATCCATGACCTCGGTTGTTTTTAGCAGCAGCAGCAGCAGCAGGATTCCTTCAGTGAGTGTGCTAGTTGCAGTTCCTCTGGTTGCAGGCCACAAAGGGCAGGCATTTATTGAAAGGATGCTGGGGTGCTTCAAGGAATTGAAGCAAGAGCTGACTCAGGAAGGGTAGGGCCCAGGGCAACCCTCAGTTTTATGGGAACCACGCATCCTCCTTTCAAGGGCTCCTGATTCCTGAGGCCCAACTCCTGCTGCTAACCCTAGGAGGCCTCCCCATCCCCTCCCTAGAGGAAGGGGCCAGGTGGAGAGCTGATGTCCAGTGCTGAGCAAGGAGAATGTTGCTAGGGTATGTATACTCAGGCAGCACAGCCACACAAGCCAGACAGCGTGCACTAGGCTACAGCCAGCCACCACCAGGATTAGGGGACTAGACTCTTCCTAGAACACTCTTTCTCCTCCTACTCCTGTCCTGATGCCTGCCCTGGGCTGCACTCTCTGGGACCAGCAGCTACAGCCCGACACCCTCGAGCCATGACCCAGGTCTGAGCCACTTGCTCTGGGCACACTCCTCGTGGGCTCTGGGGTGCTGCTGCCCAGTGCCAGCAGCCCCTTGGCACAGGGGTTCCCAGAGGCCTCTCAGCCTCATGTCCGACTCCCTCTCCCTGCTGGCAGCTCCACAGGCTTCTTTCCACTTCCACCTGCTGCCCCCCTCCCCCGGGATGCTGCCAGGGCTTAAGGGTCTTGGGAGTGTGTCCTGTAGTTTAGGCCCCCTCTCAGCTGTAGGGGAAGTGCCAGCTGTAGGGATGGCCTTGTCGTGCCTCGTCCCTCCAGCTGGCCTTGGAGAGAAGAGGTGGATTGTGCCATCGGGCTGCTCAGCGTCTGCTGGGCCAGGAGGCCGGCTGTCAAGCCATTAACCCACCCGTGGCCTTGGGAGCCCAGGAGGACGCGAGCAGCAGGCCCAGACCCTGCAGAGCGCTGATAAGATGGGCCAGGGACGCGCCTCTCCAGGCCCAGCGGCCTTGGTAGCCCGGCCCCC